>NC_000023.11:152354393-152657424 GCF_000001405.40 Homo sapiens | reverse complement strand
AGACCAGTCAAGGTCCTTTTCATGCAAAGATGTACATTTAATGAGGACAAAGAAGCCACCCAGTCACCTGGTGAAGCTCTGCTGCTTTGTGCCCCTTTTTGGGTCAGGTCGTCCAGGACATCCAGGTCTTGGTCTTTCTCCTCTTTTCTTGATTTTCACTGCCTGGGCCCAGCATCACTTCCAAAGACCTCCGTTTGTTTGATTTTACTGTATTTAATCTGCTTCACAGAATGTTACCGACTTGGCTGACCTCTGAAGAATCCCCCGGTACTGCCCTATGTCAGGCACCACAGCCAGCTGTGCTAAATTCGGGCACCTTTAGCTCTGCTGACTACTGACCCTGGGCATGCAGTCCGGCCGGCGAGATAGTGAGTGCAAAGTCTCACACAAATTGAGTCAATAGAAGTGACCCTGAACAACTGGGCTATTTCATAATTTAAGTTTATCAAAGAGAGACTTTAACATCCTCTCCCTCCCTCCCCTGAAAACCCAACACTGATAATATAGATTTTATATTGATCACAGGACACTACACAACAAACACAAAGACACTACACTTCTAGTAGGACGAGTCACGATTTCCTTTGATGTTGGGCTATGGAATAGCTAGAAAGTTACTGCTCATCACCACAGCAGGGTACCATGCGAGTGGATAGCTTAATAAATGCATTCATTAGTTAATGGCTTTAAGGGTTAGCTATTATATATATGGAATGAGGAAACCTCATTAGGAATGGCCACAGTCTCAGCAAAACTCAGCTCTAAATATGCAAAGACTTTGAAGTCCTGCTATTAACAAGATGACATGAATTGTAAGAATACATTTGACAGGCTCTAGTAAGACCCAGCAGATCGTCCATGACCTGTGCAAAGGCACCCCACAGTGGCAGATGGAACTGGCAAGAACTTGGTAGGAAACGTGTCACACATCCCCACAATAAAATGATACTTCAGAAAGACAGACAGGGGTGTCCTTCCCATGATAGTGGCAAAGAAGGGATCCTGGGTCGGGGAAGTCGATGGGAAGGAAAGAAATGGAAGGTGGGTAGAAGAGTAAAATAGGGGTTGTTGCATCCCAGATGCTGCCCAAGCTCCAAACTACCAAGCATTCTGCACTTCCAGAGTTACCTGGTGTGAGGTGAGGAGAGGGATGGGATGGAGGCAGCTTGCTGGACAGGGGGTGACTGCAGGCTGGGGAGGGGCTGGGAAGGGGTTGGGGACAGCTGAGGACTCAAATGACACAGAGGACAGACCACATACAAGACTCAACAAGGGGAGATCTGGCAACGTGCAGGCTAAAATGACCAAATCCATAGCAAACTCAGAAGGTTCACGTTCCCGAAAGGGTGTCACTGCCAAATCTCCACCTCATTTTGACACTTAACCTACAGAGTATGAGTCGCAGTAGAGTTCAACTGCTCTCATTGCAGCACGTCAGGGCAAGATATCCTTTTTAAGGTATAGTATTATATCTAGCTATATGGATCTATAGAGATATTTACAACTGGCCTCGCTGCCCTTCCTCTGTGCTGTGAAGCCTTCATGTGCATTGCTTCCAGACAAATCTTAAAACCCTCCTTTTCTTCACACTGCTCCAATCTCCCTTTATGACTTTATCCCAAATGAACTGCTTGCCACCACAGGGTTGAAAGCACCTCCAGGGTGCTGGAGACCCAAATCCACGTCAACCAACCAATGCTTAGGCTCCAGGAAGCCAGCCTTTCAATAGCCACATTGGGAGCTTCAGACATGGAGTCACTGCTCTCCCCTCCACCTGAATCTCTGTATGGGGTATCCAAAAATAAAGAGGCAATTTTAGCTCTTCCAGTGGTAACTTTCTTGTTTTCAACTGTCGTACAAGATTTGTGTGTGTGTATGTGTATGTGACTGTACAAGTGTCTATTCTCAATGCCTCTTTCAGCCTCACTCCCCAGCCTGTTACCCCGAAACATGTTCCTCTAGGACAAAGTGAAATGCTCTGTACTTGCAGCTTCTTCCATGGATTAACCACTTCCTACCTCAAGGCACTAGCTCACCACTTCTTAGGACTACATTCACTTCCCCAGTCTTCTATCTAGGAGACAGCACAGATGGATGGAGGGACAGGGCAAACAGTGGAAGGGAACTGGGAGATGCTGCTCCCTGGAACAGGAAGTTGGAAAGAAACAGTCAGTTAAGCAGCCCGGCCAAATAGGGCCCCTCCACCATATGGGAGCAGGCCAAGGGAATTATAGTGGTTCTAGAAGGGTCACCAACAGGGAATACATATGCTTTCAGGGGTATTTCCTTTCACACCCATTCAAATCAGATAAACATAGATATGCAGACATGCCCTTATATACATGCACTCAGCATAGACCCATGTGTACACAAGCATACACATACATAAGCCACACTTTCACAGGGATGTGCACACACACGCATGCATCCACATGCTGTAGATACAATTCTGTACACACCAATGTAGATTTACACCACTAGACACGGCACTATGCAGCTTCTCAAATGGTTGTATATGTACATACACCCACCCTGCTGCATATGCATACACCCAGGTATATACAGAAACACAAACACAGAAGCACAGTTAAAGGGTGAGTGGGTAGAGGGGTAAGGGACTGAGGGAGAGACTGCATAGGGAGGAAGAGGTGGCATATGTTGAGTGCTCGGCAAAGTTCACTCCCTCACAACCTCCATCAGTGAGGTGGAGCTGCTTGGCAAGTTGGAATGCTGGCCAATCCTACTTCCGTTAGGGGCCCTGCTCAGTGGGCAGAGTGTGTTCTCCATCTGCTCACGTCACGCTCATTGGCTGGTCACCAGCCTATTCCTGCAGAGATGCCCCAGGTGCTAGAGGATGTGGTGGGGGCCCTCTGGAGCACCCTCTTTAGGGAGGGAAGAAAAGGAAATGCCTCAGTTGGGACAGTCAGGAGGAAAAAGACAAGAAAGAGCAAGTGGGGTGGATCTACCACTCACTGGCTGCATGTCCTCAAGCATGCGGCATAAGCTCCATTCGTTTTCCTTGGAACACTGGGGACAATGTGCTTTGCCTTCCCTGGCTTACAGGGCTCCTGTGAGGCTCCAGTGATGTAATGGGTCAGGGAGCTTGTTGACACTTACTATGCACTAGACAAATAGAAAGGATTAGTATATAGACTTACGATAGATATTCATCTGCTAGTCTAGATCAGATGGTAAAATAGCAAGTGTGAATTATCCTAACCTTAGTGCTTATTCACCAAGTGCTGTAACTGGTGATCAACTCAGCAACTGACGGAAAGCTAACTCCTGACTTAGACAGATGTATTGAGTCTCTATTGCCAAGCGTTCTGAAGCAGAAATATAGGCAAGTTCCAATCCCTCCGAAGAGGCCAGCTCAACTGTGTAATTTCCAACCTGACATCACCCCCCACCCTCTGCCAACCCCACAAGCTGAGTATGTGCTCTCTCACCCTGATGTCTCACTCTGCAGCCCCATCCACCCACATTCCCCTTCCACGCTTGCATCAAAACACCACAGTCAAATGCCATACAGTGGGGGAAAGGCACTTACAAATGCTCCCTAAGTTTCCTATAGGAAGTTCCCTGAACTTCTAAGCCATGGCTAGCCCTTTAGCTATGAACCCCAGCCCAACCCAGCTTGACTTTCTTCTATAAAGCCCTAAGCAGAGGGTGAACAAGACCCATAATCCCTAGGAGGAAACAAAAAAAGAAGAAAACATGTAATGAAAAAGAAATGTTGACACCTCAAGGGGGACAGAAAAGCCCCCCAGAAATGTTTGTGGGCAAAAGGCCCAGATCCTTGCCCCATCCCCCAACCTGGCTCTTCTCTGTCCTCTAAACATTTCCAGGGGCTTTTCTATGCTTATTCCTTGTTACAAGTCTTTGAAAAGGTGAGAGTCTTCTAGCAGGAAAGGAAATCCATGTGCTGTATACCTCCAACTCCTCCTCAATCCCTTCCCTTCCAGCTAGAACATGTTCTTTCCAATTACTCCCCACCTCATGTTTATAAAGAGAAGTATGAACTTATTGGATTGCCCAAATAACCACAAAATAAAAGGAACAAAGGAAAGAGGGAAAAACAAACCCAAAAGAAACTGAAAGGAGCACAGCACAGTGCTCCCGCTGTTCTGGAGCACTGGGGGACTAATACATATGGTATACCCAGTAAACAATGTTGAACAACCCAAAGGCCAGAGGGAAGAGGAACCGGGACCACTTGTCGACCTTTGGGACGTAGTCAGGATTAAAGAGATCGAAGGAGAACCCTTCAGTGAAGGAGCACCCAGGGCTTGGGGGGCAACTATCCTCAGACTCTGAGCTACTGTCCTTCTCTTGGCCATGGGCCATGAGCTCATCATCATTAAGGCCCCAGGTACTGTTAGTATCACACTTGAATTGCTCCTTAATGGCAAGGCAGTCGCTCTTGTCATTGTTGTCATCAAGGTCCCAGCCTGCTTCTTGCACACCCTTCTCGCCATGGTGAAGCATGGGCTTCCCACTGGGGCCATGGCCATGGCGCTCATCCGAGCTCAAGCTCTCATTGGAATCTTCATGGTCATGGGTAACACCATGGCCATGGGCTTCGACACGGTTGCGGATTTCGGTAGGAATAATACTGTCATCAGCCTGGAAACCATTAAAGCGAACACCATAGCTGTGCCGGGCCTGCTCTGAGGTGGAGGGGAGATCGCTCAGGCTTTCTCCAGTGGCCAGGGGGGCCTGGCCTGAGAGAGAAGTGAGTGGGCTGAGGCTTTCCGAGGTGGCCAGCTGGGCCTGCTCGGAGGTGGACGTCAAAGAACCGAGGCTTTCCGGGCTTGCCAGGGGGGCCTGCGCTGGGGTGATGGGGAGAGAGCTGACTCCGTCTTCCACGTTAATCAGGCCATCCTTTGAGGAGATAATGGATAGGCTCATCAGTTTCATATCGCCTAGATGGATATGCACTGGGGGGAGGGAGGAGGGAAGGGACTTCCCTCATCAGCACTTGTAATGTTACTGATCTCTTTGACAGATAGAGCCAGCTCCTCTTGGGGTCTCTGGTGTTCAAGGGGTGAGGAACAGGACCAATCGGCTGTTAGCATGCAAGGGAAGGCTATGGAGGCTGCCAAGCCAGTGTCTCGCTGGAGGCAGCTGCTCCCTCAGGAGTGCTGTGTGGTGGATGGATGCCTGCTCAGGCAGGCAGGACCGGGCTTTCTGCGAAGGAGGGAGGTAGCTGGGCATTAACATACTGCCCACAGCAAAAGCCTCAGCATTGCCTTGGGAGTCTGAAGTGCCAAGGAAGGAGGGGTAGGTAGGCCAGCCTCTCCGGTGTCTGTCTTCCTTTCAGTCTCCCTGCGCCCATCTTCCCTTCCAGCTTCATTGCCTGCTCTGGAAGCATGCAAAGTGGACCAAATTCAGTCCAAAGGTCTGGAGAAATTTAGCTCTGCCACTTACTTGCCTTGTGACCTTGGACAATGATCATCTATAAAGGAGTGATGAGAAATAGTACTACTTCTTTGTTATATGTTGTGTGTGTGTGTTTTGCGTGTGCGCGCATGTGTGGGTGCGCGTATTTAAAAAGCTAAGAAATGCAAAAGGGTCAAAAGCGCTAAGCCTGGGCTCAAGAGGTGCTCAGGGAAAGCTGATTGTCAGTCAAAAAGTCAAACCTGCACGTTTCCTACCACCACTTGCTGGTAGCGGTAGCGGGCAATGACTCTTCGGGGTCTCCTGTGTCGCCTAGGCTGGCGCCGAGGTCCTCGACTGTAGAAAAGATAGTTGATGTAGACATACTCCAGCAAGGACAGGAACACAAAGAACAAGCACACGAGGATATAGATATCAATGGCCTTGATACAGGAAATGTTGGGGAGCTTATCCCGCAGATGTGAGTCGATGGTGGTCAGGATGAGCATTGAAGTTAAGCCTGTAAGCAACACAGTACAGACTTAGTCTCCTCTGATGGCTAACGTTCTTGGCAACCTGTCAGGCCCCCACCCAAACATATTTGGGGTGAGGAGGGCCCACAGCAAAGGCCTTCGGCTCTCTCTTTATTCCTTTTCCCCCATCTTTAAACTCAGCCCACGCTTCACTGGTTCAATGACTTCTTATTGCTCTTAGCGTCAAGTCTCAAACCTCTAGCCGTGGCTTCATGGCAATTGACATCTTCAGCCCCACCTTGGCCTATGATGGCTCCTTTCCCTTTTGCCTTTCTTTAGTTCTTGGGAAGGTTTTCTGAGCCCTAAACTATTACACAAATATAAAGCTTTAGTCCAGAACGTTCTCCTAAAGAGGGAGGCTGAGGAGTCTGCCCCACAGATGGTGAAGGAGAAACCAGACCTGGATCTGGGACACATTGACATTCTGCTGGATGGGGCCAGACAAACCAGGGAGTTGATCTCTTAGGTCTCTTCTTGGTACTGCTCAAAAATTTTTCATGGCTCCCCATGCTTAGACATAAAGTACAAGGTCTTCCTAAGCCTGACCAGGATGTCTTTGTGCTGCTCTCCTCATCTCCTCAGCTCCTGTCCCAGACACCCTGTGATTTAGCCCCCTTTTAATGGCCCCTATGGTCTAAACTTATGACTCGTCCGTTTACTTATGGATTCAAGAAATAATGAATTCTGGTACTCGGGGCTCAACGGGCCAAGATTCCAACCTTGATTTTTTTTCACATCTGTCTCTAATATCGGTCTCTCTATTGGGGATTGGCTGTGCACCTGTACAAAGGTGCAAATGTCTATTGGAAAAATCCTTATTTCCTTGCCTGTGTAGTTAGTCACACACTGTTCTGGGTACTTTTTCCTTACTCTCAACTTTTTTTCTGAGCCAAATGACCCAAATTCTTTCCTGGGACAGAGACAGAACCTACCAATTGTCACCCTGGCTGCAGAGGAATCATAGTTCATCCAAAACGATATCCAAGAGGTAATAGTGGTGAGGACAGTAGGCCAGTAGACTTGCACAAGGTAGCTGTTAACTTCCCTCTGAACCTGGAACTTCAGTATCAGGCGTATGTAGGAACCTGGCAAGGAGACACACTGGAATTAGGGTGGCAGGGCTGAGGCGCATTTGCAGGGTGGAGAGGTACAGGATGGAGAAGGAGGGGAGAGCAATGGGAAGTTCAGCTTGTAATACTCCATCCAGAGGCATCCAGCTTGGGCAGACTGCACTAGCAGATCAGTGACAGTGGCATATCTCAGTAGGCGCATGAGCATAGCAAGTCTGCTCTCTCCACTTTCCTTTCTCACTTGCTCCATGTTAGGTGAAGTTTTGGAATGGGAGAGGCAAGAGATGTTCCCAAGGTACAAACAGATGGAGGGTGAAAGGCCAGCCCTGAGAGGAGCATGAATCTTTTACACCTGCAGAGTGTTGTGAACCTGGCTAAGTGCTTCCACGGCCATTCCTCATTGGCGGTGGATGAGTCATTGGGGCTTTCTTAAGGGGGCCTGGAACCAGTAGGAAGTGGAAAAGGAGGCACCAGAGAATAGGAGCCAAAATCAGAGGCCGCTAGGAGTTTATGGAGGTGCAAGGCAGACATGAGACAGGAGAGAAGGAAGGGGTCAGACCCACCTGTGTAGAAATACACCTCCTTGCTAGTAATCGTCCTTCCCAGGAAAGTGAACTGAGGGATATGCAGCTCCTCAGTCATGTGGATGGCGTTCCCATTGTCATCCCAGAATAATATGATGTCTTCAACCGTGTAACCATCTGGGAAGGAGAGAAACAGAGGTAGTCTCAGATTCTTAGAAAGAAAGAAAAGCACAAAAAAGACATGCTACAAGCTCCTACCCACTAACTTGCACACACTTTCCCAACAGTAAGGTGACATTTTCCCAGAGGACCGTTTATGCTCTAAAGACCACCTAGTCCCAGATGCTGTATTTATACATCTATCTGTCAATAAATTATCTATCACCTATCTATCTCTCCACCATCTTTCTCTCTTTATTTCTATCATCTGTCTATCCTCTATCGTCTATTTATTTTGGGAGAGAGAATGGGGGGAGGGAGGGAGCACAGGAGATACACTGGCCCTTTTACTGTCAATTCAGCCTCTGCTTCCCTGATCACCACAGCCCCAAGTACGGAAGAAGGGGCCATAGGAGACATACGTACAGCTCTCTACCACCAGGTTGCAGGCCTGCTTGTCCATAGGGAATTTATGCAGATCCAGGGAACAAGCTGCTGTAGTGGTGAGTCTGCAAAGGAAAACAAAAAGGAAGGAGAAAGTGAGTGAAGCCTAGGCAAACAACCATTGCTGAGGAAACTGCAGGGGTGGGGAGGGAAGAGTTATCCCAAGGACTGACCCATGTGTAGAGAGGAGAGAGGAAATTTGTTTGTGACAAAGTAACCAAGAGACCTGGCAGCACATAAACAGAGAACACACGTATGGCACCTCAGAAAACTGCAGGGTGTCAGATGGGAAGGGCCCCGGAGGAAACTGAATGCAGAGACGGAAAGGGGTGCTTCCTACAGAAGGAGTGAGGCTAGCAAGAGAAAACTGTGTGCTACGCCAAATCAGCTGAGACTCCAGATGCAATGTGGAGTGCTGGTGTCAAGTGTGCATGTACAGCTGGGAGCCTCCATCCAGGCCTGCCTCTGGCCACATCTGTACACAAGCCAGAGGTGCAGGCCTATGTGGGTATTGGGGACTAGCAAAATGTCATTGGGTGCGAAATGGACAGAAGGGATAAACATATCTGTGGTGAGCCATGGCACTGTTGACAGTACACGAAGTGGGCAGGAGCTTTAAGTTGCAATGTGGTGAGTGCATCCATAAGAAGAATCCGGCCGGGCGCGGTGGCTCACACCTGTCATCCCAGCACTTTGGGAGGCCGAGGCAGGCGGATCAGGTCAGGAGATGGAGACCATCCTGGCTAACACAGTGAAGCCCTG
Organism: Homo sapiens; assembly: GCF_000001405.40. NCBI lineage: Eukaryota > Metazoa > Chordata > Mammalia > Primates > Hominidae > Homo > Homo sapiens. Next base: position 152,648,553 of record NC_000023.11, on the reverse strand, counting down.
TCTCTACTAAAAATACAAAAAATTAGCTGGGTGTGGCGGCACTCACCTGTATTCCCAGCTACTGGGGAGGCTGAGGCAGGAGAATTGCTTGAACCCGGGAGGCGGAGGTTGCAGTGAGCCGACATTGTGCCACTTACTGCACTCCAGCCTGGGCAACAGAGTGAGACTCCATCTCAAAAAAAAAAAAATAAAAATAAAAAAAAGAAGAAGAATCTGAGGGGTCTCAGAGGTGCTGAGAAAGTGGGCGAAGTGTCCAGTGGGAGAGAAGATAACACACAAGCTCTCTACAGCCTCCCCTGGGAGGCTCTGCTCCATCCCTTATTCTGCCCTTCTTATCTGCTAACCCCAGCTGAGTCCCTTTCAATTGCTTCCTTGAAATAATTTCCATTTTGTACACTGGATATGGTGTGCGCGTGCACGTGTGAGTGCATGTGTGTTTTTCTCCCTTCTATGAATCCTCCATGCAGCATTATTCAGCTAATTCTCCCTTTAAGTAGAACAAGTGTGACCAGTGACCTGTTCCCTGTGAGTCTTGTTATTTCCCGATTTCAGAGCCTGGGTCTGTGGGAAGGTGGATGGAAAAAGGAAGGAATGGAGCAAGAGCTCCACGGAGAAAGAGAAACCCAGAGATTAGATCTGTAAAAACCGTAAGAGCCAAACCCTGGTAACTACTTCTCAGACACATTTTCTGAGCTAAACTGATCTCTTACACACGTCTTTGGAGACAGTTTGTAAGAGATGCCGCTGTGAGGAGAAACTTGGTGACTGTCTCCTATGCTATAACTAGACTAGTGAGGAGGTTCAGCTTGCAATTGCTCCGTGTGTGTGGAGAGCCATAGACCAGAGACCCATGCCACACACACCCTGCCCCTCCGCACTCCTGGAGGCCCTGCATGATGCAAATATGACTGAAGGCAGAAAGCAGGCCCCCTCGTTCACTGCATGGACTTCAGCATTCATCTTCTCCCTCCCTCACTGCACAGAGAGAAAAGACAAAGATAAAGAACAGAATGCATGCAACACTAGGGTGGAGGGAGAGGTCTTTCAGTTGAGGGAATCAAGGAGGACTTCCTGACCAAGGGGGCATTTGAGTTAGGGATTTCAGGGTGGGCAAGGTTTCAGCTCATGGAAAGGGGGAAAGGACTGACCAATCCAGACAGAAGGAACAGCAGAAACCAAGGTGTGGGGACAGAACAGCTAAGGGTGTCTGTGGGAAACTGTGAAATTTCCACTTTGGCTACTGGGTAGAACGAGTGAAGGGGGAAGTTCAAGACGGGTTTGGAAAGCAGTGGGTGCCTTTGTGTGTCCCTTAGAGTGTGTTTGTAGAATATTCAGTAGGAAGAAGGAAGTCTGCTGGGACATCCCCAGACCCCTAGGGGACTCACCGGATGCCGTACCGCACCGTTCCATCTGGGTGAAGCTGAAACACGCGATTCTCCACAGTCACATCATGCACGAAAGCATCCTTGCTGTTCAGAAAGTAGCAGTCAGGGACCCACAACTTCTCATGCATCCGATAGTCCAGGGTCAAGTTCAGGGTGGTCTCATAGTATGCTAAGCGTGAATCTTTCCAAGTCTGATGAAAAAACATCGTGATCGTGTAGTCCTGGGAAGACAAATGTAAATCCCAGTTGTAAGTTTGGTTGTCCAGAGCTCCATCCTTGGTGTGTGTAGGGTGTGTGTGTATGTGTGCATGCACTTGTGTATGCAAGTGTATGAAGTATATCATAACTATATACAAGTGCGTGAAACATACGGAGGTTTAAAGAAAGAATAAAATGAATCTTGTGTAATTAGAATCCAGGTTAAGAAACAGAATATTACCAATAACTTTCAAACCCCAATGTATGTCTTCCAGAATATATTTCCCTCACACCCCCAGCAGTAACCATTATCCGAGTTTTTATGATAATTCCCTTGCTTTGTGTGAGAGTTTTATTGTCTATGTATTGCTGGAAAACATATTGCTTAGTTGGACCTGTTTTTAAAATTTTATCTGAATGAAATAATACTGTATGTATTCATAATTTGCTTCTTTCACTCAACATTATCTTTGTGAGATTCACTCAGGTGGACATGTGTAATTATAATTTGTTCACTTGCTTTTCTGGATAATATACGAATATACCACGCAGATTATCATATGAACATGCATACCAAAACCATGATGAAATAAAAATGATGAAGTAGAAGTTCCACTTTATATCCCTGCCGAAAGCCAAGCGCCAAAAAGCTGCAGAGGGTTCCCAGTGCTTTGGCTTCACCAACATTGGTATTGTCTGACTTTGGACTTTTGCTAATTTGGTATGTAATGGGTTCTCATTCAGGTTTTATTTTGCACTACTAACAAGGCTAACCGTCTTTTCATATGTTTCATATATTTACCTGCTGTTTAATTTTCTTACAGAAGTGATATTCTTGTTCATATTTTCTGATAATTTTTCTATCGGTTTCAAAATATTCTTATTAATTCACAAAATGATGCATATTTTGAATATGTCCTTCATGCTGCAAGCATCTTAGTCCACTGTGATTGATCCTTTCACACTTGTTATAATGGTTTTGTTTTGTAAAACAGGAGTTCTGTAAATTTGGTTACACAGAATTTCAATATAGTTGAAGGTACCAGATTTATTTTGTGTGGTCTGTGTTTTCTGTGTCTTTTTAAAGAAATCCTACTGCAAGACATAAAGCCAGTGTTCTACACTATCTTTTAAAAGCTTAATAAGCCTTTCACTTTTAAGTCTATAATCCATCTGGAGCCGAGTTTCTGGATGTGGTGTGGTGTAGGGGTTGAATTAATGTAGTTTTTATTCTGAATGGCTGCAGTGTCCCAAACCTACCTTGTTCCTTTATGTGAGTTCTGTCACAGGTCAGAACAACTGGACTTGGATTATAAGCCTGCTGCTTGTTCCATGTCCTCTGTTCCCAACCCCATGGCTGGAAATAACACACTTACCATATTCATTTCTGAGATCTGTTCAATGCTCGTGACATAAATAGATATTCTCACAGGCACAGGGGCACCTAGAAGACAGAAAGACACAGTTACACGAAAGGTAGAATAAAGGTTAAGAGCATAAACTTGGGAGCCAGGCTGCCTGGGTTTGAACCCTCTTTGAAACTTGTTAGTTGTGTGATCCTGAGTAAGTCACCTAACCCTGCTGAGTCTTAATCTCCTCATGGGTAAAATGGGGATAGTGATAGCACTGATCTCATAGTTAGAGCAAGGCCTCGCCCACGATGTGTGCAAAGGAAGGGGTCAGGGCAAAATAAAGAGAACGTTAAGGGATGAAGCACTCCTTCTAAACATTTTCCTGATAAAACCTGAAAAGCAACGAGCCCCAAAGCAGGAGCCAAGATTCATGGCTGTGTGTGCACATGTTTGTGTGTGTGAGTGAATGTGTGTGTTTGTGGGAGCACATGTGTGTCTGTGTGTAAGTGATTGTGTGAGCTGTGTATATGAGTGTATGTGAGCATGTTCATGCATGTGAGTGAATTTGTGTGTTCATGTTCAGGTGAATGTGCCAGTGTGTGTCATCATGTTTGTGTATAAGTGAATGTGTGAGCATGTTTGTGTGCTTGAGTGTGTTGTACAGAAGTAAATCTGTGAGCATGTGAATGTGTGTAGGTGTGTTGTGTGGGAGTGTATGATTGTGTTTGTGTTCAAGTGAGGGTATGACCGTGCATGTTTGTGAGCTTGTCTGTGTGTGAGAGTGAATGTGTGAACATATATACATATGAGTTTATGTGAGGATGCCTGTGTGGGAATATGTGAGTGTGGTTTTGTGGGACTGAACATATGAGCATGTCCATAAGTATGAGTGTGTTCGTGAGGAGGTGTGAATGTGTGAGTGTGTGCGTGTATTACAGTATGTGAGCCTGTTCATGTGTTAGTGGATTTGTGAGTATGTCCATGTGTGAGTGAACACCTGCGCATGTTCATGTCTGTGAACTAGCTGTGTTGATGTAAGTGTACATGAGCGTGTTTGTGTATTGTGTGATGTGTCCACCTGCACTGGCATACTACACATGTATATGGAAGACTGTATTAGCATGTTCGTGTATGTGAGAATGCTCATGTGTGGGTGAATGCAAGAGTATGTGTGTAAGCATGTTAATGTCCATGTACCTATCAATGTAGATGTGCATATTTTCAGCAGGTGAGTGAATCTGTGAGTATATTGTGAACACGTTCATGTGTGTGAGTGAATATGCGAGTGCTTTCATGTATGTGAGCACGCCCATGCATAAGTGAAAGTGTGGTTATGTTTATGTGTGTATGTGTGAGCATGTGTTTGTGTGTGAGGATGTTAATATGTGTCGTTTTTGAGTGAATTTGTGAGTGTGTTTGTGTATGTGGGCCTATTTGTGTGTGGGTGAATGTGAGTATATTCATATGTGTATGTAGATGTGGGAGCGTGTTTGTGGGTATGTGTGTTAATGTGTGAGTGAATTTGAGCGTGGTCTCGTATATAACGTGTGTAGTAAATGTGTGAGCATGTTTGCACGTGTGAGCATGTTAAAGTGTGTGAATAAATTCGTGAAGGTGTTTGGATGTGTGAGCATGTTTGTGTGAGTGAATGTGCATGTGTGTTAAAGTGAATAAATTTGCATGTGTGTGTGAGCATGTTTGAGTTTGAGTGAACGCGTGCATATGTGCATGTGTGGATGTGGACTTGTGAGTGTGTTTGGTGTATGTGAGCATGCTAATGTGTGAGACTAAGTGAATGTGTGATCATGCTCAGTGGGTGTGTCTATGTGTGAGAATGAAATTGTGAGCATGTTCATGTGAGGGGGTGAGTGCACAGGAGAGGGTAATTGTGTGTGTTAATGTGTGAGTGTGACAGTGTGTGAATGTTTGTGTTAGTGCACTTCTGCCTCCTAGCTTTTGTTCACACCCAGGTGTTAGCACTGTCCACTTGCAGTACTCAAATGTGTTCATGGATGTGAAAATATGTAGTACACTACACTGTAAGGCACTGTGGGCAAATCCGTTTTTATCGTTCGCTCCTCATCTCAAAGCTTTCTACAGCCAGTCCCACAGCAAAGCCCTTAGTCTCCATGTATTACATCACACTGCTGCTAGGGAAACATGCATGACGCCTGCAATTCAGCCTGCTGGTTTTACTGCAGGCTGATTGCCCAGAAGCTGAGCTGCAAAGAGAGAAATGTGTTATTCCAAGCCCAAAGCTTCACAAAGGAAAGCTCTATTGGGAATAAGCATCTGAATGGCAGCCGTGAAGTAAATGAGCCTCTGTGTTGGGGTACAGCCCAGACTCCAGCATCCAGGCCTGTTGTGAAGAAGCCCCAGAAAAGTGTTACGTGGTGACAGGAGTTCCAAGAAACACAGTTCTTGATGGCCGCCTTTCGGGCTCCCCACATGCCTTTAGAGAAGGGAAGCTGTGTTAGGCAGGCAACAAGCTCCAGAGGGGCCAGCCAGCTACACCTCAGTGTTAGACTTCTCTAGACCATTCCGCATGATTCAGGCAACTCCTTTCCTTATGGTGGAATGCTGGCGACCCCGAAGGGCTAGGCCAGAAACCTGTCCAAGGACTCCTAGTTGAAGGGAAAGTGGGAGCTGAAATGCAGTTCACATTCCCCTCACCAAGCCATGAGTCCTGGCACAGGGATGCAGCTCAGAGGAAGGGGACATTCTTCTAATTTATCCCCTTTGTGCTAGTAGTTGTCAGGATGAGAATTTAGATGAGGAATCCCATATCCCTAAACAGATAATGGGGGTGGGGAGGGGATGAGAAACGTCCTGATAAGGAGTCCAAATACCATGTCTAGGATGGTGGCCCCAGCCCATCACTGTCCCACCCTGCCCCCTCAGGAAGGCAGGCAAAGTGGTAGGGGTAATCACCTCCCTTTCTCCTGGAACCTTTCCTGCCTCAACTGTACTTCCTATCTAGCAGATGAATGAAGGAATGAAAATATCTCCTTCATTCCTTCACAATATCGGGTGCCTAAATCATGCCAGGTGCTAAGCTAGGTGAGGCCCTCAAGGGCGGCCTTTTGCCACAATGCAGAGTCCCAGTTCTCTTGCCTAGAAGGAATTGGCTTTGTTAATTTTCTCTGGATCCTCCTCCTCCTTTTCATCCTCCTCCTCTTCTCACTGTCCCCCGTATGCAAGGAAGGAATAAGGCTCCTGTTTGAACTGGGCCACAGTTAAGTGAGGCCTCTGCATGTGGAGGATGTGTGGGGAAGTGAGGGGAAGTATGCCCTGAAACTCTACTCCACCTCTCACACAGAGGGGAATTTGACGCTGTGTCTAGTGGGGGAGTCCTGGAGTCCCCAGGCGCTGACTGCCTTGGCCCAGCTATCCCATCAACTGGTCTCTCTTCCCACACGCACCATGCAACAGCCTCAGACCTAGAGCCTGTGGTGCCCCCTTCTGTTTAAATGCTAGAAGGTCCTGAGTTGTCCTTGCCCTCCTACCTTCATCGGTTTGGCTAAATCAAGCCAGGGATCCAGCTTTTCTCACACGCTGCAGGTGTGCACGTCCACAAAGCTTAGGGTAACCCTCCCCAGAGATTGATTCTTGCCCCTGCTCCCTCCCCCGGTCCTGGATGCCTGCAGAGATGTCAACCTGGCCCTGAAACAGTGGGGAGAAGGTGATTGGTGTACTCAAATGGTTGTTGGTCAGTCTCTGCTGAGAAACGTGAGAAAGGCAAGACAAAAAAACGAAGTAGCTACTCCCACGTCACCCATTGGTGCTTGGTGCAACTGATCCAAAAGATTCCAAAGTCGCTGCCATACAAGGACGTGCTGCCTGTACTCTAACACCTGGATTCCCATATGGCCAGACCTTTATCCCTTGGGGATCCACCCAGAAGACACGCTGCTGTTTTGCAATGAAAGAGCCTGCCTTCTGGCCTGTCTACCCTGGCTTCCCAGTATGCTCTCAGCTTTAATCCCTTGGGCTGTGCCTTCTGCTCTCACACTTCGGAGGGAGCAAGGGAGCTAAGGGGAAGCACCAGTTCAGGGTCCCACCTCCAAAGCTTAGGGCCCAGGACTACCACCTTGCTTTTCAAGGTGGCGCTCCCCAGGCCAAACTGGTCTACCGCAAGGGCCGAATCCTCTCAGCTGTGTTTTCTTGGGGTGGAGCCAGAGTGTATTTGGAAGACCTCTATTCATATGCATAAATGCAGATCATTAGCTTTCATTAACCCTTTGGAGTGGGAGCTTCCTTTGAGCTGGAATGTAACTAACCTCTTTTTTAATGGACTGTTTCTTTTGTTTGCCCTTGATCTAGGTTTCCTAGGTGTCCCCTGGGCTAGAGAATGCTGCGTTTGCTACGCCGGGTCAGGGTAGGTTGCCTGTCACTTAAAGCTGTGTGGTCCAGGCTAGTCGCCCTTTTTAAATGGGAGGCTAATTACAAAAATGGGGGAGGAACTGATGTATGATTTTCCTGGGGGTTTGTGTGTCAGCTTCTTTGTCGTTTCTAATCTCAGCAGCAGAGATCTGAGGACTAGGCTGAGGAGTTTGGATTTTATTTGGCAGTTAGATAAAACCATTAAAAGTTCCTGAGGTGATCCGGCTGGGTTTAGAAAGACCACACTGACTGCGGTGTCTTATATAAACTGAGAATGAGGGAGCTGAGGTGGAAGTGCCCAGGGCCTCGGTGGGTTAAGTACACTAGACAGAAAAGACCGTGCTCTCAGTTTGGAACTAGCTGAATGGGACAAGTGCCCAGGGTGTGAAGAATGTGCTCAAGTAGAAGAATATGTGTCCTCCCAGGAGCTGGAGCAGAAAACTCTAGCCTGAGGAACACAGCGCGCCGCATCCTGTACACCCATTTCTGTGCTTAGCTCTTTGCCAGCCACACCTTTGTAAGGGGAGTGTGGAGGAGGGAGAAGGCTCTCGTGCATCTGAAGGCAGAGAAGTGAGAGATATTACAGGGTGCAGAAGGCCTGGGGGTGCTTCCTTGCTGGTCTCTGCAGAGTCAGGAAGGTGGGATCTGGAGAGGCACAGGTGTAGAGCCCGCAGGATACCACTGGTCAGCTTACAGGGCAGGGCTGGCTTGCTGTGTCTCAGCTCTAGGACACCTAACCCAAGTTCTCTAGTGTCTGGATATGCCTTACCTCCAAAATTCGGTCTCAGGCGGACATCGTATCTTGACAGCACCCTGTCCAAAATCTTTTGAACCACAGCTTCATTTGCACAATTTTTGCTGAAACAGAGAAGTCATAAGTAAATGCCGGTTGACTTGGGGCCCGCTTGCCAGTGGTTGCCTTGCTAGGGCCTTCTCTTCTCCAGCACATACGCAGACATGTCCAGTCATACGTGTACACACTCTCTCTCCCTGCTCCCCTCCCTCCCCATGGTGAGTCAGCCAGAAGCGCAGCGGTGACGCAGACTCCTCTTTCCTCCCCCCCCCACCTTCCCAGCTTTAATCCAGAGGGTGGGGCTCAGAGACTGGATCCCTGTTACCAGGCAGGACTTGTAGGGGTTGACGAGAGGAGGCGGTAGGAGAAGGGGAGACGAAGAAGAGTGGGCAGATGAAAGCCCTCAGAAAAATGCATTACTTCAGCCCCTTCAAGAGCCCCATCTTGCAATCAGCCTCGACGCTGTTTTCTAGGTTGGTGGGGGTCCTCCTGCCAGGGGCACCTGATTGCCCCAGGAAAAGTCATCTTTTGCTCTCAGTGCCCTAGTAAGATGAGCTCAAAGTTTCATTTCCCCTTACCTGGGCTAGGGCTGGGCATTTTTTAGTCACTTTTATGTCAACCTTGTTTCTGCACAACTCTGTTTTCCAGACTTGGCATATGGCATAAGACACACAGAGAGAGCCTTGCTGGTGTAGCTGAGATTTACGACCCTCATCCAACCAAACCATTTCAGATTCTTGGGGCTCAGAGCTCTCATCGGAAAGACATCTATTCTGGGAGCAGGTATATCTCTTGCTGAGCATGTGCTTCCACCCTGGAGGTGTCTTGGGTGAGCATAGGTAAGTGGACTCAGCCCAGCTCTGTGGAGAGCTGGCTTTTCCAGAGATCTCTGACACGCTCACCCAATTCACCTAGACCTTCAACAGGGCTCCTTCCCCAACAGGGCTTGCGAATCAGAACAGGCCCCGGCATCACTGTGACTCTTCAAATCTTTGACGCATTGCCCAGGGAACGTCAGCCCCTGCAAATGTGTGTGTTTGTGTGTGTGTGTGTGTGTGTGTGTGCGCACGCGCATGTGTGCATGTTCAGTGGCGCAGTATGGTATGTTGGGTTAAGGGCACTGCAGGGCTGTCTGCTGGAACCTTGCCAAACACCCCCCCCCCCTTTATGAGTACATGTTAATTTCTGGCTTGCCATTTAAACATTGTTAAAAATTATTCCTAATCATCTTTAATCAAAAATTTCATTTTGCAGCATCCCAAAATGTGCACATGAATTATTCCCAAATTAAAGCAATGCATTCCCACCTGTTTCCAAGCACACATTACCCATGTGCCAACGCTCAGGATCTGTGGCCACCCCAAATACACATTTCTGTGTGATTTACATGTAAAGGCTTCAGATACTCGCACACCCAAACAAACTTAAAATCAAAAAGAGAAAAAAACCGGAGTCTTCAAATATTTTCACACGACTAAGTACAAAAGCACACCCATCCCAGACCACACGGTTCGTGTTTATTCAGACACGATCGCACTGTCTGGGCTCCGATGGGTTTGAGTTAATCATTTCTATCTGCCGCATTGGAAAGAGTCCCTCATCCCCTCAACACATGCATGCACGCGCGCGCGCCTCAGGAAATGGACTAAAATGTAGACTCAAACAGGTGTCTCTCCTGTCTATGTTTTGTGAATTGCCCGTCATCCTGTACCCTCCTCCCCAATCCCACAGGTGCCAAAGCTGGGGAAAGCTGCCGGGAACCTTAAATCCTTGGGGATGGATGGACAGATCCTGGGACGAGGGCGACCCCCGCCCCCACCCCTCGGGCTGCGGTTTAGGCACACGCAGGGCTCAGTCAAGCTCCGCAGTAACAGGTGGGCGGAAGCACAGGGCTCCATTTCAACACCCCACTCCCACCTTACCCCTTCTAGGGGCCAACAGGCAGGGCCCGGGCGCCAGGGCTCAGCGAGCCCGGGTCCGAGTACCCCCCAGCCCGAGTCGCCCCCAGCCCGCTCCGTCCAAGAGGCCAGAGGTCGTCTGCCCGTCTCCATTCCCGTCCCCGCCGTGCCTAGCCTGGCGGTGCCCGCTTACCAGTTGAAGAGGTTCAGGACGACTTCGGGCACAGCAGAGGAGAACTCGAAGTGGAATTTCGGGATGGGACTGGGGTAGTTGCCCTCCGCGAGCCAGGTCCTGATGAGCAGCAGGATCACTGCGGCTCGCAGCATGCCTCGGATGCCCATGGCCGGGGCGTTCTGGGCGCCTGAGGGCGCGGGAGACGGGGCCGCGAAAAGGAACAGAGGTGGGGTGGGAGAGTGGGTGACTACTGGGGCCGGGGAAGGCGGGATTGCTGGCCCTTCCCCAAAGAGTCGCCTCTAAGGAGAGAGCAGCGAGGGCAAGGGAAGTAGGGGGTGCGGGGGTCGGCCCGGATACCGGAGATGAGAGCCCGGGAGGAGCAACCACCCAGCAGCTCTGCTGGACGCAGCTCCCCCCAGGGCCCGCCCGGCAGCTGCGAGGTGCGCTCCGTCTGCGGCCGCTCCTGGCTGCGACTGGGCACAGATCCCAGCTCGCTGCTGGCTCCGCCCACTCCGACGGCATCGCAGGCCCAGCCAATCGGACAGCTGCCAGGAGCCGCACAAAAAGGCGCGCGCTCCTGCCTCCGCCCGTAGCCTGCGCGCCGCCCGGCCCCCGCCCCTTCAGGCTTCTGCAGTCATCCCCCGGCCATCTCCAGACACAGGCAGGGCGGGGCCGGGCTGGGGGAGGGGGAGGAGGGCTGGCTCCTTGGGGGCTGGGCCAGGAATCCGCCTCAAGGGGCACTGGGTCCTGTCTCTTCTCTGCAAAATGCGAAATGTGTGTTTTTCTTGGAAGAAAGGGCCTGTGCCCGAGAGTTGTATTTGATGGTGAAGGGAGTGTGGTAATTTGACCGCCATGGCTGAATCTGCATTCTGAAAGACTTGGACAATTTTGGGCGTCAGGAGGTACCCAACGGCTGGTGACTCCGTACCCTTGAGCCTCCAGTAACCCCGCGTGCCTTGTCTCTGGATAAGGTCAAGGAGGATCCTAATGGGTTTTGTTACAGGGCTCTGGCCACAGCAGGACTGCTCCTCCCTCAGGATGGACATTGGGCTACAGGAGCCCAAGAGTTGCTTAAGACTTAAATTTCCTAGAGTGCTCTTCACCCCAACTTTGGGTACTCAGGAAAAAGACTCAAGGAACTGGAAGGGCTCACCAACTGGGGTCTCTCTGAGATGTGGTTGTGTCTCATCAGCCAGGGGATGCAGAATGAAGGTTCATGGCTGACACCATAGAAGGGGAAAAAAAGGCCAAGGTCAGTGTTTGGGGTGTTCAAGGGAGTTAGGCACTGGAGACCAGGGTATGCCAATGTTCCTGGGTTCTGACCCCATCATATGGAAAAGCCTGACATCTTGACTAGAGGGCTCTTATTCTTTCCACTACCTCAGACTCTGCCCCTATGGGACAGAAAAATCGTGGAGGATAAGAAATGCCTCCACCCAATTTCCTATGTCCTTCCTATCCCATGACAAAGCAAGTTCAGAAAGCTTAGAAAGTGGCCTCACCAGAGCCCATAGGGCAAATGGGTAATCAACAAACAGAGCTGCCATGTTCACCGGCATGCCACCTCCCACATCACACCATTGAGAAGAGTTGAAATCAAAACGGATTTCAGGTTTACTTTTGGTTACCTAGAACATTCACTGAGAAACACAACATCTCCCCCTTTTTTTCCCCTCAGTATTTGATGAAATGAGTTGAGATTGCTGGTGCCCAGCAAAGCATGACTTACCTGGTAGGCCAAGCAGTTTTGCACAGCTGAGGGTTTAACTCTTTTACCACTCCCCCTTTAAAATCATTTTAGAACCATACTTTTATGAAAAATGTCTCTCATAGTTTCCTGCCTTCTTTTAATGAGCAGAACACCCTCACACCTTTCTTTCCCATCTCCCCTCTTTCCCTGGCCATTGCAGTAAGAAAAAAGGATGATGGGACCCATTTGTCAGGATCACATATGAGAGCAGATTAAACCCACCTCTACTGCTACCAGTCCTGTCCCATCACCTCTGGTCACACAGACGTCCTTGTAGAGAAAATCCTTGTTTGCCAAAAATGTTAGAGCCATTCCGGGGCATTTTGTCCAGCCACCTCGGTTGTAATGTAGGGAAACTGAAGCCCAGAGAAGAAAAAGGGATTGGCCCAAGGTCACACAGTAGCAGAGGCCAAAACTAAAAACCACATTTCCAGGTCTGCTTACTTCGAGAAGAGTGCGTTTTCAGTCTAAGTCAGCTTTGACTGGAAGTTCTAGCAACCACCAGCAGGTGGGAGCAGATTTGTTTGAATGTGGGATGTTCCCAGCACTGAGGAATCAAATTCCACAGGCAATTGGTCTGGTCGCTCATTTGTTAGGGGAAACAAGCCTGAAGCCTGAAATTTTGTTCTTAGGTACCCTTGTGACTATGAAGATTGACAAAAAGTTGACGGCAACGATGAATTCTCTTCCAGAACTTACATCCCAGAAGGCCCTCCCCTACTTCGGGTCTCCCTAGAGGTAATGCTTCATTGAAATTTCTGACTCACAAGAAAAGGATAGCCAAAATACAAGAAATACAAAAATGCCATTATAATTTGTACTTATTGAGCGTTTGCCTAGTTAATTTATTATAATATCCATAAAGATCTAGATTGAATAAGCTTAAACCTGAATATGGGATAATGGTGTAGGACAAAGAACACTCATCTGGAAGTTAGCCCATCTGTGTTCTGACCCAGCTCTGCACACGACAGTGAATATTCCAGTTTGGCTAAAGGGTAGAGTAAGTTTGGAGGTAAGACAACAGGTGAGATAGGTAAGAGGTGAGAGATTAGGCAGAACCTGACTTTGTAAGCAACACACACTCAGTGTACAATAAATTCTTGTGTAATGAATGAGGCAAGAGAAAGAATCTGGGTCCTAATTTTCTAAAATAAAAAATTGTATTTTATTTTAGAGTCAACAGTAATCTTCTGAAGGATTTGTGCAAGGGAATGATACAATCAGAGTGGCACCTTCGCACTGAAGGAAAAACTGGGAGGGAGAGGGACTGGGGGCAAGAAGAGCACACATCTCCTTCTGGTAATGGCCAGCTAGGTAACTTGGACTAGCTGTTCCAGTGAGGACAATGAAACAAACTGGCTGAATGTAGAAAGAAATAATTGTCATAAAGAACTGAGAGATACTGAGGCTAAAATCCGGAAGAAGACAAGAACCCAGGGGGGAAAGCCCAGCACTAGAATCCTCTTTTGTCCTGATGGCTTCTACTGAATCTGGAAGAGAGTTATGAAATTGAGCTGCAGTTTTGGTGGCATCATAAGGAAAAAAGTGAAAGCTCAAGGCCCAAGGAAGTAGCGGATTTGATTAGCATTCTTGTCACTCTCAGCTGAGACCCTGAGTGGCTACCCCTTTGGGTTAATGGTGACCTATAAGTAACCAGCCCTTGTGTGGTCTTGTAAACCTAGATACTCATCATATGGGCAGTCCAAGGAACCTAAAGCCCTGATCTTGGATTAAAGTGGCCTTGGACAAGTAGTATCCTCAGGCATTTGAAAATACCCCAGCAAATGAAAAGACTCTGCTGGAAGGTATTATCATATTGGGCCTAGAATCATTTGTACAATAATTTTTCAAAAATATGTCAGCGTATAGTCAAAGATAACTTGGCATAAAAGGAAACACATAGACCATGACAGCCAGTAGACAACAAAAACAAACTCTCAAAGACTTCACGTATCAGAGTTACGTGACAAAGACTACAATAACTATGGTTCACTTTATTCCAAAAAATTAAAAATAAGTTTGAAAATATCTGTAAGGAACAGAAAATCATAAAGACTAATAGAGCTATTTTGAAAAAAATCAAGGTGAAAAACTAAACTATAACTAGTGTAGTTATACTAAAGACTATAACAATGAAACTTGAGAATTTAATGGATGGGTTTAAGAGAAGGCTAAACACAACTAAAAAGAGAATTATTGAATTGGAAGATAGGTTATAAGAAATTGCCCAGAGTTCTGTCTGGAGAAACAAATTATTTGGAAAAATAAAAAAGGGAGGATGAGAGACTCAATTAGTAGAGTGAGAAGGTCTGCCATATATTTAATTGAAGTCCCAGTTGAAGATGACGGCTGTAAATTTGAATTCACAGATTCAAAAAGCCCAATAAGTCATAGGCAAGATAAATTAAAAGAAATCTACTCCTAGACACGTTGTAGTGAAAGTAAAGAAAGCCAGAAGCAAAGAAGGCTATATTACTGGTCCAATTAAAAATAATGAGTTCCTGACCTAGAGCAAGAACAGGAGAGACTGAGACTAGGGGATGGAAGTTAGACCCTGGACTTTAGAATGCTTTTACTCATTTTTTTCCATGCTGAAAAAGGCACTTGTTAGAACAACCTGACACCTATGAGCCCTCCCTAGTTGTCATGCTTGGAAGGCCATTGTTCTATCGGTGTGTGTCCGTCATCTCATGGGCCATCAAAGAGGCAAATATTTTCCATGGGTGTGAAATGCTAGTTGCTGCTGAGGTCTAAGGCTGGAGAAATGTGCTTATATATGGCTTCCTAAGAGAAACCAGAATAAAAGTGAATCTTTGTAGAAGAGTTCCCTTCTGCTTACCCTGCCCTCATCATTCACTATTTCTAAGGAAAAACATACAAAATGAACAGTTCTGTGGTTCTCAGGGTGTCTTCCTACACTTGGGCTTCACTATATGCAATTGCTCCTTGGGCTATCTCATGCTGGAGCACAGTAACATTCCTGCAGGGGTTTATATTATAATACACTGAGCTACAAATAAAATAGGCTGTCTTTTGAGAGTGTGGGCTCCTTATTTGTTACTAGAGCTGTTTATACAAAGACTGAATGAATGGCCTCCTGTCATGGGTAGAATAGAGGAAATTCTGCTCCATGTGGGAAGTGGTATCAGAGCTCCTGTGTTTGGCTCAAAATCCTTCATGCATTTATTCTACTTGAGGGACAAGCATTTTTATGTACCCTTAAGGACTCTTCCACCACCACCACCACCACCACCACCACCATTACCACAGAAATCCCTTTTTCCAAGAGAGGAGAGTGGGAGGGCAGGAAAGCCTTCTCTATTGCCTAACCTCAAATCAATCAGAATGCTGTCTGACAGTGAAGACACAGACCTACCTTCACTTATAGCATGCAGTATGTGACCCACAATTTTGACTAACTGTCACAAAGGGAGGGGGTGCTGAATTTTTGATTCTGAGGTTCCATATTTTCTCTTCACTTTTTCTCGGAATTCACATTTTATGTAGGTCACAGCTCCCTCTCTCCCCCAAGCCTGCAGAAACGGGCACTGTATTAGGTATAGCATCTTCTAAAAGCATCTCCCTCCCTAACTATGAAAGAGCAGGAGCGGTGAGAATACTCCACTAACTCTAGAGTTTTTCTCCCAAGGACAGGTTGTATCGTAGTGTATTAAAGGGGCATTTGATTATGAACTTGAAGATCTAGATTGGAGCTCTGTCACCAGCTATTATACCTAGGCATGTGTCTCAGCCTCTGAAGCTCAGCTCTATCATCTGGAATATGGGGGTGGTAATAATGCCTACTTGTTAATGGGAGAATCCAGACAAAAAGGACTCCCTTTCCATCACAACTTCTAGCTTTGGGACCTCACCTCCCTTATCCAGTCAGATTTCTCCTTTCTCCATCTGGAAAGGCTGCGGTCACTACCAGATAGAGCCACTAGAGGGCCTCAGCTCTCCTGGTCTAATTGTGGAACAAACCTTTCCATTTATCTATTAAATAATTGTTTCTCCGAATCCAACAACAGCAGCAAAACACCTTATGCAGAAGCTCACTGAAACAGAGGGGGATAAGCACAGGGAGCAGAGACCTTTTTGAAGGAGGAAGTTTTAGTGCGCAAATGGATAGACCTTTATTTCTACACTGCGGTAGTTGCTGCCATCAGCTACTCTGCCCCTCAGTGAGGATGGTGATGGCTAACTTCTGTGCATCCCTGCCCCTGTTCCCAAGGGGTGAGAAACATTGATCCTGTACAAATCATGAACGGATATCTCCTGGAGCTGTGGAGGGCACAGCCAGAGTGGCCACATGTGGTACACCTGGTGAGAAAGGCTGCTTTCTTACGTGACTCCCTTACCCCTGTGATATAGTTTGGCTGTGTCCCCACCCAAATCTCATCTTGAATTGTAGTTCCCATAATCCCCACGTGTCGTGGGAGGAACCTGGTAGGAGGTAATTGAATCATGGGGGCGGTTACCCTCATGCTGTTCTCGTGATAGTGAATGAGTTCTCATGAGATCAGATGGCTTTATAAGGGGCTTTTCCCTCTTTTGTTTGGCACTTCTCCTTGCTGTCACCATGTGAAGAAGGATGTGCTTGCTTCCCCTTCAGCTATCACTGTAAGTTTCTCGAGGCCTCCCCAGCCATGCTGAACTGTGAGTCAATTAAACAAACCTCTTTCCTCTATAAATTACCCAGTCTCGGGTATGTATTAACAGTGTGAGAGCCGACTAATACACCCTGCTAGTCTTGCACCTGTCCTCAAATCATTTTGGGTTACACAACCCCCCTTAGCCCCTAATTAATGTACTCTTGTATCTTTAGCCGTGTGCTCTCTGCTCCTCCCTCAGGTTAAGTTCTACCTGACCAGAGGATTTTCTTTTAGATAGTCTTTTGACATCAGTATACTCTACATTTGTGGTAACAGCGATAATTCATAATAAGGCATTGAATCTTTCAGCAACTCTAGTCCCTTGTACTTCTCCAAATTGCTCAAAACCATGCTTTTCTGCACGATCTCTGAGACAGATTCAGTAGCACTCACTTCCATCTGCAGGCCCCTTTCAGTTAGTTGGGGCCATGTAACTGGTTTTAGACAATGAAATGCAAACATAAGTGGCACAGACTATTTCCAGGATGAAGCATTTGAGAGTCAGTTTACTATCCTTAAGCTCTCTTTCTTTGCCCTGTCGACCCTGAAAGCCATATGTTGAAGTGGGAATATCAAATATGGAGAGAACCTAGACCCTGAGTCTTCCGATAGAGGATGTGACCTGCATCTGACCATGTGTGACCTGGAAATCAAGCTTTGATATGCTAAGTTGCTAAGATTTAGGGACTTAGTTATCATTTCAGCAAAGCTTAGCCTAACTTGATAAATAGACTCTGGCACTCATCTCAGTGCCTGTACCATTAGTCTAAAGTCCCATGTACAACTCTTTCTGCATGTTTTACAGGTAGCTTGAATCCAAAATATCTCAGTCTTCTCCTAGTACTCTGCAAATATGCTCCTTTTGGTGTGTTCTCAGTCTCGGTGGACTGATATTCAGTTGGGACCTGGTTGGGACCTATAAGACATCTATAGCATTTCCTTCTATCTCCCCACCCCCATATTCAGAAAGTCATCACTCATTCATTGATTAGCTGTTCACTGAGTACCTTTTAGGTGCCAGGTACTACTCTGAGAACAGGGATATAAAAGTAGAAAAAAAAACAGTGAAAGAAATCCTTGATATAGTGGAGCTTATATTATATAGGAACAGGAGGCAGATTACACAGAATTGAAATGAATAAAGTATCTGGTTTATTAGATGATGATAAGTGCAACAAAGAAAAGCAAATCAGGGAAGGAGAGTAGAGAATGCTGGGCAAATGAGGTGGTAATGATTGGAGGGCAAAGACATTATTTTAAATAAGGTGGTCAAGGAAGGACTCATTGTGAAGGCAGACATTTGAGCAGAGACCTTAAAGAGAGGGTGTAAAGCCGTATAGACATTTACGGGAAAATGATTCCAGGAGAGTGGACAACAAGGGGAAATGCCTGAAGTTTTTGGTGTATGCAAAGAATAATAAGGAGGCCAGTGAGGCTGGAACACAGTGAGTGAAGAAGAAGAGAAATAGGAGGTGAGGCCAAAGTATAAACGGGGGCTAGATCGTGTAGTGACTTGTAAACCATGATAAGAACTTTGACTTTTACACAGAGTGAGATAGGAAGCTGATGGCGGATTTGGACATAGGAAAGACATGAGCATATTTATATCATGACAGTGGGATCATGCTTTTTGCCTATTGGAGAATAGGTTCCTGGGGTGGGGGTAGGGCAGAAGCACAGAGAGCAGTCGGGAAGCTGCTGCAATAACCCAGGTGACAGATGATGGGCTCAGCAGACCAGGGTGGTAGCAGAGGAAGATGTGAGATGTGGTCAGATTCTGGATATCTTTTCAAGGCAGAGTTGAAAGGATTTTCTGACAGATCAGACAGAGAATATGAAATTAAGAGACAAGTTACAAAGGATTTCCGGAGTTTTGGCCTGACTAGGTGGGGTAACTGATTTGCCATTTATTGAGTTGGGCAAGACTCTGGGAGGAAGAAGTTAAAGTGCATGAATAGCCAATAATTTTATTTTGAACATTTTCAGTTTGCTTTGATGTTAGGCGTCTAAGTGACGATGTTACACAGGAATTTGTATATATGATCACCACTTTCCCTGCCCAGCACATTTCTACTCATCCTTTAAGGCCCAGCTCAGCTGTGATGAAGCTTTTCTCCCAACTGGCCAAGCAAAGATAGTGACCTCTTCCTTCATGCTACAAGGGAGCCTTCGACAGTCCTGTGGAACAACATTTGACTCCCGTATTGTCATTACTGCCTTTCAGCTGTCTTCCACGACAGACTGACTGGGCACTCCTTTAGTCCAGGGACTATTTCTGGTTCATCTTGTGCCTGCCTAGAACACAGTCCAGAGTCTGGGTTATGGTAGGCACTCAAAAGATATTTGTTGAATGAAGCATCCCAGAAATGAAAATAAATTTTCCATAAGCTGGAGCTCATGAAAAATGAAGACTTGGAAATGGCCATCATATTTATTGGTTAGAAGGCTCATTGGTGACCCCTGGGACAGCAGAAGCCTGAGAGCCACACTGAGGAGTCAGGAATAGGACACCCTTCTGAAAGTGTTGCTATGTGGCCATTTTTGCCTTTCATTTTGATAGTCTTGTCAGTGTTTCTCAAGTGGTTAGGCGATGAAAGGGATCAAGATTTGTGTCTCCAAGTGCACTTCAAAGAGGGCATCCTCTTCCCTGGAAGAAATGCTGTAACTATAGTAGTGGGTAGGATTTATAAGGAGACAGATTGGCTTAGATTTACTTCTAATGGAGGAAGCACCAGAGTCAGACAAATTTAGCAGCTCAAATCCCAGCTCTGCCACTCATCAGCTGTGTGACAAGTCACTTTCTCTCCTTGATCCTCAGTTTCCTCATCTGTAAAATTTGACGTTGTGGGGATTAAGTGCAATCAAGTTGGCAAAGCGCCTTCAATAGTTACTGACACAGTAATTGCTAGGGAAGAGTGGACAAAAGAGAAGCAATAGCAGGGCTAGCCAAAGATGGGGCTAGCGTTCCCCATTCCTGGAGATATTCAAGGACAGACTGCATTACCATTTTGTGGGAACATTATAGAAAGGATTCTAATGGTTGGACCAGTCGAAAATTGAGGTCCAGTCTAGCCTTGAGTTTTATAATTCTAAGAATCCCAAGGAATAGAAATGCAGATACAAATGTTGCTACTGAAACCACTCTACTCATAGTGGAGCACTCATGTGCCAATGGGTTTTTTTCCAAAGGCTTGTGTGTGCGTGGCAGCATTGTCTGTGTGGCAATGTTGTGTGGGCAGCAATGCTGTTGCTGATTTGAGAGCACACTGCCAGCTGTGCTGCCTGCTGCTGCCACACCTGGCACACTGCCTCAGCACTACATGTCCCTTCCATAGTCAAATAGGCCCCTGAAGTGACTGCATGTTCATTTTACTCTTTGACTCAGTCAGCTGGGGCCTCCCATACTAATCTCTCATTTACTCCTTTGCAGTATAATCATAATTGACTCCCGTTTGGGGAGAAGGCTTCAGGAGGTGGTACAGTGAGAATGCTTGCTGCTTATCTTGGCTTCACTGTGTGGCATCACCACCGATTTTTCAATTTGACCTTTGAGACTATCTCTGTGATGCTTCTCCCCACTGCGTCCTCCTCACACCCTGCTCCTACCCCCAGTTCAGGCCTTCATCCCTGTCTTGCACTCTTGTAATAGCCTTTTAATTAGTTTGCCCATTTGGTGTTCACCCTATCTGTAATCCACTCTGATTCTAACTTACACTTTTAGCTCCTTCCTCCTCCTCCTTCCTGTCATTCCCACCCAGCTCCAGTGCAGAGGGGCTACTGGCCTTTCTCTGAGTGACCCCCACTTGGCAGTTATTCAGTTTGTCTCCTTCATCTGCCAAAATTAAATCTATCTTTTAAACCCGAGACCGGATACCCTTTTCCCCAAAGCTAGCTGTGAGGGTTTTGACTGGGTGGCTCTATTTGTGTCCTGATCACATGGTGCCTTTTATTGGAGTCCTGTGTGTGCATCTTATTTCCCTTAAAAGTCTGGGAGCTTCATTTCTCTCATCAGTAGCTACATTCTCTCCATATCTCTCCTCATTTTGAAAACAAACTCTTCTTGTCCACCATGATTTCTCCCCTGAATCCCTACCTCATTAAAGAAATAAATGAATAAACCCAGTCAGGGTTTCTGTGGGTTGTACTGAAAAGTAATTTTAACACCTGACATCCTAAAAGCACAAATTACATAAGTAATTTTAGGGACGAATTGACAATTTAGAAGTCTGAGTGAAAAAAAACTCAGGCTACAAATGATTGATTCTGCTGAATGTTGCCTAAGTGCTCTTAATTAATCAACAAGGAGCCACATTTGCTCCCCTGATGACCTTTTCTCTCCTTTAGAAAAGCCAAGCCCAAGGGAAAGGTGTTTAAACTGTTTATTTGATTCATTTCTTAGCTTCTGAGCTTGACTACCTTAAGCCTTTGGTTTGTTCTTGAGGATTATGGGGCTTTTAAGAATTGAGCCATTCTCTAGTTTGCTCTTCAGGATATGGGCATATTGCATTCATCTAATCCCTTGAATTTACAGAGTGGGCTAGCATAGAAACCAGAAGTGAGTAGAGCATTTATTTGGGCAGCATGAATTTCTGTAAAAGAAGATGACAGGAACTCGCTGCAGTCCTTCTGTCAGCTCCCATGTTCCTGATGTTTATAAGAGCATTGCTTATGTAGTGAATCGTTCCCCTGGACACATTTCTTCCACATGGTGCCTAATGGGTTGAGGTGGAGCGTGAAGGGCCAACATGCGCTAGTGGACAAACAGCCACCAAAGCGATGTTTACTAACACTTTCACCACTAAAGTATGGCAAAGGGCTTTCAGAACAGGGTGCACTCATATTCAAGTGCATGACACCGTTCCAGAAGTTATGATGACCAGAAAAGCTTTATTTTGAATTGAAGGTGCTACTTGGGAGTCAGCTTTAGAAATAAAGTCAAAATGACCCTTCTTGTGTTCCATTAGATGTAAATATAGTGAGACAGCTTCTTCCCAATGAAATGCACTATTATAGGACTCTCCTTATACAGTACTTCACTTTAGATTCACTTAGATTCATTAAACTAAATGCTTGTTCCAGACACCTGACTTGCAAAATGTACTCCCTATTCCAGCCCACTGCTGAGAAAATGGCCAGCCTACTCCAGAAACCAATAATAATAATTTAATCACCACAATAGTGCTGTAATCTGGGTACTATTATCCTTCCATTTTCCAGTCAGGAGTGGAGAAGACATGATGGAGGTCAGAGCTTGAGCTCTGAAGCCCAACTGTCTGGATTTGAATCCCAGCTCTGACACTCACTTTCTGTGTGATCTTAAGCAAATTACCTAACTTCTCTGTGCCTCAGTTTCTTCACCTCAAAGGGGTATAGTAATAGGAATTCCTTATGGTGTAAAATGAATTAATACATGGAAAATACCTAAAACAATTGCTGAGCACATGGTCAATGCTCAAGTAATGGGAAATCTTCTGGAGTTAGGTGGCTGTTTTCTGGCCAATCAGTAAGACAAATGGGATGAAGAGAACAAAAATATGGGTCATTGGAGTAGGCCGGACTTACCCGTAGTTACTGGGATAAGCTATGTGATTCTGGTTGGGGCAGAGGCACATGTATAGAAAGGTTGCAGAATGCAGGCCAGAGGGAGTCAGTGCCTGGGATGTGTCCCAAATGTGTCTGCCCCAGCCTGAAGCTCCTAAAGCCTGGGAGATGAATAGAGGCCTTTTTCTACACACACTAGACTATAAGAAGAGTTGAGAACCCCAAGTAATATGCAAACTACTAAGTTCAACGAACCACAATTCATTTTTAAACAATTAATTCACCTTCTTAATTTAGATGTGGCAATTTACAAAGCAACGGACCACTTGGCATAGATTTTCTTTGGGGGACATGGAGCACAGTTATTGGCTTATACATAGACGCATCAAAAACCCTAACAAGGTGGGACCACCTTGTCATGTTATCTTGGAATTTCTAATGATTTGACTTGGCTTCGTGTTTTATTGGTACTGTACAATTTAAATATCTCAAACAGAGTTTCATTCAAGGCTCTCAGTCCATGTTGAACTAAATGATGACTCCCTTTACTTTCTAGTCACACTGTCAGGGAAATTTTTACAGCAGCAGCTTCAGCGTTTATACTCTGCTGTCAGCAACTTCATCTCGGATATCGATGTGGACACGGTGCTGGTTCACAATGGAGCACAGGGCAAGATACAGGATTTCTTTACATTTCCAGTTTGGTATAGTGAGGTATAGTGTGCTTAAAGAGACCAAACACCACCCCACCCTGCCAGAGAGAAAAGGAGAAATACAGCCCAGCAAAGTGTTTCTTGGCTTGAGTAAGGTTAGATATCATGCCCCTCACTTGGAGTTGGATTTCAGTTTCTGACTACCCAAAGGGTTTCACATCCAGCGACACTGGCAATGAGTGAGAAGAGCCCCTTAGTATAGATTCACCAGGCTGCTAAATAGGTGGACTATTTAGCAGGTGATACAGTACCCCTCCATCCATTTTTTCTTTCTTCTCTTAAAAATACCATCTTTATTAAGATATAATTGACATACCATACAACTCACTGTATTAAAGCGTACAATTCAATGTATTTTAGTGTTTTCACAGAGTTGTGCAACAGTCACCTCCATTTAGCTTCAAAACATTTTCACCACTCCCAAAGGAGACCCTTTACACATTAAGCAGTCACTTCTCATACCCCCTTCCCCCCAGCCCTGTCAACCACTAAACTACTTTCAATCTCTATGAGTTTGTCTATTCTGGATATTTCATATAAATGGAATCATGCAATATGTAGCCTTTCGTGACTAGCTTCATATACTTAGTTTAATGTTTTCCATATTCATCCACATTGTAGCATGTATCAGTACTGCATTTCTTTTTAAGGCTGAATGATATTCCATTGTATAGATATGCCCCATCTTGTTTTATGTATTCATCGGTAGATGGACATTTCTGTAGTTTCCACCTTGTGGATATTGTGAAAAGTGTTACCATGAAAACTCAAGTATATGTCTTCATTGTGTACACACAGTGTGATAACATCTGTTTTCAATTATCTTGGGTATATACCTAGGAGTAGAATTGCTAGGTCAAATGGTAATTCTGTGCTTAACTTGTAGAAGAACTACCAGAGTGTTTCCCATAGAGACTATACCATTTAAAATTCTCATCGGTAATATATAAAGGTCCAATTTCTTCGTATCTTTACCAACACTTAACATTTACAATTTTTTAAAATTATAGCTATCTTAGTGAGTAAAGTAGTATCTCATTGTGTATTTTTAAGAACAGCTTTATTGAAGTCTAAGTGATCTCCAAAACCCATACATATTTAATAAGTACAATTTGATGAGCTTATACATATGCACATACCCTTGAAACCGTCACCACAATCAAAGCAATAGATACACCCATCATCTCCAAAAGTTTCCTTATGCCTCTTTTTTGTTCTGTTCTGTTTGTTTTTTGTTGTAAGAACACTTACTGTGACATCTACCCTTTTAACAAATTTTTAAGTGCACGTATCATGGTGTTTTGATTACCTAGCTTTGTAATTTATTTTTAAATCAAGAAGTGTGATGTCTCTGGCTTTGTTTTCCTTCTCAAGACTGCTTTGGCTATTCTGGATCTTTTTTAGTTCCATATGAATTTTAGGATTTTTTTTTTGTGGGGGGGAAAGCCATTGGGATTTTGATGGGAATAGCATTGAATCTGCAGATGACTTTGGGTAATATGTACATTTTAACAATATTGAATCTTCCAATCCAGGAACACAGGACGTTTTTCCATAGATCAGTTTCTTCTTTAATTTCTTTCATCAATGCATAGTTTTCAGTATAAAAGCCTTTCTCTACACTGGTTAAGTTTATTCCCAAGTATTATATTCTTTTTGATGATATTGTAAATGGAATTGTTTTCTTAACTTGCTTTTAGGATTGTTCATTGCTAGTACCTTCAGGCGTCACTTAATTATGGGGATCCATTCTGAGAAACGTATCATTAGGCGACTTAGTCATTGCACAAATATCAAAGCATACTCACACAACATAGACAAACCTGCATGGCTTGTTACAGTACTGAATCCTGTAGGCAATTGCAACACAATGATAGATATTTGTGTATATCAACATGTCTAAACATAGAAAAAATACAGTAAAAATATAGTATAAAAGGCAAAGATGGTATATCTGTATAGGTCATTTACCATGAATGGACCTTGCAGAATTGGCATTGTGTCCTATACAGTAGTGTGCATAGGACATTATTGCACACTACTGTAGACTTTATAAACACTGTACATTTGTGCTACACTAAATTTATAAAAATTCTTTCTTCAATAATAAATTAACCTTAGCTTACTGTAACTTTTTGTACTTTATAAACTTTTAAACTTTTTCACTGTTTTGTAATAACACTTAGCTCAAAATACAAATACATTGTATAAATGTACAAAAATGTTTTCTTTCTTTATATCCACATTTTAAAGCTTTTCTCTCTTTCAATTTTTTTTGTTTTTGCTTTTTAACCTTCTTTGTTAAAAACTAAGACACAAGAACACACATTACTCTAGGCCTACACAGAGTCAGGATCATCAATATCACTGTCTTTTACCTCCACATTTTGTCCCACTGGAAGGTCTCCAGGGGCAATAATACACATGGAGCTGCCATCTTCTATGATAACAATGCCTTCTTCCAGAATACCCACTGAAGGACCTACCTGAGGCTGTTTTATAGTTAACTTCTTTAATAGGTAGAAGGACTTCACTCTAAATTACTGATAAAAATATAGTTTAGTAAATACATAAACCAGTAACACAGTTGTTTATTGTCATTATCAAGTATTATGTACTGTATGTAATTGTATGTGCTAGACTTTTATATGATTTACAGTGCAGTAGGTTTGTTTACGCTAGCATCACCACAAACACGTGAGTAATGCTATGATGGCTATGGCTTCACTAGGCCATAGGAATTTTTTAGCTCCCATTATAATCTTATGGGACCGTGGTTTTATATGCGGTCTGTTGTTGACTGAAATGTTGTTATGTGGCGCATGAATGTATACAGAAATATCACTAATTTTTTTGTGTTTATCTTGTATCCTGAAAATTTGCCCAATTCAATTAAATATTTTTTGGGGAATCCTTTGAGATATTCTCTACATAGGATCATTCCAGCTCTGAATAGAGCGTTTTACTTTTTCCTTTCCTACTTGGATGCCTTTTTCTTTTTTTCATATCTAATTTGTCTGGCTAGAACTTGCAGTATGATGCTGAGTATAAATGGCAAAAGACAGCATCATTGTCTTAACCTTAGGGAGAAACCTTTCAGCTTTCACCATTTATATGATGTTAGTTGTGGGATTTTCATAAATGTCTCTTATTTTGTGAGGAATTTCTTCCCTTCTATTTCCAGGTATGTTGAGTGTTTTTTTTTTATCATGACAGGGTGTTGGCTTTTGTAAAATTCATTTTTTGCATAAATTGAGATGATCACCTGTTTATTCCCACCTTCATTCTATCAGTGCACTCTATTGCATTGATTGATTTTCATATATTGCAGTACTTTTGGCTTCTTGAGATAAATTCCACATAGTCATGATGTATACTCCTCTTAAAATGCTGCTGGATTCAGTTTGCTAGTATGTTGTTCAAGATTTTTGCATTTGTATTCATAACAGATGTTGGCCTGTATATTTCTTTTCTTGTCTGGCTTTGATATCAGAGTAATGCTGACCTTCTGAATGAGTTAGAAGGCTCTCCATACTTTTCTATTTTTTGGAAGAGTTTGAGAAAGATTGGTATTAATATTTTAGATAATTTGTAGAATTATCCAGTCATGCCAGTTGGTCCTGGGCTTTTCTTTGTTGGAATGTTTTGATTACTGAGTCAATCTCTTTACTTGCTACAGTTTATTCAGATTTGGTATTTACTCTTCAGTCAGTTTTGGTAGTTTGTATGTTTCTAGGCACTACTTCACTCATCTCCTTCAACCATTCTTGGAAAAATATTTATTGACATTGTACCATGTTCAGGCACTGTGCCCTGCACAACCAGTCACATGTTCTGCTTCTGAGGAAGTGAAATTTTAGTAGAAATATACACAGTGAAACAAGGGATTCCAATACAATGTGATGTTGTGATATACATTCGAGGGGCCTCTGAATCAGGCTTGAGGGCTCAGGAAGAAAATTGCGTGGCTGGGGTAGAGGTGATTGGAAGTTTTAATTTTTATTCTTTCACACCTTTTTAACATCAACCCTGCCTCAATTTATAAACAAGTCCTACTTAAGAGTAAAATGTTAAATCCAACCACTTTTCTATACCTTCACCTTTTCACTCTGGTCCAGTTACCATTATTTCTCAGGTGGATGGACAACTATAGTAGCTTCTAACTGGCTCCCCTACCTCTGATCTTGTCTCCTGTGGCAAATATCATAGATTAGCTCATTTCACTCTATTCCAACCCCAATTGTAGTAGACCT
Organism: Homo sapiens; assembly: GCF_000001405.40. Lineage (NCBI taxonomy): Eukaryota > Metazoa > Chordata > Mammalia > Primates > Hominidae > Homo > Homo sapiens. The sequence continues at coordinate 152,621,457 of NC_000023.11, read as the reverse complement.
TACTAAATGATAGAGGTTGGAAAGCTAAAGACTATATTTCCCATGCCCCATAACAGCCTGGATTCCACAGATGATGTAACCTCTGCCAAGTAGACGAACTTGTATGTGATTTGGAAGGGGGAGTGAAGCAGAGTCCCTACTTCTGCTTCTGTGATTTCTGTTTTCTGTTAGGGAGCATGGTGCTGGAAGCTTTTGATTCTTCTGCATCAGCAGTCACAGAGATCCCAAGGTAATGTTCCTAGTTTTGTGGACATCAAAAGGCAGGTCATGGGGTGTCCACCTCGCTTATGTAGATGGAGAATGAGGTAGCATGGTCTTAGAGCCAAGACTTGTGATGAACTTAGCAGAGGTGGTGAGGTCCTGGGGCCAATTACTAAGGCAGTGGCTTCCTGATTCTCCCAATGGTGCCAATTATATGTGGTGTTATTCTGGGAAACAGGTTTGGAAATTCAACCTAGAGTCTGTTCTTTTGATTCTTTCAACAATTTTGGAAGCACCAAATTCCCCCTTTCTACTTAAATGGGCTAACATGGTTTCTGTTTTCCGTAACAGAACTCTGCACTTTGCTCTCTACACAAAAGCTAAAGGAAATGTTAAAACAAAATATATCCTAACTTCTTTGCTCAAAACCCTCCAATGGCTTTCTGTGCCACTTGCAATACAAATCAAACTCTTAATTTCCTTTCATTCTTCCCTGGCTCGCTTCATGGAAGCCCTACTTGTCTACTAGCTGTTCCTGAAACACAGCAATAACACCCCCATCTCAGGGTCTTGCATTTGCTATTTCTCTGTACCTGGAATACTCTTCCTCTTGATAAGTGTGTGGCTCAGCTTTCTACTTCATGCCAGTCATCTTTTTTTAACCCACGGTAGCCCAGTTTCACTCTCTTTGACATTACTGTCTTGATTTTCTGCAGAGCATGCATCACTTTCTGGGATCATTTTGTTTACTTGATTTTTTTGTGTATCATCTGGAATACAAGTTTCATGAAGGAAGAGGCCATGTCTGATCTTTTCAGTGGATTCTAGGGAAAAACAGTTCCCACACACATTGCAAATATAGCTAGGAATTCAGAAGGAGGAAGAAGAAATAGAAAAGGCTAGACATTTTTGAGCACTACTAGGATGTTTAAGGAGTGTTAGATGGCAAAGTGCCAAAGACTGAAAACACAAATCACCTGATAAAGGTGGCATTTTCCGAAGAATATTCTTGCAATTGTGAAACAAAAATTATATGTGCAAGCAGTGTGAATAACAGCCAGAACTGTGTCTGCAGTGAGTGCCATTACATCATTGGCATCCAATTAGAAGGCTCGTTCATGACCTGCTCTGTGACTCATTTAGCATTTTCTTCCAAAAAAGCATGTACTTGGTCTTGTCTGGTCATTTGGGAAGTAATAAAACAGGGCATTTGGGTTCTTATCATTGCAAAAAATCATTTGCAAACCTCTCTTGTGTATTCAACCCTGTACTAGGCATTCTGGGATGAATGTAGGGAAGGGAAAAGTCACAGATCCTATCTACAAAGAAGGTGGGTAGATGAGATACTGTCCAATAAGGGTCAGGCAGCTGACTAGGAAAGGACTATCCTGTAGGAATCAGATGATGTGGATGCTCTGGAGAGGGAAGAGGCCACGAAGACAGAGAATCAGAAACCACAGCATCAGTGAACAGGAGACTCTGAAGTGCTTTGAAACTAGGGTAGAATTCAACATCCAGCCTTCCAGCCCCAACTACCAACAGCTCCCAGGCCACAGACCGTAGGCATCAACTGAACTACCCAGGACAACTGCCAATGCCCTGTCTCCCACCCTTGCCTGGGCCTCAGGCGGCTTAAGTTATTTTCTCATTGCTGCCAGACACTGTTACAGTCTCTGTGGCACTGTGTATTCATAATCACAAATCTTATCCAGACCCTCCACACTGCTTAGCATTCCTACTTTGTTTCCTAGCTAGCTATCTCATCCTTTCTCCACAATTATAGTTTATCTTGTACATGGTCCTTAAGAACCTTTTCCCATAGCAGATTACCTTACTCTCCTACTTCATGGAGAAAACAGAGAACTGCAATCCGAATGGGAATTTCCTCAGTTTTCTGTCATCAAACCTTGTGTTGGTCTCCAGCCTCTTGTCCTCCAGGCAGAGTCTGCACACAGAGACTACTGCTGGGGTCACTGATAAGGTTTGGCTGAACCCATCTAACAATGGAATGTTCCACTGTCTTGGTATTTTTGTCCACATGACCAAATCTAGTTTGGGGCTGAATTGATCAGACATTTTTATTCATGCAGCCATAATGGAATGAAATATCAGATGCTGCAATGTTGATTCCCCATGTTCCTGAATCCTCTGTATTAGAATCTCTACATGTGCTTGTTGAAAATAATTTTTCCATAAAGTAATTTCTTTGTACACTAACTTTTGAGAACCACTGATATTGACCATAACTAATTTGTCCAATGAAAAAGTTCTGGAATGGGCCTTCTGTCACAAATGAAGGTGGACCTGCCTATACTGTAGCTGTAGTTATTTAAAAGATAGGGTCAATCACAAACCAGAGAAATCCTCTTAGACCATCTTTTTTTCAGACAAATTTAAATACTCCCATAGCCATCAAAACACACATACACACCCAGAGCCTGCTCTAATGCGTGGAGAACATGTTAGCCCTCAAACTCAGTGCTAAAAAGGTGTTCAACTGTGGGAATTATCACAGTACTGTACGATATTCAAGACTTTCTTTGTGAAAGAAAACACGCCTACAGAAAAATGCATAGAATGTAACTATATGGCATAAAGAATAATTATGAGGTGGGCATTCGTGTAACCACTATCCACATCAAAAAAAAAAAAAAGCATGACCAGTCTCCCACAAGTCCTTCATGGTCTTTCCCAACACCAGCCCCCCCAGTTAATGTGTATGGTTTTTTTTTTATATGCACGCCTCATGTAGTATATATTCTTGTGTCTGGATTCTTCGACTCAGTGTTATGTTTGCAAGATTCATCCAATTTGTTTCTTGTAGCCAACTTTGTTCATGTACTTTCCTGTGTGGTATCCCATTGATGGATATGCCACATGTTGTATACCCATTCAACTAGCTTTGGAATTTGGATTGTGTCCAGTTTGGGACAATTACAAGCAATGCAGCTCTGAGCCTTCTGGGCTGTGTCTCCCAAGGCATGTGTGCATGGGATTCTCGAGTCTAAGTGCCTAGCTGTAGTATTGCTGGGTCTTAGGGTAAACATATTTTAAACTTTTTTGGGTACTAACAGAGTGTTTCTATTAATATCTAAATACGTATGAATTCCTTCCATCCAAAAGTTAGTAATATGCTATTTCATTTCCAGACTTCTTGGTTTTTATTTATTTATTTTTTATCAGCTTTTATTTTGATTTCTGGGGTACATGCGCAGGTTTTTTACATAGGCAAATGTATGCCATGGTGGTTTGCTGCACAGATTAACCCATCACCCAGGTATTAGGCCCAGCACCCATTCGCTGTTCTTACTGATGCTCTCCCTTTCCCCGCCCTCTCGACAGTCCCCAGTGTGTGTTGTTCCCTCTCATGTGTCTATGTGTTCTCATTATTCAGCTCCCACTTATAAGTGAGAGCATGCAGTGTTTGGTTTTCTGTTCCTGCGTTAGTTTACTGAGGATAATGAAATGTACATTTTGGTTTTTAAATGCTGTCTTTATGTTATTAACTTCTGCATTAGCATTATGATCAGAGAGCCTATTTTGTATGATATTGATCGTTTGGAGTTTATTGAGGCTTTTTTCTCTTTTCCTAAATTCATATTCTACTTCTGTAAATCAGCAGTGTGCCTCTAAGTAATGTATATATTTTTTGTTGGGTATAGAGTTTTATATTGTCTAATCACTCAGATTTATTACTATGTCTTTGATATCGCTGCTTATTTCTGTTGTTTGAACTCTCAGTTTCTGAAAGTGGTGGGTTAAAATCACTAGCTGTGATTAGTAATGTGTGTATTTCTCCTGACAGTCTTAAAACTTGGTCACCTAATAACATGGTGTAAAAATACAAGAGCAAAAATTGACATAACTATAGGGAGAAATAAGCAATCACAGTTGGGTATTTTAACACATTTCTCTGAGTAATTGATAGAACAAGCAGAACAAAAATCAGTTAAGTACATGGAAGACTTGAAAAAAAAAGTGATTAACAAACTTGACCTGATAAAGATATATATATATATGCTACCTCTACCTCTACATCTACCTATCTCTGCCTATATTATCTATATCTATCTGTACATCCATGTCTACATCTGCCAAACAATTGAAAAGTACAGCTTTTTTCAGCACATGTATAACATTTTTGTAAATGATCACATTATGTCCAGAAAGAAAATCTTAACAAATTGCAAAGGATTGAAACCATACAGAGCGTGTACACTAATCAGAGTGGAATTCAGCTAGAAATCAATAACAAATAGCCAACTAGAAAAATCTCTACATGTTTGAAAATAGTAAATTTAAAATAAATTACAGATAAAAAGAATAAATAATAATGGGTACTTGAAAATAATTTGAACTGAAAAACAATGAAAATACCAAGTAACAAAATTTGTGGGATGCAGTTAAAGTAAGAATCAAAGGAAAAGGAAGAAAGCCTTAAAATTAATGAGCTAACTATTTTTTCCAAGAAGTTAGAAAAAGGACAGCAACACTAACTCAAACAACAGTTAGAAAATGAAATTAAAAACTAACATTTACAGTGGTATTAAAAATATGAAGTACCAACAAAAAACTCTAATTAAAATGTGTAAGACTTTCACAGAGAATATGACAGAATCATATTGGGAGACAGCAAACAAGACTGAACTCAATACAGATACTATATTCATAGATTGAAAGGCTCAATATTATAAATATGTCAACATTCCTTCATTTTATTGATAATTCCATGTAATTACAATAAAAATTCTAACAGGTTCTATCTTGTAGAATTTTTCAATATAATTTGAAAATTTATACAGAGAAGCAAAGGTCCAAGAACAATCAAGATACTCCTAAAGAAAGTGGTGAGGAAATTTGCTCTGCCAAATATCAGTTTAGGGCTATAGCAATTAAGACAGTGAAGTCTTAGCCCAAGATAGTTAAATACATCAATGGAACAGAATAGAAAACCCAGAAACACCTCCACTCCACCATCTTCTCTGAATGATCCCTTAATTTTCAGGCCTTAACTGCAACCTCATTATTCACTGAAGACATAGCTTACCCTGAAGTCCTCTCTAGTGGAGACTCTGTTCTCTCATATGCCAAATACCTTAGGGCCAGAAAAGAGGTGGGTTTTCCTCAATCCTCTGTTGCTTCTAGGCCAAAAAATACCTGCCCATTTGAGGTTTAAGCCATTCCACTATGTCATCTTCTATGCCTCCTTCATGCTAGCATCCACTGACCTCCTAGTTATTCTGACTTAGCATGGGCTTGGTGTTCTGGCTTGTGCTCTGGCTCATGGTCTTTCTCTCTGCTCCATCCTACCATCTTTCAGAGGACTTCAGTATCCACATCAACCACCCAGCAGTTTGACCTTTTCATTTCTAGTGAACTTCTCTACCCTGTAGTAGCCACACTCATCTACACATACAGTTTGGGTTTATTCTTCACCTGAAACTACTCTACCTCTGACAGCATAAGTTAAAACATCAATTTTGGATTACAACCTCCTAGCCATCCTGCTCTCTCATTCTCCTATTCCCTCTACACCTGTTCTTTGATCTTATTGAGATCTCCATCCCTTGACCTCTCTATTTCTTGCCCATCTGTCCTCTCTTCTTTTTCCCCCTCATCTCCTTATTGATTTGGTTTGGTGAAACTCTCCTCTCTACTTGCATTTTTCTGTTTCTATGCAGACTTACTAAGTTGTAAATACATCACCTACCACTTATTTTCCTATATTTTCAACATCTCCTTTCATTCCCACATTCAGTAATGAACCACATCCAATTGTTGATTCTAAATTCTATGTTCTTCTCTATGTGCCTTCACCAACTATCTTAGATCAGCAGTTCAGCATCTCTCACATAAGTTTCTGCACTGCATTGCTGCCCCTCTCTGATCTTTCCTCCACAGTATTTTCAGAATGATATTTCTAAAATACATATTACTTCCCTAGTTAAAGTTTTCTGATGGCTTCTTCTAGCCTTAAGGATAACTCCAAACTACTGACTTTGGCATCCAAAATCCCTGCCTGCCTCTTTACCCTCATTTTCCGTCATTCCACCTTACAAAATCTTTTCACTGCAGTCACACTCAAACACTGGCAACACTCCAAGTGCATAATAGCCTTTCATGTCTCTATGACTGTCTTTGAAATTGCTGTCCCCTTTGCTTGGAGGTCCTCTTGCCTGTCATTACTTCTCTCTCTAAGTAACTCCTCATCTTTCAAAATGTAGCTTACCTCATTCTCCTATGTGCTCACTTTGAAGTATAGGGCACTTATCCAAATGAACTCTGGTCATTACTCTGTTAGCCAAGATACATTGAGCTAGCCATTAGAGCTTGTGCTATACAACAGACTTTGAGCAAATCTTGGGTCAGAGACGATGCCTTGTTTTTTGAGCCTCTGATTGCAAGATCAAGGCCAGGTACATGATAGGTGGTCTTTTAATAAATTTTTATTGATTGAGTGAAGAAATGAGTGTTTCCCATCTCTCTTGGACTTCAATGTGGTCCTAATGATGCCTTGGAAAAAGTAATAAAATTGTTTTCCAGGATTTTGAAAACTTGTTTAGCAAAATACAGAGCTAAACGTAGAGCTAAAAAAAAAAAAACAGTAAAATCCTCTTATTTTTTATCTAAAATTGGGTGTGAGTCAACTAGGTTGCTGTAAAGGCCTCACAGAGACCTGTCTTGTAGATATAGCTTGGCAAGAGACCACCCCAAAAGGAATCCTTGAATTTATCAATGAATTTTAAGAGAGGAAGAAACAAATTTGAATTTAACATGTGCATAACTCTTGGAAGTCTGAGTAGTCGGGATACGTAACAGAGACTGATTTCAAGTAGGCCTATACAGTTTGGGGCCCAAGCAGGCCAACTTCCACATGGTTTAGGGTACACTAAGTAATGTAAAAAGTAGCATCAATGTCACTGACTTTTCTCAGCCACACTGAGGAACCCTGAAGCCCACATTAACTGAAAGACAAAGTTGTTAGTTCTAGTGCAGCTGTGAGGAGACTTGCAAAGTAGTCTCTAAAACTAAAAGTCAGGAAACAAAAAAGAGTTTTAAAGAAGTGTAGTCTCTACTTGTCATTACTCTTGTTGTACAGAAAAACAGGCTTGCAGCAGGGAAAATATAATGCAAAAGTTGGCAGCCTTTCCATGGGGCCTATTTGTCAAATTTTCTTTCACTTCCCCCACCAAACCATGGAGTTAAAGGTGGCAGTTTTCTTCTTGTGGGGTGCAAAAGAGTGTTTGAAATGAGACACAACAATGGGAAGCCTCTTTATGCCTTCCTCTCTCAGTTTGGACCTAGATCAGGCTAGAAACTCCCTACTTAGAGCCCAAGGCTCCACACAGCTCCACTGGGCCCAGGAACAAGGAAAGCCATGACACTCCTATCCTGTTCCCTCACCATAACCTTTTCCAGGTCTGCCTGATAGTCATCAAGAACACAAGGCAGAACGCAAGAGGAGGGACTGAAAGCACTCAAGAAAGACCCCTAGAGAGCCTGCCAAGGCCAACTCTAGTAGGACAGGCAAGAAAGAGCTGAGCTTTCCTTTTCTCACTCTTCTGGAGCTCTTCTCTCCTGCAGCCCCTTTGGATGCCCACATCACAAATCTTGATTAAAAGATAAATACTGATAGATGAGGAACAAGGATTGGTTGGACCATGGAAAACACTAGTCTCCAGGCTCTGGAAACTTCCTGGGATTAATCTTGGGAGGTGATTCTTAGCTTAGAGGGTTTGAGGGTGGGGGAAGCCAAGAGAGGAGCAGGCCGAGAGCTATATTGGCTGTCTTGTTGATTGCTACATTTCCAGAATTTAGAATCAAGCTTGGCACATATTAGGTGCTCAGTAAAGTAAATGATTATTAACTGACTGAATGAACAAACGACTGTAAAAAAGGGCAAAACTTCAACAACAAAAATTATACAGAGCACAGAGCTTGTTTAAGTGCCATCAAATAAGTTGGTATTACTAGTTTTGCAGAGTTAGTGAAGCCTTTGTGTAAATCTTCAATGCCAGGTTTATTTTGTATATAGTAGAATCCATAAAAGTTTCCTCATAGGAATTTGACATGATCAGAGTTAGGTTTTAGGGGGTTCAGTTTGGCAATATTATGAAGAATGTATCTGTGGGAAAAGATATGAAAATAACAGAAAAGTTAGGATGCTATGCAGGAACAAAAGTTCAGGCAAGAAATAGTAAAGGCACCAGTAAGAATGACTATTACATAAAAAGTTGAATAATATTGGGAGGCCGAGGTGGGCGGATCACGAGGTCAGGAGATCGAGACCATCCTGGCTAACACGGTGAAACCCCGTCTCTACTAAAAATACAAAAAATTAGCCAGGTGTGGTGGCGGGCACCTGTAGCCCCAGCTACTCGGGAGGCTGAGGCAGGAGAATGGCGTGAACCTGGAAGGCAGAACTTGCAGTGAGTGGAGATTGTGCCACTGCACTCCAGCCTGGGTGACAGAGCTAGGCTCCATCTTAAAAAAAAAAAAAAAAAAAAAAAAAAAAAAAAAAAAAAAGCCAAGATGGCTGAATAGGAACAGCCTCTGGTCTGCAGCTCCCAGCATGATCGACGCAGAAAACGGGTGATTTCTGCATTTCCAACTGAGGTACCTGGTTCATCTCACTGGGACTGGTTGGACAGTGGGTGCAGCCCTTGGAGGGTGAGCTGAAGCAGGGCGGGGTGTCGCCTCACCCGGGAAGTGCAAGGGGTCAGGGGATTTCCCTTTCCTAGCCAAGGGAAGCCGTGACAGACTACCTGGAAAAATGAGAAGCTTCTCTCCAAATATTGTGCTTTTCCCAAGGTCTTAGCAACCGACAGACAAGGAGATTCTCACCTGTGCCTGGCTCGGCGGGTCCCATGCCCACAGAGCCTTGCTCACTGCTAGCAAAGCAGTCTGAGATCAAACTGCGAGGCCACAGCCTGGCTGGGGGAGGGGCGTCTGCCATTGCTGAGGCTTGAGTAGGTAAACAAAGCAGTTGGGAAGCTCAAACTGGGTGTAGCCCACCACAGCTCAACAAGGCCTACTGCCTCTAGACTCCACCTCTGTAGGCAGGGCATAGCTGAACAAAAGGCAGCAGACAACTTCTGCAGACTTAAAAGTCACTGTCTGACAGCTCTTAAGAGAGCAGTGGTTCTCCCAGCATGACGTTTGAGCTCTGAGAACAGACAGACTGCCTCCTCTAGTGGGTCCCTGACCCCTGTGTAGCCTAACTGGGAGACATCTCCCAGTAGGGGCCAACAGACACCTCATATAGGTGGCTGCCTCTCTGGGACGAAGCTTCCAGAGGTAGGATCAGGCAGGAATATTTGCTGTTCTGTAATATTTGCTGTTCTGCAACCTCCGCCAGTGATACCCAGGCAAACAGGGTCTGGTGTGGACCTCCAGAAAACTCCAACAGACCTGCAGCTGAGGGACCTGACTGTTAGAAGGAAAACTAACAAACAGAAAGGAATAACATCAACATTAACAAATAGGTCATCTACACCAAAACCCCATCTGTAGGTCACCAACATCAAAGATCAAAGGTAGATAAAACCACAAAGATGGGGACAAACCAGAGCAGAAAAGCTGAAAATTCTAAAAACCAGAGTGCCTCTTCTCCTCCAAAGGATCGCAGCTCCTCACCAGCAATGGAACAAAGCTGGATGGAGAATGACTTTGACGAGTTGACAGAAGTAGGCTTCAGAAGGTCGGTAATAACAAACTTCTCCGAGCTAAAGGAGGATGTTCGAGCCCACCACAAGGAAGATAAAAACCTTGAAAAAAGATTAGATGAATGACTAACTAGAATAAACAGTGTAGAGAAGACCTTAAATGACCTGATGGAGCTGAAAACCATGGCCTGAGAACTTCGTGACACATGCACAAGCTTCAACAGCCGATTTGATCAAGTGGAAGAAAGGGTACCAGTGATTGAAGATCAAATTAATGAAATGAAGCGAGAAGACAAGGTTAGAGATAAAAGAGTAAAAAGAAATGAACAAAGCCTCCAAGTAATATGGGACTATGTGAAAAGACCAAATCTACATCTGATTGGTGTACCTGAAAGTGATGGGGAGAATGGAGCCAAGTTGGAAAACACTCTTCAGGATATTATCCAGGAGAACTTCCCCAACCTAGCAAGGCAGGTCAACATTCAAATTCAGGAAATACAGAGAACACCACAAAGATACTCCTTGAGAAGAGCAACCCCAAGACACATAATTGTCAGATTCACCAAGGTTGAAATGAAGGAAAAAGTGTTAAGGGCAGCCAGAGAGAAAGGTCGGGTTACCCATAAAGGGAAGCCCATCAGACTAACAGCGGATCTCTTGGCAGAAACTCTACAAGCCAGAAGAGAGTGGAGGCCAATATTCAACATTCTTAAAGAAAAGAATTTTCAACCCAGAATTTCATATCCAGCCAAACTAAGCTTCATAAGTGAATAATATCCTTTACAGACAAGCAAATGCTGAGAGATTTTGTCACCACCAGGCCTGCCTTGCAAGAGCTCCTGAAGGAAGCACTAAACATGGAAAGAAACAACCGGAACCAGCCACTGCAAAAGCATGCCAAATTGTAAAGACCATGGATGCTATGAAGAAACTGCATCAATTAATGGGCAAAATAATCAGTGAACATCATAATGACAGGATCAAATTCACACATAACAATGTTAACCTTAAGTGTAAATGGGCTAAATGCCCCAATTAAAAGACACAGACTGGCAAATTGTATAGTCAAGACCCATCAGTGAGCTGTATTCAGGAGACCCATCTCATGGGCAGAGACACATATAGGCTAAAATAAAGGGATGGAGGAAGATCTACCAAGCAAATGGAAAGCAAAAAAAAAAAAAAAAAAAAAAAAAAAAAAAAAAAAAAAAAGCGGGATTGCAATCCTAGTCTCGGATAAAACAGACGTTAAACCAACAAAGATCAAAAGAGACAAATAAGGCCATTACATAAAGGTAAAGGGATCCATTCAACAAGAAGAGCTGACTATCCTAAATATATATGCACCCAATATAGGAGTACCCAGATTCATAAAGCAAGTCCTTAGAGACCTACAAAGAGACTTAGACTGCCACACAATAATAATGGGAAACTTTAACACCCCACTGTCAATATTAGACAGATCAACGAGACAGAAGGTTAACAAGGATGTCCAGGACTTGAACGCAGCTCTGCACCAAGTGGACCCAATAGACATCTACAGAACTCTCCACTCCAAATCAACAGAATATACATTCTTCTCAGCACCACATCACACTTATTCTAAAATTGACCACATAATTGGAAGTAAAGCACTCAGCACATATGAAAGAACAGAAATCACAACAAACTGTCTCTCAGACCACAGTGTAATCAAATTAGAACTCAGGATTAAGAAACTCACTGAAAACCACACAAGTACATGGAAACTGAACAACTTGCTCCTGAATGACTACTGGGTAAATAATGAAATGAAGGCAGAAATAAAGATGTTCTTTGACACCAGTGAGAACAAAGACACAACGTAACAGAATCTCTGGGACACATTTAAAGCAGTGTAGAGGGAAATTTATAGCACTAAATGCCCACAAGAGAAAGCAGGAAAGATCTAAAATCGACACCCTAACATCACAATTAAAAGAATTAGAGAAACAAGAGCAAACAAATTCAAAAGCTAGCAGAATGCAAGAAATAACTAAGATCAGAGCACAACTAAAGGAGATAGAGAAACAAAAAACCCTTCAAAAATCAATGAATCCAGGAGCTGGTTTTTTGAAAAGATCAACAAAATTGATAGACCACTAGCAAGACAAATAATGAAGAAAAGAGAGAAGAATCAAATAGACAAAATAAAAAATGATAAAGGAGATATCACCACTGATCCCACAGAAATACAAACTACCATCAGAGAATACTGTAAACACCCCTAAGCAAATAAACCAGGAAATCTAGAAGAAAAGGATAAATTCCTGGACACATACACCCTCCCAAGACTAAACCAGGAAGAAGTTGAATCTCTTAATAGACCAATAACAGGCGCTGAAATTGAGGCAATAATTAATAGCTTACTAACCAAAAAAAAGTCCAGGACCAGATGGATTCACAGCTGAATTCTACCAGAGGTACAAAGAGGAGCTGGTACCATTCCTTCTGAAACTATTCCAATCAATAGAAAAAGAGGGAATCCTCCCTAACTCATTCTATGAGGCCAACATTATTCTGATACCAAAGCCTGGCAGAGACACAACAAAAAAAAGAGAAATTTAGACCAATATCCCTGATGAACATCGATGCAAAAATCCTCAATAAAATACTGGCAAACCGAATTCAGCAGCACATCAAAAAGCTTATCCACCACGATCAAGTCGGCTTCATCCCTGGGATGCAAGGCTGGTTTAACATATGCAAACTACAATGAGATACCATCTCAAACCTGTTAGAATGGCAATCTTTAAAAAGTCAGGAAACAACAGGTGCTGGAAAGGATGTGGAGAAATAGGAACACTTTTACACTGTTGGTGGGACTGTAAACTAGTTCAACCATTGTGGAAGTCAGTGTGGCGATTCCTCAGGGATCTAGAACTAGAAATAACATTTGACCCAGCCATCCCATTACTCGGTATATACCCAAAGGATTATAAATCATGCTGCTATAAAGACACCTGCACACATATGTTTATTGCGGCACTATTCACAATAGCAAAGACTTGGAACCAACCCAAATGTCCAAAAATGATAGACTAAATTAAGAAAATGTGGCACATATACACCATGGAATACTATGCAGCCATAAAAACTGATGAGTTTATGTCCTTTGTAGGGACATGGATGAAGCTGGAAACCATCATTCTCAGCAAACTATGGCAAGGACAAAAAACCAAACACCGCATGTTCTCACTCATAGGTGGGAATTGAACAATGAGAACACATGGACACAGGAAGGGGAACATCACACTCAGGGGACTGTTGTGGGGTGGGGGAAGGGGGGAGGGATAGCATTAGGAGATATACCTAATGTTAAATGAAGAGTTACTGGGTGCAGCACACCAGCATGGCACATGTATACATATGTAACAAACCTGCACATTGTGCACATGTACCCGAAAACTTAAAGTATAATAAAAAAATACACAAATCAATAAACGTAATCCAGCATATAAACAGAACCAATGACAAAAACCACATGATTATCTCAATAGATGCAGAAAAGGCTTTCAACAAAATTCAACAGCCCTTCGTGCTAAAAGCTCTCAATAAACTAGGTATTGATGGAATGCATCTCAAAATAATAAGAGCTACTTATGACAAACCCACAGCCAATATCATACTGAATGGGCAAAAACTGGAAGCATTCCCTTTGAAAACTGGCACAGGACAAGGATGCCCTCTCTCACCACTCCTATTCAAGATAGTGTTGGAAGTTCTGGCCAGGGCAATCAGGCAAGAGAAAGAAATAAAGGGTATTCAGTTAGGAAATGAGGAAGTCAAATTGTCCCTGTTTGCAGATGATATGATTGTATATTTAGAAAACCCCGTCGTCTCAGCCCAAAATCTCTTTAATCTGATAAGCAACTTCAGCAAAGTCTCAGGATACAAAATCTGTGTGCAAAAATCACAAGCATTCCTCTGCATTGTTAACAGACAAGCAGAGAGCCAAATCATGAGTGAACTCCCATTCACAGTTGCTACCAAGGGAATAAAAAGCCTGGGAATCCAACTTGCAAGGGATGTGAAGGACCTCTTCAAGGAGAACTACAAACCACTGCTCAACGAAATAAAAGAGGATACAAACAAATGGAAGAACATTCCATGCTCATGGATAGGAAGAATCAATATTGTGAAAATGGCCATACTGCCCAAAGTAATTTATAGATTCAATGCCACCCCATCAAGCTACCACTGACTTTCTTCATAGAATTGGAAAAACTACTTTAAAGTTCATATGGGACCAAAAAAGAGCCCGCATTGCCAGGACAATCCTAAGCAAAAACAGCAAAGCTGGAGACATCATGCTACCTGACTTCAAACTATACTACAAGGCTACAGTAATCAAAACAGCATGGTAGTGGTGCCAAAACAGATATATAGACCAACGTAACAGGACAGAGGCCTCGGAAAGAACACCACACATCTACAACCATCTGATCTTTGACAAACCTGACAAAAACAAAAAATGGGGAAAGGATTTCCTATTTAATAAATGGTGCTGGGAAAACTGGCTAGCTATATGTAGAAAGCTGAAACTGGATCCCTTCCTTACACCTTATACAATAAATTAATTCAAGATGGATTAAAGACTTAAATGTTAGACTTAAAACCATAAAAACCCTAGAAGAAAACCTAGGAAATACCATTCAGGACATAGGCATGGGCAAGGACTTCATGTCTAAAACACCAAAAGTAATGGCAATGAAAGCCAAAATAGACAAATGGGATCTAATTAAACTAAAGAGCTTCTGCATGGCAAAAGAAACTACCATCAGAGTGAACAGGCAACCTAGAGAATGGGAGAAAATTTTTGCAATCTATCTGTCTGACAAAGGGCTAATATCCAGAATCTACAAATAACTTAAACAAATTTACAAGAAAAAAACAACCCCTTCAAAAGTGGGCAAAGGATATGAACAGGCACTTCTCAAGACATTTATGCAGCCAGCAGACACATGAAAAAATGCTCATCATCACTGGTCATCAGAGAAATGCAAATCAAAACCACAATGAGATAACCACAATGAGATACCATCTCACGCCAGGTAGAATGGCAGTCATTAAAAAGTCAGGAAACAACAGATGCTGGAGAGGATGTGGAGAAATAGGAACGCTTTTACACTGTTGGTGGGAGTGTAAATTAGTTCAACCATTGTGGAAGACAGTGTGGTGATTCCTCAGGGATCTAGAACTAGAAATACCATTTGACCCAGCCATCCCATTACTGGGTATATACCCAAAGGATTATAAATCATGCTACTATAAAGACACATGGACACATATGTTTATTGTGGCACTATTCACAGTAGCAAAGACTTGGAACCAACCCAAATGTCCATCGATGATAGACTGGATTAAGAAAATGTGGCATATATACACCATGGAATACTATGCAGCCATAAAAAAGGATGAGTTCATGTCCTTTGCAGGGACATGGATGAAGCTGGAAAACATCATTCCCAGCAAACCATTACAAGGAGAGAAAACCAAACACCACATGTTCTCACTCATAGGTCAGAATTGAACAATGAGATCACTTGGACACAGGGCAGGGAACATCACACACCTGGGCCTGAGGGGGTGAGGGGCTGGGGGGAGGGATAGCATTAGGAGAAATACCTAAAGTAAATGATGAGTTGATGGGTGCAGCAAACCAACATGGCACATGTATATACCTATGTATCAAACCTGCACGTTGTGCACATGTACCCTAGAACTTAAAGTATAACAAAAAAATAAAAAAAGGTTGAATAATAACGGATGTTGGCGAAGCTGCAGAGAAAAGTGAATGCTTATACACTGTTGATCAGAATGTAAATTAGTTCAGTCACTGTAGAAATCAGTTTGGAGATTTCTAAAAGATCTTAAAACAGAGCTACAATTTGACTCTGCAATCCCATTACTGGGTATATATCCAAAAGAAAATAAGTGGTTCTACCAAAAAGACACATGCAGTTGCAAGTTCATCACAGTGCTATTCACAGTAGCAAAGACATAGAATCAACCTAGGTGTCCATCAATGGAGAATTAAATAAAGAAAATGTGGAACATATACACCATGGGATACTATGCAGCCATTAAAAGAATAAAATAATGTTGCTTGAAGCAACATCCATGCAGCTGGAGGCCATTATCCTAAGTAAATTAATGCAGGAACAGAAAACTAAATAACACATTCTCATTTATAAGTAGGAGCTAAACATTGAGTGCATATGGACATAAACATGGGAACAATAGACACTTGGGACAACTAGAGAGGGAAGGCAGAGAGTGGGTGTGGGCTGAAAAACTACCTATTGGGCGCTATGCCTGGGTGATGGGATTTCTACCACAAACCTCAGCATCACGTAATAAATCCATGTAAGAAAACTGCACATGTACCCCTATATCTAAAATAAAACTTGAAATTATAAAAACAGCAAAAACAAAATTAAAAAAAAAACACCCAGTCACCTCTGCAAAAATGGAAGTTGAGCTGAGTTTACACTGGACTCTCTTCTCCATTGTGATGGTTATTACTTAATAAAGACTATTCTTATCAAAAAAAAGAAGTAATAAAGGTAACAATATTGAGTTGGTGAGAATATGGAACAAGTAGAGCTTTTATCCTCTGTCATTGCGAGTGTAATTAGTACAACCACTTTGCAAGTAAACTGACATTAACTAGTAAAGTTGAACTTAAGAAAACTCAATGACCTAGAAATTTCACATCTAGGCATATGCTCTAGATCAGTTGTTCAACCTTGGGATTATTAATATTTAGAGGGAGATAATTCTTTGCTGTTGCTGCGGTTTAAATGTGTCCCTCAAAATTTATGTGTTGTAAACTTGATCCCCAATGCAGCAGTGTGGAGAAGTAGGATTTTAAAGAGGTGATTAGATCATGAGAGCTCTGCCCTCATGAATGGATGACTGCAGTTATTACAGGAGTGGATCCCTGATAAAAGGATGAGATTGCCCCTCTTCTATTCTCTCTCTCTCTCTCTCTCTCTCTCTCTCTCCCTTCCTCCCTCACCATCTCTCTCTTGCCACGTGATGCCTTCTGCCCCCATATGACACAGCAAGGAGGCCCTCACCAGATGTGGCCCCTTGATCTTGGACTTCCCAGTCTCAATACCATGAGTCAATAAATTTCTGGTCTTTATAATTAACCCAGTTTCAAGTATTCCGTTATAGCTGCACAAAACAAATTAAGACATTTGTGGATTGCATTCTAAGCATTGTAGGATGTTTAACAGCATCCCTGACCTCTATCCCACTAGATGCTAGTAGCACCCCCACTCTAAGTCATAATAACAAAAGATGTCTCCAGACATTGACAAATGTTCTCTGGAGGTGGGCAAAATTACATGGAGTTGAGAACCACTGCCCTAGAAAAACTCTTGTACATGGGTATTAAGAGATATGCATGAGAATGTTCATAGCAGCATCCTTTGCAAAAGCATAAAACTGGAAACAACCCACATGTTTATCAACAAGTGAATTAATAAAGTGTAGAATTTTCATATCATGGATAACTATTTTGCAGTGAAAAATAATTACTGCAGCTACACACATCAACATAGACAAATCTCATAAACCAAGTTGGGAGCAAAAAGGAAGAAGCCAAAATATAAGACATATAGTGTGACTGCATTTGTATTAGTTCCCAAAAGAGACAAAATGAAATAACATATTGCTTAAAGGAAAATACCTATGAAATGAACATATAAAGAAAAACAAGTGAATGATTAACGAAATTCAAGATAGTGGTTACCTCTGGGACCTCAGGGAGAGCATAAGTGGGTTTCAGAGGCTTCGATCATATTTTAGCTCCCATATTTGGTGATGGGTATGCAGGTTTTCATTTTACTATAATGTATTCCTTACATATATATGAAATATTTTATTTTAAGAAAATGATGGGGTCTAAAATAAGGCAGGAGGAGTGGAGGACACTAGACTATTGACTAGAATCAATAACTAAGTAGATGTTAAGTGAGAGAGACAGAACAAACAACCTTTAACTGCCTCTTGAGTGGATGCAGGAATAATTTTAAGCTTGTTTTATTTGTAGACTTGGAAATGAGATCAATGGCTTTTTATCTTCTCAATAAACAACCATGATCCGTTGTTTAGGCTTCTGAAAAATCTAAAATTCACACCTCAAAATTGATCTCACTACAAGATGTGAGTCATGGGACTTGACTACATGTGCTGCACAATGAAAACAAAACTCTATTGTCTGAGAATTCTGCCCTGTTAGACTTCTAAAATGTGTACTCATTTATATTCCTTGAAGTCATAAACATCTGAAAATAGGGGGCTTAGTGATTCATTTTCTCTAACTTTAGCATTGTTAGGATTTAGCATTCCCAACTGTACATTCTCAACTCTACAGAAAGTTATTTCTAACTCTGGCAATCACTCTACCTCCTCTTTATTCTCCCAATGGTCACCCTCCAGGCAGAGGAATACAAGGCAAGTTGGTTGCTAAATCGCTTCACAAGATTGAGCCATGAATTTGGAGAACATCAAAACATCTTAACCTTTCCCCTGTGTAGTAGACCAGTTTGTTAGACACTTGGGTTTATGTAGGAAATATGCAGATATGAAACTGAGAATTTTGGGCAATATTAAGTGACTTTTCAATGCCAGTGTGATAAAATTAATACCATAAAGAGTGAAGAAATCATTGAAGGTTGCTGAGCAGGTGAATGTCATTTTTTTGGAAACTTATCTGTCAGCAAGCACAGGATGGAATGGACAAGGGGGAGACTTTGGCAGGGGAGAAGCTTGGGGCCAAACAGAGGACTCGAGTTCATTTCTGCTATGTCTTAGCCTTCAGGCATTGGAGAGAATTGAGAAGAAAGAGAAACCATTCAGCTGCTCCATGGGACTCAGTTGCCAGCTTTTCTCTGCCTAATCCTTCAGCCCCTCTGGCCCTAGAGACTGATTGCTACCTTCTCTCAAATATTCCTACCCCTGTCCAAAAGGTGTTTTGCAATCATTGGTGATTGTTCTGAAAATGAAAGAGGCAAGATTTTCCTGAGAATATGGGTGCCCAGGGATATCTCAAAGGGTTGTTAGAAGCTGGCTGCACACTGGGCCAATCAAGCTCTGCTCTGGGACGCACAGATGGACACGTTTACACTTCATGGGGAAAGAAGATGAAAGAGCACCCCCTGCTGGCTTGAGACTTTTCAGTAGCTCTTCAGCTCCCACCTCAGCGGGTGGTGGAGAGCAAGTGCCTTTCTTGCCAGCAGGTTTATTTGGAAAGTCCAGGCAGATCGGCACCCCAGACCTATCCCTGAAACGTGGGTTCAGGACCCCGGGCACACATCCTGAATCTAACTTTGCTAAATGGGGTCCTGTCATTCCACTTCTCAGAGCCTCAGTTTCTCCATGTGTGGAGTGAAAGTCATGGCCATCCCTGAATTGTCTACCTCTCAGAGCTGCAGTAAGGGTCCCATGAGGTGGCAGCTGTGAAAGCACTTGGTAAACTGTAAAGAGCTGTGCTCCAGGGCTGAGTCATCACTGTGGTTATTATACAAGAGGATCTTTACTGAGCTGAGCAATGCTGTGGACCCTGTAGTGCTTAAGAAAGAATTCCTGGTGCTGCTGCAGCATTTGAGGATTTGACTTATAACACAATACAATTAGAAAAAGAAACTGGGTAACTTTCACTGTGAAGTGAAGGTAACACAAGAGCCATCAGTGAGGGGACCTGGGAGCCATCAGTGAGGAGGGACCACTGCTGCTGGCTCTATCACCCCCGATCCCCTACTGACTCCACCACCCACTCACTCCCTCCTTTGGACATCTCTCTATTTATTCTTTGTTCCTCTTCATTTTTCCATTAACTGAGTTCATCTCACAGTCCACCCTCTGAACCTCTCAATTTTTTTCCATTTTACTGAAATGTTTTTATTCTCCACTTTTTTCTTGCTTACTAAACTCTCTCTTTTGCTTGCCATTGTCTGTCTCTCAATTTCACTCTCTCTCTCTGCCCCTCTCCCTTTCTCTGTTTCTAATCTCCCTTCTCTCTCTGTCTCTCTGTCTCTCTCTCTCTCACACACACTCGCATTCATTTTAAACCAATTCTTTCTGCTGCTCTGGTGAGAGGCTCAGGAAGGAGAGCCTCTCAGCCAGTGTTGCTAGGCAACGCAGCATCACATGGCCAGCCCCACATTTTCTGCCTGCTTCTCCTTCTGAGCTCTGCTATCTGACTCTGTATTACACTCAGACTGGGCAGGTCTGAGTAAAGAATAGGCCCATTGGTTCACTTATAGTTGGCCTAAGGTGTCACCTTTCCTCTGAGATATCTAAGTTGCTGGAAACAGAGAAGGAAAAAAAAAAAGCTAAGGAAATAACAACCATAACAAGATGACATTCGTTTCCACAAACAGCTCTCCAGAGCACGGGGTTCTTAACTTGGTATCATGAAACTCCTAGGTACACTATGGAGAGGGCACAGGGGCTGCAAAATTCTTGAAATGTCATGCAAAATCGAATGTTTATGCTTACTTGCATTTTTTTGTTGTAAGGGTTTATAGTTTTTATCAAATTCTCAAAGGGAGTAATGTTTTCCAGGAAGTTCTTATCAAGTTGTCTATGCTGAATATTTTGCATTGTTATCCCCACCCTCTGCATCTCCCACTTACCCTGCTCTGACCTGCATAGGTTGCTTCAATGGACTCCCTTGCCCTCTGGCTTCTAGTTGGGTTCAGCCAGTGGAAGGTACTGATAGGAAATCAAAGGGAAGAGTAGGAGGAGAGTGAGGACAGAGAATGTATTCCCCTGACCCACTTCCTTCCAGGAATTTGTTGTGCACCTCTACTGAGGAGCAGATCCTATCTGGCAGCACTCTCCATATAGCTACCAACTTCTTCCTGTTGAGACCTCCACGGGAGATCTCAAGACAGTTCCTTCTCATCTCATGTTGCCCAGGTGTCCAGGAGTTTAAGAGGGGCCTGGACTGCTGAATGGTTGTAGCCAGGAATTGTTTCTGCTAGATATTTGATCAATGGGCTCCTTGGCACATGGCTCTCTGTTGCTGGCCGCTGATGGAGTTTTCTCCAGCGAAGTTCAATGTTCCCTCCCTTCTGACTCCATTTCTTTCTCTGTGGTTTCTCCCTTCTTTCCTCCCCAGTCTGCAGAATCTGCGGCAGGAGAAGAAAACTAGGTTACAAATGCTTCCAAATCTTCTCTGTCTTACACCTGAACCTCTGGCTTTTGAAAACTCAAGAGCAAAGATTTTGGAACCTTTGTTTTCTGGTTACATTCTGACAACTTCCCCCAAAGCCATGGGTTACTCACGTCTAGCATCTTGGCTTGGGGGTGGTGGGAGGGAGGGTCTCAGGTAAAAGGAGTAAAGCATAGAAGAGTAAAATGTGCAGCTGAATGTCCCAACACCTTATGTTGTCACAACCACTTTATACTGGCTGTAGATGGATTGAAGATCCAGGATAATTTAGTCGTAGAAGCTCCCCTGCTTTTTTTTCTGAACTAGGAGTCTTTTTTGAATAAGACTGTGAGTGAAGAACAGTAGAAACAAACAAACAGGGTGGACAAAGAATTTTCTGGACTCTTCATATGTGTGAAAGGGTCCCATTTGTAATTAAGGACACCATTTGGGAAGTCCTTTATAACCCATCAGACACAATGATAAGACTTAGAGATCCCACTTTTCCAGGTCAATTGCATATTTTCACTTTCCCTTTTTCTGTTTTCAAATCTTACTGGTCATTCTAAAGATACTAGAGTAGAGCTTGCAGCTGCTAGTCATGTTCACCTAGACTAAGATATCGTCCTGATGGACAATGCTGAGCTGGATACTGAAGTCCCTTGGGATTTTGCTGAGAAGGGCGGGGAATTACAGAACCAAAACAGTATGGCATTGTATGCAGAGAGTCCATGTCTCAGGAAGGATGTTTTCTTTCATTTATTGCCTTTGTGCACCCAGACTTGATTATAGGCTCCCTGGTGGTTTCACCTTGTGAACCATCTGGCTTACCAAAAATGTCTGAATAATTCTGGAATGAGAGGAAGCACTTACCCATCTCTTATCATTAATTGGTTAAGGATAGTAATCAGTATGGAAGGATTTTTTCCCCATTATTTCTATTTGTACAAACAGCCCAGCTGGTGATATATGTGTTTGTGTAGGGGCAGGGGTTGGGGTAGGAGCAGGTTGAATGAGTACATCAGTTCCCTGTGAAATTGCTTACGTCACAAGTAGATGATTGAGTCATTTGGGTCCTTCAGAAATCAGACACTGGGTCAGAGATGTAGGAACACAAAAGGTTTACTGGGGAGCATCTGTGAAAAATAAAAGGGAGATGAAGCATGATTGGGCTAGGAGAGCCTCATATCTCAATGCTTATCTGACAAAGTCTCACCCAATCTAACAGAGAGCTCTGGAGTAAAAATTTCCCATTAGAAGAATTCTGAGCTGGGCAGAAATGGCTAGGCCTTTGCGAGTCCTTGGCTCTGGCCTGTCCAAGAAGAGTGTGGTCTCATTTTAGAAAGTGAGATAGATCCTAAAAGTGAAGCTGGAGGCTGTGATCTCACTGCCCTCTTTGCAGCTGAACTGGAAGTTCTTGCTTAAAGGGAGACTCTAATGGTAGACCTCAATGGTTGCCACAATGATCTGCTGAGTTTAGCAGCAGAAGTGTGACTTGGGTCACAGAATGATGTTTGTTCTATAAACCTGCCATCCACAAAATTGGCTGGAGCCTCAGGGACACTCAAAGCCAATAGAGATAATTTCTTTTTAAGTATTCAAATCCACAGTGAATCTAAGTGTTTCCACGGAAGCTTTCATCCTAACCATCTATCCCACGACACACTAGGGCCTTGGGGCTCTAGGAATGCTCAGAGAAAAATTTTCCTAATAACCTGGTTCCTTAGAAGGCCATCTCTCAACCTCTGAGAGGCTTTGCTTTTGCTTATTTTGTTTCAGGGTTACCAGAGTCTATTGCATATATTTGAAGCAAAGGCCCTTCCAGGGCCTATGCCTACCTTCTACCTGCAACTTAATATATCTAGCGTCACTTAAGTTCATCTATTTCTAGGGTACAGTCATTTGTGCAGGTCATTTTTCATAGTCAAATTGACTGCTAGCCTGGCATAGAAGAATTTGATCGACTCATTCTACTTGGTGTATGAAGAGTGGGAGTACACTTTGGGTTAATATTATTGATGATACCTAATAATTATTGGGCACTTATTTGCCAGTTACTGTGTTAAGGGACTTACATGATTTTTCTCATTTATTCCTTAAATACCAACAAATATGGTATGCATAATTTATTATCCTTGTTTTACTTATGAGAAACTAGAGACATGAGAGATTAAATAACTTGCCCTAATTAATATCATTAAGTAAGAGGGGGAGCTGAGATTCAAGCCCAGGAAGTCTGGCTCCAGAATCCATGGTCTTAATCACTACACTGTGACACAGGCTGCCTCCTCTGATGCAGAGTCTGTATGTCATCTCAGCTATATGGACTGTGTCTCCATCTTAGAAGATGCAGGAAATAGTAAAGGACAAAGAGAAGATAATTCAGATGAAAGTCATTAGACTTAGAAGCTCAATTCTGATTCTACCCAGGTATAAAGATAGTTGGGTATCCATAGAAGTGGAGGTGGCTGTGGCAGCCAGGCAAACTAGTCAGAGAATGGCATGGTGGGAGTAGGTACAGGTAAAGGATTGCCCAGGAAGTTGTATACCTTAACCAACAAGGACACTTGTTACAAGGTACAATTGAGCATTTCAGGTCATTTTACTCCCTTATGGCTAGAAATAATGTCATGTAGACAATAATCAGCAGTGTGACAGGGGTCCTGGGAGCCTTGTTATACATAAAACTATGGTAGAATCCCAGTTCTAGCCAAGCCAAGAGTCAAGTCTAGGGGAGTTAAGAAAAGTAAGGAAATGCAACCAGGCACTATATGTCCAAGCTGATTGGCAGGTAGAATTCAGATACCAGAAAGTCAGAGTCCACAAGCAACCCACACCAGTACATAGGTCAGATGCTGATATATGATGGAAGTTTTTTGGGCTCTGCTTGAATTCTGCCTTTTGTATCAAGCTTTCTGATGCTAGTAGTTGTGAATTGTAGTTAGAAGGTGAGAAGCCCGCTGGCAATTCCCATCCCTGAATATGAAAAGAGGAACCAGTATTCTCTCATGCCCAGAAGTTGTGAGATTCTCAATGCTACTTGCAGTTTATTCATGTTTTACATATATCTGCTATGATTTTAGTCATATTATGCAGAAAAAATAAGCAATTACAGCACCATTAAATTTTAAATTACTCAGAAACTTAGCTGCCATACCACTGTCAATACTGGTCTTGGTTTTCAGTGAATTAATCCTTCACAAGAAGTATTTAAAAGTTACAATTCTGGCCGGGCGCAGTGGCTCACGCCTGTAATCCTAGCATTTTGGGAGGCTGAGGTGGGCAGATCACTTGAGCTCAGGAGTTCGAGACCAACCTGGCTAACATGGCAAAACCCTGTCTCTACTAAAAATACAAAAATTAGCTGGGTGTGGTGGCAGGCGCCTGCAATCCCAGCTACTTGGGAGGCTGAGGCAGGAGAATCGCTTGAACCCAGGAGGTAGAGGTTGCAGTGAGCCAAGATCATGCCACTGCACTCCAGCCTGGGTGACAGAGTGAGACTCCATCTTGAAAAAAAAAAAAAACCTAAAAAAAAATTGCAATTTTAAGTTTACTAAAATCAGACTCACAAGTTTAAGAAGTTGAGTAATAGAGTCAAGTAGAAAAATGAAATTTCTCCGAATGCAATTTTAAGAAAACAAAGGCTTTAAGCGGAAATCAGAGAGAAATAGATTTTTGTGAGAAATAAAATTTGCTGCAAAACATAATTTGAATGGGAAAGTGCAAGTTAAGTGCTGTTTAACTTGGAGCAAGAATTTAGATACATGTGGAGAAACAACATCCCTCAAACCATATTCTTCCCAGAAAATAAAACTAAATCTAGCCTCCCTAGTTGTTCTCTGTCTAACTTGGACTTGATGAACATAACTATCAGAAAAATCAGATAAAAAACCTGGGTCTTGTGTTTTGGGGGAAAATGATACCAAATAACAGATTCTGTCGACTTCTTACTGAATATCTTTTTCTTCCACTCTTTGTCTTTCTCCTTCTTTTCCTTTTCTCCAGCCTTCCCTACTTCAATCCTTCGCTTTCTGGTAATGAATCTCAGAGTAGTTAATACATTGCATTCCAAATTGCTTTTGGCTTCCTGGTAGTGCTTGCTTTTAGGGGACATTTTTCTTTCCAAGTATGTGTAGTCAGGAAACATTTTTAGAAGAGTAGATTAGAGGTTGGGAAAAAAAAAACCCAGTCCAACAGTGTTCTATTCTCATTTGCTCTATTTAAGAATCATTAGTACTTGTTAAACACTTTGTGCTTCTCTCACTGAGCCTGGACTTTTCCCTGCCATAGCCCCATTCTTCTTCTCATTTTCTACTGGATGATGAGCTCCTTGAGGGCAAAGCCTGTATCTTATTCATCTCCATGTTGCCAACCTCTAAGTCAGAAGTAAATCTTCAACAAAGTATTGTTGAATTAATATCCCACTCCTGCTTTGCAACAGTATTTCTGTCTCTGAAGTGGTCAAGAAGTCAACTTTCATTAATTAATTAATTTAAAATATTCATTTTTGGATCGTTACTATGCTAAAGATTCTGCTCTGACGAAGTATATAGGGAGTAACAAAAGTCAAATAGACAAGCTATTGCAATATTGTAAGAGGACATATTGCAATATGCTGGGAGGACGTAGGCACAGAATCTAACTAGGTAAATAGTGTCAGGGAATGTTTCTTACAGGTAATATTTGATCTGAGTCTTGAAGAATATGTAGAATTTGGTTACCAGGTAAAACAAGAGGGTGGTGAGCAGGGACAGGAGCAAGTGTAAATGCACAAAAGCAGGAGAAGGCGTAGAAGGTTCAGGAAATTCAAGATGACTTGAATTTATATATATAGTATGGAATGGAAAGATGAAGCTTGAGAAGTAGTGAAGAAGTAGTGAAGGCCCAAATAACACAGCACATTATATGTCAGCTTGAGGGGATTAAACTTTATTATGTGTCCAATAGATAGCAACAGCAGTTTGTAACTTATGACTCTGGTAGCAGTATGAAGGATAGACCAGGGAAAGCTGGATTTGTTGCAGAGAACTGGGTGGGAGGCTATTGCAGTAGTTCAGGTGAAAAAATGATGACTTGAACAAGGGTAGTGGGAATGAATATGGAAATGAGGAAATGGGCCCAAATGATACATAGAAGGTCGAACTAAAAAGAATCACATAAATATGGAAGGGTGAGAGTGGTAGAGAGTCATGAACAACACTGAAATGATGGTGCCAAATACTTGAAGTAGAAGGAGAAACAGACACAGGCAGGGGAAAGATGAATACAGTTTGGACACGAGTTTGAAGAACATGTAGTATATCGAAGTCAAAATGGTCAAAACCTCCTTTAAGAGGTTGAATAGGAGAGATGGGGGTTCAGGAAAGTATTGTTGATATGGATTTGCATGTCATCAGCACAGAAGTGATACTTGGAATAGTAATATATGAGATCAGCCGGGGAGTGACAAAATAAGAGAGGCCAGGAGAGAGCATTGACAAGTACTAATGTTTAAGGAAGAGAGGTTCTGAAGGAGACTGAGCTGCACCAGCCAAAGAGGCTGTTAACTTTTAAAATCAAAGGCTATAAGGTTTCTGGAATTGGAAAATGACCCCAAGCTTCTGCCTTCTGTGGTCCCTTGCCACTCTGATTTTAGCTCCTGGAGATAAACTTTTTTTAAATTTCTTGCAAGGTCAGCTATGCATTCATAAGGAAATTTGCTGTAATTTATCTAGCTTCATAGTTTGTGGAGCAAGAAAGCATTTCAGAATACTCACTCCACCACAGTGACGGGAATATTCCACTGTATTACTTTTAAAATTAAAAGCATTGGTTACAACTTGATAAAGGGAATTGATGAAAAAAACTTAAAGCTAACATCATACTTAATAGTGAAATACTGAATGCTTTTCCCCTAAGATCAAGAACAAGACTGCTCTCACCTTTCCCATTCAATGTTGCACCAAAGATTCTAGTCAGTGCAATCAATTCAAAAAAACGGAGAAATAAAAAGCATCCATATTAGAAAGGAAGGGATAAAACTCATTTTTTTGCAGATAACATGCTCATCTATGTAGGAAATCCTGTGATTTCTATAACAAACAGTAGAACTAATAAGTGAGTTTGGCAACATTGCAGGATACAAGATCAATATACAAAAATCTATTAAATTTCTATATACTAGCAATGAGCAATTGGAAATTGAAAGGAAATATTCTCAGTCACAATATCATAAAATATGAAATATTGAGGAATCAATCTATCAAAGAATATGGATGATCTATGCAATTAAAACTAATAAACATCACTGATGGAAATTAAAGAAGATTTAAATAAATGTAGATATATGTCTTGTTCATGGACTGAACTCAATATTAAGATGTCAGTTCTCCCCAGATTGATCTGTAGATTCAGTACAATCTCAATCAAAGTTCTAGCAGGCATTTTTTGTAGACATGGACAAACTAATTTTAAAGTTCCCATGGAAATGCAGATGACCCAGAATAACCAAAAGAACTTTCAAAAACAACAAATTTGGAAGACTTACTCTAGCTTATTTAAAGAGGTACTATATAGCCATAGTATTGGCATAAAGATAGACAAGTAGAACAGAACAGAGAGTCCAGAAATAGACGCCTATGTGTGTGGTCAATTGATTTTTGACAAAAGTGCAAAGTCAAGTCAGTGGAGAAAATATGATCTTTTTAACCTAACAATGCTAAAACAATTTGGATAGTTATATGCAAAAACAATAGCAACAATATCAATAAACAAAACCCAAAACCAACCAAATAAACAAAACTTTGATCCATACCTTGCACATATAAAAATTCTGTAAAAGTGGATCATAGACCTAAACATAGAAATGAAAACTATATAATTTCTAGAAAAAAATCGGAGAAAGTCTTGAGACCTTGGGTTAAGCAAAGATTTCTTTGAGAGGGCAGAAAAAAGCAAGATCCATAAAAGAAAAATTTGATAAATTAGACATAATCAAAATTGGAAACTTTTGCAGTTTGAAAAACAGTGCTAAGAGAAGAAAAAACAAGCCATAGGCTTAGAAAAAATTTTTGCAAATTACATATCTGATAAGGGACTAGTATCCAGCATATGTAAAGTAATTTTCTAATTCAATGATAAGAAGACAACCCAATACATAAAATGGGCAGAGGATTTGAACAGACACTTCACCAGAGAAGATATATTGATGGCAAATAAGCACATGAAAAGACGCTCAATATCATTATTTATTAATGAAAAACAAATTAGAACCTCAATAAGATACAACTACCCCATCACTAGAATGGCTAAAATTAAAGACACCAACTATTACAAGTATTGGCAATGATGTACAGAAACTGGAACATTACACACTGATGTTGGAAATGTAAAATGGTGCAACCACTTTGGAGAATACTTTGACAGTTTCTTGTAACAAAATTTGTAACAAATGTTAAGAGTAACTTTATTTGAAATAGCCCCCAACTGGAAAAAAACCCAAATGTTCATCAACAGGTGAATTAATAAACAAATAGTGGTACATACACACAATATTATTCAGCAATAAAAATGAACTAGTGATACATATTATATCATGGATGAATCTCAAAATAATTATGCTGACTGAAAGAAGCTAAACAAAGAAAAGTACACACTGTATGATTCAATTTATATAAAATTCTATAAAATGCGAAGTAGTCTATAGTGACAGTGCAGATCAATTTTTGTCTGGGAGTTGGAGATTGGGAAGGGATGGGAAATAATGGTTGCAAGGGAATGAGGCAATGTTCTGGGGTGATGAATATGTTCACTATCTTCTTTAGGGTGATGGTTTCACAAATATGTACAAAACTTAAATTGTATACTTTAATTGTGTTCACTTATTTGTATGTCAATTATACCTCAGCTTCTGAAAGAAGTTGATTAAAAAATATAAACATTAAAAAACATGAAACAGTCTGTGTCTTGTTTGAAGACACAGACTGGCTACCTGAATCACAAACTTAAAATTTAGAGTAGTCATCAATTTATCTTAGTTTTCCAAATGCGTGTGACCTTCTATAAATCCACCCCAGCAATTCTGCTTCTGTAGGGCCTTCTACATTTACTTTTTTCTCTGTTTCTCTGAAACTATAATCCTTTAATAAGTTTCTGGCAGCGATATTTAATTTACCTGTAAAACAACATTAGAAAAAGAATGAAGTAAATTACTGTACAGGATGGATGTAGGCATAAACTGTAGCATTTTTGTTTTGAAATGTAATATCAGAACTCCAAGTGAAAACTGGTTTAATGCTGCAGATAAAATGACCAGAGATGTATAAATTGGATGACTCCTTTTATGAACACAATCTTAAAATAAGACCTGTTTTTACTCTTAGAAACTCACTTTCATTTGGTCTATTTTAATCCTACTAACTTATTTTAAAGCTCACAACATATCTACTCTGCTTTAAGTACTATAGTGGCCTTTGGCCAAAAGCAATACAGTGTTCATGTGATCAGAATATTAGGAAAAGGTTCCAACAGAGAAAATAGATGAACATCAGAGCTGTCAGAGATGCTCAGTAAGAGTGGACTCAATGACAGAGTCCTTTCCTTCTCTGAGTCATGAGGATTCTATGATATACTATATGGGTTCTCAACCTAGAGTAAAATCATCTCTTGAAAATACAGGCAAAATTGCACATATATGAAGATTTTTTCTGGAGAGAAGGTTCAAACTTTTCATTTCTTTGTTTACTTTCTTTGTAATCTGTGCACAGGTCATTCTCTGTCTTCCAGTTCCAAATCATTTATAGACTTACCCTTTTCTGAATGTAGGGTAGGACATGGGCTTCCTATTTGAAGACACAGCTGGGGCACTGGATTTGAAATTGGCAGCCTTGTGTCTGGTTCTGATTCTGCCACATACTATGTGTGTGACATTAGTCAAGCTGCCTTCTTATCTTTTGGCCTGTTTCACTGTATCTTCAAATTAAGAGATTGGATTAGAAGGATGCTTAACAGCCCTTTCATTTCCAACTTCCTAGGGTTCTCTGTACTAGGAAGCTCTTGATTTTATGTCGCCTTCTCCAGGTCTTTGGTGTTTCCCTCATTTGCCAAGGCCCTGCATCAGGGTTATATATTTCTCCAGCTAATGGCTTCTAGTCTTGGTGTGTACCATTGCCCTGCATGGCAAAGACAAGGCTTTAACAATGACAAGAACTGTTGCCTTTCCTCCTGAGGCTTTCGGGTTCTGAGGCATCTTGTCTCCTTCACATTCTTTGACAGAGGCTAAAACTTGGATCCCATGGTGGCATGCCCCACTCCTATATCCCAACTATCTGGATTTGATCAAACACCATTTATCAAGTTGTGACCACTCTTGTCATAGACCATCAGGGCAATAAGAACCCATAGAAATCACCTAGTCCATCACTCTTCTCACCATCACCTCTTTGTTTTCTAGATATGTGTGAGAAAGAGGAGGGAAGGGACTTGCAGAAAGTCATACATGAAGTTCATAAATCAGGATTAAAACCTAGGAATTCTGACTCCACATTCAGTGCTCTTTCCACGGAACCTTTTTTTTTCTTTTTTTGGTCAATTATATTGCCAGGCATAATGCCTTGTTTTATCTGGCTATTCATTCATTCCATTCATTCTTTCATTAAAAGTCATCACGAATGCCTACTATGTGCCAGTCACTATGCTCATTGCTGGAGAAAATGCTTCCAGGAGCAAGTCAGCTCTGTCCTTAGGCACTTCCAGGCTGTAGACTATGTGTTATTTCTTACAGCACTGATTTGGGCTAAATGCAACAGAACAGGTGGTCTTATAAGGCCCTACTCAATCTGGCACCCCATCACCTGTGCCCTCACCTCCTACTGTGCTCCCCTTGGCTCACTCAGCTCCAGCCATGCTGGCTTCCTTGCCATTCCCTGAACGTGCCAGGCATGCTCCCGTCTCAGAGCTTTGACATTGGCTGGTTCCTCTACCTTGATCATTCCTCTGCCAGACAATGAAGGAGGAGTCAGTGCAAACTCCCTCACCTCCTTCAAGTTTCTTTTCCAATGTCAGCTTCTCAATGAGACTTACCTTGACTCAAAGTTATGGATCCCCCGCCCCCACAAACACTCCTAATCCTGCTTATTCTGCTTTCTGTTATTGTTTTCATGGCATATATTACCTTTAAACATGCTAAAGAATTGAATTATAATATTTCTCATTTATTGTCTGTCTTCTCCTTCTGGGAGGAAAGTTCCCACAGGGCAGTGACCTTTGTTTTGTTCCCTCCTGCATCTCAAGCATCTAGGACAGTGCTCAGCACAAAGCAGGTGCTCCATAAACATTTGGTAAATGAATGAATGGATTGTAGTTTAAGGATTTTCAAGGGTAGTTTGACTATACTTGATTTTCAGATTCTGCGTGGCCTTATTTTCTCCTTTAGGGCCTCAGATGTACAAAACTAAATTGATCAGACTCCACTGTTCAAGGCACACCAACATCATTGAATGGTGGAAGACCTCTTTTTGCTTTATTTTCTTTTATTGTTTTCCATTTCATTTCCCGTTCCTTCTACACTTCCTTTTCTTGGGCCCACCCATGAATATTTAGGGAGTGTCCGTTCAATCCAACTAATATGTGAATATTTAGAGGCATGTGTGTCTTTGAAAAATCAGAGTATTGCACGTGTTTAATTTAAAAATTGCATAACGTTTTAAATGCATATCTTTCTTGCCCCTTTTATGCAACATTATGTTTATGAGAGCTACCTTTTGCTGCATGTAAAATTAATTCCTTATTTCTGACTGTTGTGTACTACTTCACGTACCTAATGATGGACATTGTAGATACTCCACTCCTTGCTCCCCACAGCATCACTTCAGTAAACATTCTTTTATGTATCTCCTTTTGTATTTCAGTAAGCTTCTCTTGGGATATAATCCCAGGCATGAGGCTGCCTTTCTTTTTTTTTTTTTTTTTAATCTTTATTTTTATTTTTATTTTTTATTTATTTATTTTTATTATACTTTAAGTTTTAGGGTACATGTGCACATTCTGCAGGTTAGTTACATATGTATACATGTGAGGCTGTCTTTCTTATCTTTTGCCCATTTTCCTACTGGAATGTCTGTCTTATACTTGTGATTTAGAAGAAATTTCTTGCTCATCCTAGATATTACTTTTTTGCTAGCTTTAGACATTGCAAATATCTTTCTCACCCTCCTGTTAACTTTGTCTATGGTGTCCATTGTTGAAAAGAAGACTTTAATTTTGGTATAGTCAAATCCATTGTCTTTTCACCTTACTGTTTGTGCTTTTGGAGGTTTATTTAAGAATTCTTTTCGTGTCGTGAGGTCTCCAAATTCTTAGCTTGCTTTTATTATCTTTATAGATTCACTTTTCACCTTTATATCTTTAATCCATGAAAAGTTTATTTTTGTACATAGTGTAAATAGATAAACAAATTTCTATTTCTCCATACAATGAGCCAATTTTACCCATGCTATTTACTAAGTGATTTCTCTTCCCCACATTAATTTATGATACCTCTATCATATACTCTATATGATATACCTCTATCATATACTAAGATCCCATAAATATACAGATGTGTTTCTGGGCTATTTTGTTCCATTGGATTACTTTTGAGTTACTGCTCTGCTACTACACTCCTTTTATTACTAGGGTTTTGCAATAATTATTAATACCTAGTAGCTTTGTGTAGTGCTTAAAGAAGGTGCTTTCTGATTATTTTCAAAATCAGTTTAAAGAGTGTGGCATACATATATATTTCTAATATTTTTGCAAGCATTTACTGCTTTACATAATCACTTGAAAAACATTTCTTTTTAAACCTCAGATCTACAAATGTAGCAGTGAAGCAATGCAATTGGAATCTCCCCTGGAATAGAGTGACAGCAGTTGTATGTAAGAAATACTCTCAAACTGAAGGCATGCCAGTTTGGTTACTTTTTCATCAGATTCCAGTAAACAAACTACTTTCTCTGCAACCAGTGGTTGTCAGGAATTCCTGCTATGCTGGTATTGTTACCTCCAAAGTAAAATGGTAGGGCTTTCTTTTCTTCAGTCAGCTCCTTTTTAACATATAAC
This sequence comes from Homo sapiens, assembly GCF_000001405.40. Classification (NCBI taxonomy): domain Eukaryota; kingdom Metazoa; phylum Chordata; class Mammalia; order Primates; family Hominidae; genus Homo; species Homo sapiens. The sequence continues at coordinate 152,588,322 of NC_000023.11, read as the reverse complement.
AGCTGCTGATCCATCTTGTTTAAACATCTTGTATAAATATATGACAAAGCAGTTCCCTTGTACATCCTACAGACTGGTCTGCTAACTTTCCACTGAGGGTCTGGAGCTCTGATATATTACCTGTGGAGCTTTCTGAATATATGTGAACTGTCATGTTAGAAAATTAGGTTTTTTTTCTATCACAAACAACTAAACTGTAAATTTAGTAACCCTGATAAATTTTTCCCTTTAAATCTTAGGCCACGAGTCTTTTATTTTTTTTTATTTTTATTTTTTATTATTATACTTCAAGTTCCAGGATACACGAGCACAATGTGCAGGCCCGCAACACGTGTATACATGTACCATGTTGGTGCACTGCACCCACCAACCCGTCACCTAGCATTAGGTATATCTCCTAATGCTATCCCTCCCCCCTCCCCCACCCCACAACAGTCCCCGGTGTGTGATGTTCCCCTTCCTGTGTCCATGTGTTCTCATTGTTCAATTCCCACCTATGAGTGAGAACATGTGGTGCTTGGTTTTTTGTCCTTGCGATAGTTTGCTGAGAATGATGGTTTCCAGCTTCATCCATGTCCCTACAAAGGACATGAACTCATCCTTTTTTATGGCTGTATAGTATTCCATGGTGTATATGTGCCACATTTTCTTATTCCAGTCTATCATTGTTGGACATTTGGCTTGGTTCCAAGTCCTTGCTATTGTGAATAGTGCCGCAATAAACATATGTGTGCATGTGTCTTTATAGCAGCATGATTTATAATGCTTTGGGTATATACCCAGTAATGGGATTGCTGGGTCCAATGGTATTTCTAGTTCTAGATCCTTGAGGAATTGCCACACCAACTTCCACAATGGTTGAACTAGTTTACAGTCCCACCAACAGTGTAAAAGTGTTCCTATTTCTCCACATCCTCTCCAGCACCTGTTGTTTCCTGACTTTTTAATGATTGCCATTCTAACTGGTGTGAGATGGTATCTCATTGCGGTTATGATTTGCATTTCTCTGATGGCCAGTGATGCTGAGCATTTTTTCATGTGTTTTTTGGCTGCATAAGTGTCTTCTTTTGAGAAGTGTCTGTTCATATCCTTCGCCCACTTTTTGATGGGATTGTTTGTTTTTTTTTTCTTGTAAATTTGTTTGAGTTCATTGTAGATTCTGGATATTAGCCCTTTGTCAGATGGATAGATTGCAAGAATTTTCTCCCATTCTGTAGGTTGCCTGTTCACTCTGATGGTGGTTTCTTTTGCTGTGCAGAAGCTCTTTAGTTTAATTAGATCCCATTTGTCAATTTTGTCTTTTGTTGCCATTGCTTTTGGTGTTTTAGACATGAAGTCCTTGCCCATGCCTATGTGCTGAATGGTATTGCCTAGGTCTTCTTCTAGGGTTTTTATGGTTTTAGGTCTAACACGTAAGTCTTTAATCCATCTTGAATTAATTTTTGTATAAGGTGTAAGGAAGGGATCCAGTTTCAGCTTTCTCCATATGGCTAGCCAGTTTTCCCAGCACCATTTATTAAATAGGGAATCCTTTCCCCATTGCTCGTTTTTGTCAGATTTGTCAAAGATCAGATAGCTGTATATATGCGGCATTATTTCTGAGGGCTCTGTTCTGTTCCATTGGTCTATATCTCTGTTTTGGTACCAGTACCATGCTGTTTTGGTTACTGTAGCCTTGTAGTATAGTTTGAAGTCAGGTAGTGTGATGCCTCCAGCTTTGTTCTTTTGGCTTAGGATTGACTTGGCAACACGGGCTCTTTTTTGGTTCCATATGAACTTTAAAGTAGTTTTTTCCAATTCTGTGAAGAAAGTCATTGGTAGCTTGATGGAGACGACATTGAATCTATAAATTACCTTGGGCAGTATGGCCATTTTCACGATATTGATTCTTCCTACCCATGAGCATGGAATGTTCTTCCATTTGTTTGTATCCTCTTTTATTTCGTTGAGCAGTGGTTTGTAGTTCTCCTTGAAGAGGTCCTTCACATCTCTTGTAAGTTGTATTCCTAGGTATTTTATTCTCTTTGAAGCAATTGTGAATGGGAGTTCGCTCATGATTTGGCTCTCTGTTTGTCTCTTACTGGTGTATAAGAATGCTTGTGATTTTTGCACATTGATTTTGTATACTGAGACTTTGCTGAAGTTGCCTATCAGCTTAAGGAGATATTGGGCTGAGATGATGGGGTTTTCTAGATATACAATCATGTCATCTGCAAACAGGGACAATTTGACTTCCTCTTTTCCTAATTGAATGCCCTTTATTTCCTTCTGCTGCCTGATTGCCCTGGCCAGAACTTCCAACACTATGTTGAATAGGAGTGGTGAGAGAGGGCATCCCTGTCTTATGCCAGTTTTCAAAGGGAATGCTTCCAGTTTTTTCCCATTCAGTATGATATTGGCTGTGAGTTTGTCATAGATAGCTCTTATTATTTTGAGATATGTCCCATCAATACCTAATTTATTGAGAGTTTTTAGCATGAAGGGCTGTTGAATTTTGTCAAAAGCCTTTTCTGCATCTATTGAGATAATCATGTGGTTTTTGTCTTTGGTTCTGTTTATATGCTGGATTACGTTTATTGATTTTCGTATGTTGAAGGGCAGCCTTGCATCGCAGAGATGAAGCCCCCTTGATCATGGTGGATAAGCTTTTTGATGTGTTGCTGGATTCGGTTTGCCAGTATTTTATTGAGGATTTTTGCATCAATGGTCATCAATGATATTGGTCTAAAATTCTCTGTTTTTGTTGTGTCTCTGCCAGGCTTTGGTATCAGGATGATGGTGGCCTCATAAAATGAGTTAGGGAGGATTCCCTCTTTTTCTATTGATTGGAATAGTTTCAGAAGGAATGGTACCAGCTCCTCCTTGTACCTCTGGTAGAATTCGGCTGTGAATCCATCTGGTCCTGGACTTTTTTTGGTTGGCAAGAAATTAATTATTGCCTCAATTGCAGCGCCTGTTATTGGTCTATTCAGAGATTCAACTTCTTCCTGGTTTAGTCTTGGGAGAGTGTATGTGTTGAGGAATTTATCCATTTCTTCTAAATTTTCTAGTTTATTTGCATAGAGGTGTTTATACTATTCTCTGATGGTAGTTTGTATTTCTGTGGGATCGGTGGTGATATCCCCTTTGTCGTTTTTTATTGCGTCTATTTGATTCTTCTCTCTTTTCTTCTTTATTAGTCTTGCTAGCGGTCTGTCAATTTTGTTGATCTTTTCAAAAAACCAGCTCCTGGATTCACTGATTTTTTGAACGGTTTTTTGTGTCTTATTTCCTTCAGTTCTGCTCTGTTCTTAGTTATTTCTTGCCTTCTGCTAGCTTTTGAATGTGTTTGCTCTTGCTTCTCTAGTTCTTTTAATTGTGATGTTAGGGTGTCAATTTTAGATCTTTCCTGCTTTCTCTTGTGGGCCTTTAGTGCTATAAATTTCCCTCTACACACTGCTTTGAATGTGTCCCAGAGATTCTGGTATGTTGTGTCTTTGTTCTCGTTGGTTTCAAAGAGCATCTTTATTTCTGCCTTCATTTCGTTATGTACCCAGTAGTCATTCAGGAGCAGGTTGTTCAGTTTCCATGTAATTGAGTGGTTTTGAGTGAGTTTCTTAATCCTGAGTTCTGGTTTGATTGCACTGTGGTCTGAGAGACAGTTTGTTATCATTTCTGTTCTTTTACATTTGCTGAGGACTCTTTTACTTCCAACTATGTGGTCAATTTTGGAATAGGTGCGGTGTGGTGCTGAAAAGAATGTATATTCTGTTGATTTGGGGTGGGGAGTTCTATAGATGTCTATTAGGTCCACTTGGCGCAGAGCTGAGTTCAATTCCTGGATATCCTTGTTAACTTTCTGTCTTGTTGATCTGCCTAATGTTGACAGTGAGGTGTTAAAGTCTCCCGTTATTATTGTGTGGGAGTCTGAGTCTCTTTGTAGGTCACTAAGGACTTGCTTTATGAATCTGAGTGCTCCTGTATTGGGTGCATATATATTTAGGATAGTTAGTTCTTCTTGTTGAATTGATCCCTTTACCATTATGTAATGGCCTTCTTTGTCTCTTTTGATCTTTGTTGGTTTGAAGTCTGTTTTATCCAAGACTAGGATTGCAACCCCTGCCTTTTTTTGTTTTCCATTTGCTTGGTAGATTTTCCTCCATCCCTTTATTTTGAGCCTATATGTGTCTCTGCACATGAGATGGGTTTACTGAATACAGCTCACTGATGGGTCTTGACTCTTTATTCAATTTGCCAGTCTGTGTCTTTTAATTGGAGCATTTAGCCCATTTACATTTAAGGTTAGTATTGTTATGTGTGAATTTGATCCTGTCATCATGATGTTAGCTGGTTATTTTGCTCGTTAGTTGATGGAGTTTCTTCCTAGACTTGATGGTCTTTACAATTTGGCATGTTTTTTGCAGTGGCTGGTACCGGTTGTTCCTTTCCATGTTTAGTGCTTCCTTCAGGAGCTCTTTTAGGGCAGGCCTGGTGGTGACAAAATCTCTCAGCATTTGCTTGTCTGTAAAGGATTTTATTTCTCCTTCAGTTTTGAAGCTTAGTTTGGCTGGATACGAAATCCTGGGTTGAGAATTCTTTTCTTTTAGAATGTTGAATATTGGCCCCCACTCTCTTCTGGCTTGTAGAGTTTCTACCGAGAGATCAGCTGTTAGTCTGATGGGCTTCCCTTTGTGGGTAACCCGACCTTTCTCTCTGGTTGCCCTTAACACTTTCTCCTTCATTTCAACTTTGGTGAATCTGACAATTATGTGTCTTGGAGTTGCTCTTCTCGAGGAGTATCTTTGTGGCATTCTCTGTATTTCCTGAATTTGAGTGTTGACCTGCCTTGCTAGATTGGGGAAGTTCTCCTGGATAATATCCTTAAGAGTGTTTTCCAACTTGGTTCCATTCTCCCCATCACTTTCATGTACACCAATCAGACGTAGATTTGGTCTTTTCACACAGTCCCATATTTCTTGGAGGCTTTGTTCATTTCTTTTTATTCTTTTATCTCTAAACTTCTCTTCTTGCTTCATTTCATTCATTTCGTCTTCCATCGCTGATCCCCTTTCTTCCAGTTGATCGCATCGGTTACTGAGGCTTGTGCATTCATCACGTAGTTCTCGTGCCTTGGTTTTCCGCTCCATCAAGTCCTTTAAGGACTTCTCTGCATTGGTTATTCTAGTTATCCATTCGTCTAATTTTTTTTCAAAGTTTTTAACTTTTTTGCCATTGGTTCGAACTTCCTCCTTTAGCTCGGAGTAGTTTGATTTTCTGAAGCCTTCCTCTCTCAACTCGTCAAAGTCATTCTCCGTCCAGCTTTGTTCCGTTGCTGGTGAGGAGCTGCGTTCCTTTGGAGGAGGAGAGGCGCTCTGATTTTTAGAGTTTCTGGTTTTTCTGCTCTGTTTTTTCCCCATCTTTGTGGTTTTATCTACCTTTGGTCTTTGATGATGGGGACGTACAGATGGGTTTTTGGTGTGGATATCCTTTCTGTTTGTTAGTTTTCCTTCTAACAGTCGGGACCCTCAGCTGCAGGTCTGTTGGAGTTTACTGGAGGTCCACCCCAGACCCTGTTTGCCTGGGTATCAGCAGCGGTGGCTGCAGAACAGCAGATATTGGTGAACCACAAATGTTGCTGCCTGATCATTCCTCTGGAAGTTTTGTCTCAGAGGAGTACCAGGCCGTGTGTGGTGTCAGTCCGCCCCTACTGGGGTTGCCTCCCAGTTAGGCTACTCGGGGGTCAGGGACCCACTTGAGGAGGCAGTCTGCCCGTTCTCAGATCTCAAGCTGCGTGCTGGGAGAACCACTACTCTCTTCAAAGCTGTCAGACAGGGACATTTAAGACTGCAGAGGTTATTGCTGTCTTTGGTTTGTCTGTGCCCTGCCCCCAGAGGTGGAGCCTACAGAGGCAGGCAGGCCTCCTTGAGCTGTGGTGGGCTCCACCCAGTTCGAGCTTCCAGGCCGCTTTGTTTACCTACTCAAGCCTGAGCAATGGTGGTCACCCCTCCCCCAGCCTCACTGCCGCCTTGCAGTTTGATCTCAGACTGCTGTGCTAGCAATGAGCGAGGCTCCGTGGGCGTAGGACCCTCTGAGCCATGTGCGGGATATAATCTCCTGGTGTGCCATTTGTTAAGCCCATTGGAAGAGGGCAGTATTAGGATGGGAGTGACCCGATTTTCCAGGTGCCGTCTGTCACCCCTTTCTTTCACTAGGAAAGGGAATTCCCTGACCCCTTGCACTTCCCGGGTGAGGCGATGCCTTGCCCTGCTTTGGCTCATGCATGGTGCACTGCACCCACTGTCCGGCACTCCCCCATGAGATGAACCCGGTGCCTCAGTTGGAAATGCAGAAATCACCCATCTTTTGCATCGCTCACGCTGGGAGCTGTAGACTGGAGCTGTTCCTATTCGGCCATCTTGGCTCCACCCCATCGAGTCTTTTAACCAAAAGGTCTATTTGGGAATTATTCATATCTAGAGAAGATTGCAAATTTAATAAAAAGCAGATGGTAAATTTAAATAACTAGAGTACCCCAAATTACACAGGACTAGACTTATACCGTAATCTCTATTATTCCTTCTTGTGTGATTGAGTCCATTATCTGAGCAAGAAAACAAGCCTCAGGGATGAAAGCTTTCAGTAAGCAAAGAAGTTTAATTGTAGAAAAGGTCTGCAAGGCAGTCCAGGCTGTAAAAGGAGTAACAAGTATTTGAAGTGGGGGGAATAAAAACAAAAACTAGAAGATTAGAAGATTAACAAAACTAGAGGTTACTGAATTTACATTTAGTTTATGGTGGAAAACAACAATTTTCTCACATGATTATCATTTTTTAAAGGATTGCAACATATCTGCAGACACTGACATCACAAAAGGCAAGAGAGAATTGTTTTTCTTAGGGAGTCAGTAACTTTCAGGAAAGGCTTAAGGATTGGCTTCTTTTGGGGAAAGAAAACTAGGTAGGGTGACCCTGGTTTCTGTTTGTTTATCTCAGGGTGTAAAGTATCTGTTCCTCCTCATTATAGGATGTGAAGTATACAGTTGCAATAATAATCATTTCAGAGCAAAGTGACATTTCTGAATCCATATGACTAATAAGAGTTCCATAAATAAATAACAGAAAAAAGTGGATGAGAGAAAATCACCAAAGTAGTAATAGAATAAAACATCTCTAGGCTGAAGAAAAAAATATCAACCTTAAGTTTGAAAGAGTACCAGGCATCCAGTACAGCAAACGAAAATTAAAAATTTGTCAAAGTATATTAGCGTGAAATTCCAAAACAGTAGTGATAAAGAGCAGATTCTAAATGCATCCAAAGACGTGGTGAAACAGGTTACATTCAAAAGAACAAGATCTCCAAAATCTGAGGGAAAATTCTTTTTGACCTAGTACTCCATATCTTGAAAATGATCAGTTAAGTGTGAGGGTAGAATAGAGGCATTTTTAGATCATCAGGAATTTATAAAATTCAATCCCCATGCACCTTTTCTCAATATGTTCCTTGGGTATGTGTGTAAGAATGAGGTATAAACCTAGAAAGAGAATGACATGAGTATCAGAAAACATTCAGCCGAGGAGATCAATGAAGGGGAGTCCTGGGATGACAGTTGAGCAACTGGCCTAAAGAACACCCAGTCACCATGGATGCAGGAGGACAGAGGACTCAGAAAGGAGCATCTAGGAGTAAAGGGGATTCTGGAGATTTATCTGGATCCTTAGGAATGTGGATTATCCTAAGAAGGAGATGATAGAGGCAAACAAAGAAAACAAGAAATGCAAATAAAGCCTCCAGGAAGGCAAAAACGTTGTATTAGGAAAAGAATATAATACATTACTGAGATGTGCAGCAAGCAATATTGAATAGTTATAGTAATGTAATTACCATATATTGATTTTCAACTTTTAGAACCAACTATAGACAAAGCACTTTTAGATTTATAGAACAGAATCTAAATGTTATCAACCTTGACAACAAAAGAATACAAGTACAGAGGCAGAAATGGGTAGGGAGTAGAAGGTGTTAAAAATTATACATGACACTTGTTAAAGTTGGTAAGGCAGATCTTATTCGAGAGAGTAAGTGGTGATAGGTACAGGGACCACTGCAATGGAGTCTTGCAGTGGAGGACAGAGATTGGATTCGGACTCCAGCATGGACAAGTGGGGATTTATAATCAGGGAGCAGGGTGGGGGAGGGGGCATCAGTGGATAGAAAATTACTAAGAGGAAATATCAAGGATAAGGAGTTTCTGGCTAACCTGACTGACAGGATTATTGCTGAAGGCAGTTTCAGCTGACTAAAGATTTGGTCAAAGGAGAGAGTCTTTGACAAAGGAGAGAAGAAACAAAGGGAATAGGTAACGGTGTTATATCTTCATTTTACATGGAGAGTCAAGGGATTTTATAGCTCAAGGAATAAGAAATAGAAGTGCAAGTACAGGAATTCCTCATTATCTGAATCTAGCTCATTTCTGAAAACATATTGGAAAGCAAATATTCAGATTACAGCAGCATTTTTCATGATTTGACTGAAGAAAACCCATTGCATTTGCAGCCCATTCAAAAACCCCAACCCATTTTTCTAGATATTACTAAAATACCCTGAAACATTTATATAACAACCAACCAAAGATTTCTGCATAATACAAAACATTGTAAACACCATTTGCCTAATTATTTAACAGTTAGGGAATTCATTAGTGAGTATATTTGTGAGTAATAGGCAATACCACGGTAGAGTATTGGCTCTGAACTTGATTTTCTCTGTGCCCTTCAATGACGTGTACTGTAATATAAATAAACAATGTAATGGCACATTACAAATAATATCTAAATCGGACCCAGGTTTAGTAGTTCTCCTAGGAACCTGGCAGAAGTAAATGCTGGGACCCATTAAAAGCAAAACCATTAGGGTAATGGTGAGGATGATGATGAAAATAATGCCTAGCATATTTAGACAAGGTTCTAACCTCCTACAGGAGTAATTCACAACCTAAACATTTTGGCTGACATTACATGAGGATTCACTAGAGCAAGTTCTCACTTCAGAGACTAAATTTTGGATAGACATTTTTACAAGAGGTTATAGCCAATTATTGGATAGTGAGAGTTCAGATAGCTAGGTAAAGGCGACACATAAAGGAGGCAAAAATGGTCCGTAGTTGTATGGGGAAGTGGGGAGAAAGACTGTGTGGGGAGGTGATGCTACTGAGTTAAAGCCTTGTCTTCCAGAGATGTCAATAAATACCATTGAAAATGATAAAGCACCCAAGAGTAGTATAAGCAGATGGTTTAGAGATGTGGTTTGAGTCTCCAGAAGATAAAAATCAGAATCAGCTAAAAGACTTCAAAGGAGTACTTCTGGAGAGCAGGATTGGGGTCATGTAGGGAAATGTTACTTTGCATTATTATTCTTTATATTGTTTGATTTTCAAAAGCCCAGGCACGACTAAAATATCCTTCAAAGTTGCCTCATCCCACTCCTACCCACTTCACTTTCAATCTGAATCAGGCGTTCCTGTGAACCCTCAGCAATCCTGTATCTTCTATTTTATTGATGCATTCAATCTATTCTATTGGTGCATTCTACTGATGGATTCAACCAACTGCAGATCAAAAATATTTGAAAAAACTATCCATACTAACTACAATTCATAATTATATACTTATATGTAATATTTTGCATACATAATACCTGTGAAGCTCATTGTTCTTTCTTCAGTACCCAGTAGTAGGACTAGTATAGGAGGAACTCAAGACATATTTGTTTTGTGAATAAACAAATGAAACTCTGAGGCTCAGTTTCTCCATCTTTAAAATGGAAATGAAATGTTCTTCCATTGAATAATAATTATACGAATCTTGCATAAACAATGTACTGTCTGTTCAATTCTATGGAAACATCAAGACAGATGAATTTTCATGGGGAAATCCATTAAATTAATTGATTAGGAGGTCATTGGTGAATATGGAGAGTGGCATGGAAACTAGAGTGCAATTGCTTAGAAAGCAAGTGGTCAAGTAAAAGGAAGAGAGGGACAAGTCTGTATTTGGAGGAGTGACAGAACTGAGGCATTAAAAAAAATTCTGAGATGAAGAGACGTGCATCTGTTTGCAATTCTATTAGTAGAATGGGAGAGTGTAAAAGCCAACTGGACATTATGGTAAGTAAAATGATCCAGCCTGAAAAGGACCAATACTGCATGATTGTACTTATATGAGATGCCAGAGTAGTCAAGTTCATACACAGAATGAATGGTGGTTGCCTTGGGCTGAAGGGGCAGAGGAATGAGGAGTTAGGGTTTAATGGGAGTGGAGTTTCAGTTTTGCAAGATGAGAAAAAAGTTCTGGATGGTGGTGATGGTTGGACAACAATGTGAATGTACTCAATGTCACTGAACTGTATACTTAAAAATGGTTAAAACGGTCATTTTATGTTATAAAGTACGTATGAAATCTAAACTGAATTTAATTATATTTTTGATAATATATCATTTTCAAAAAGTTGAAAATACGACTGTACTACAAATATAGAATAAACACGTGTCAAATATTAAAAGAAAAAGACATTGAGATGTCTCCCTAATTTCCTAGAAATGGCTTTGATACATAAGGACAAACCCCTCTACTCTGTGACCACAGAGTGGAGCTGATGTGACCTTTGTCCCCTGGCCATAGCTTATTGGTCTAAGCATACACACCTGACACAATATGTGATCTTTCAAACTGGATAAAAAGCTTCTCTTCAGTGGGCTCTGAAAGAAACATGAGATTCAATAACAGAGTGCAACACAAAGGGGAGAGAGACATTCTTCTGTACTTTTCAAAAACGAACATTTAGTTCTATAGTTTTGAGAGCTCATAGAGGCAACAAATGGATTCCTCCTAAACCCAGAAGAATAGCACAAAAGAAAACCATTCCTAGCAAAATAGTAGCACTTGTAGGACCTTCTGTACCCAGCAGAGCAGTGCCTAATTGTCACTTGATGGGGTCTGCTGTTAGAGCTGTGCAAGGCTGTGCGGTTGGCCCTCTGCATCCATGGGTTCTGCATCTCTGGATTAAACCAATTGCAGATCAAAAATATATTTTTTAAAAGAATAGTTGCATCTGCATTGAATATGAACAGAGTTTTTCCTGTCATTATTCCCTAAGCAATGCAGTATAACAACTATTTACATAGCATTGACATTGTATCAAGTATTGTAAGTAATCTAGAGATGATTTAAAGCATACAGGAAGATGTGTGTAGGTTATGTGCAAACACTACACCATTTTACATACGGGACTTGAACATCTGTGGATTTGGGTATCTGAGGGAGTCCAGACGCCAATCCCTCACAATACTGAGGGAAGGCTGTATATACATTATCTAACAGCAGTAGCATGGGCTCTGGCAGAAGGGTGACAGACAGTGTTGGACTCTTGTGGCTAACAGAGCAGTGGAGTGGAGTGCTTATTGGAGCATCAGCATGGAGGGAACAGCATGGCCCAGGGGTGCAGCAGTCATTCCAGCAGGAGCAAATTGTTTGTGAGCACAGAAGAGACACCTAAAAATGCTTGAGGTGGACTTTGCAGGAAACATGTCAGTGAAATTTGAATTATTGCTGTCAGTGTGACTTTATTTGTCTTCGTAAACCAGAGAGGCCTACTAATGTGGTGCTATCTACTCTGTTTTGTGTTGCTGTAACAGAATACATGAGACTGGGTAATCTATAAAGAAAAGAGATTTATGTCTTACAGTTCTAGGGGCTGACAATTCCAAGATGAAGGGGCTGCGTCTTGTGAGGGCCTTCTTGCTGCATCATCCCATGTCAGAAGGGGGAGAGAGGGAGAGAGAGAGAGAGAGAGAGAGAGAGAGCGAGAGAGAGAGAGAGAGAGAGAGAGAGAGAGAGAGAGAGAGACTGAGACTCTTCTCTTCTATAAAAAGCCTATTCCTGAGATAATGACATTAATCTATTGATTAGGGCAGAGTTTTCATGACTTAATTACTTCTTAAAGGTCCCACCTCTTAATGCACTGGGGACCAAATTTCCAACACATAAACTTTGGGAGACACATTCAAACCATAGCAAGTGCTATGGACAGCATTATCTAAATGTGATCTTGGGAGCTCACTCTGGGGGTTGCTGGACAACCAGTTAGTTGGAACTAACCCTTCCATTCCTCCAGAGGGTGTATTTTTTCTAAGTTCAGCTTCTAATAGGACCAGCAGTTCCTCCTCTAGCAGGGGACTGACAACATCTCACATGCCCAAAGATCTCCCAGTGCTGAGCTATTGGCATTCCCAAACAACTCCTAGGAATAATTAGCACCTCAAAGTTGAAGTCTTAACCCCCAAGTACTTCAGAATGTAACTGAATTTGGAAATGAGGTCTTTAAAGGGGGTAATTAAGGTAAAATGAGGTCACTATGGTGGGCCCTAATCCAGTCTGATTGATGCCTTATAAGAAGAGAAGATTAGGGCACAGAGACACATAGAAGGAAGATCATGTGAAGACACAGGGAGAAGATGCCATCTACAAGCCAAAGAGAGAGCCCTCAGAAGGAACCAACCTTGCTGCCACCTTGATCTCAGACTTCTGGCCTCCAGAACTATGAGACAATACATTTTTGTGGCTTAAGCTCCCCAGTCTGTGGTACTTCGTTATGGCAGCACTACCAGACTAATATGCAGGGGAAACTAAATTTTCTTTTCTCATGTGCTTCTTGGCTATTAGAGTTCTGCTTTCTCTATAAAGCCTATTTCTGAACTCAGTGGTATTCAGCTTTGAGCATGCATCAGCATGCCCTCAAGGACTTGTTAAAACACAGACTGCTGGGCTCCACCCTGGAGTTTCTGACTCAGTAAGTCTGGTGTAGAGCCAGATAATTTGCACTTCTAACAAGTTTTCATAGGATGCTGATGCTGCTGGTCCATGTGATATTGTGGGATTGGTCCTGAGCTTTGAATGCACAAACAGGTGATAATCCATATGTGACTTAACTGGGAAGATAGTGATGACCATGAAGAAATGCACCTGGTATTACAGGTGCATTGAAAGGAGAACACGATAACAAGGGGCATGCTGAGTGCCCCTCCCCCCAAACTCCATTGGTGGTATTATGAATAGAAGCTGTCAGCAGCTGCTATGCTTGCTATCATCTAGGACTAACCCTAACCTTGTAGAAGGTGAGCCAGTGGGAGATAGGAGGGGCTGGTAGACACACTCAAAGGTGACTTGCAATGAGTCATGCTTTTGTATAACCCCTTCCCCTAGAGTGTGGACAGTACTCAAGACTTGCTTCTCAACAATGGAGTATGGCAAAGATGATGGGATATCATTTCTATGATTATGTTACAATATTTGGGGTTCCTTCCTTGCAGAGTGGAGAGACCTGCTGCCCTTGAAGAAGCAAACAGCCATGTTGTGAGCTGCCTAAGCCTCTAGGTCTTGAGGGAAGCTTACAGTTAAGAGCCAGCAAAAGCCAGGGCCCTCAGTCATGCCACACAAGGAAACGAATCCTGCCAGCAACTATGGGGGCTTGGAAGAGGATATTAAGCTTCAGTTGAGAATGCAGCCTGACTGACACCATCATTGCAGCCTTGTGAGACCCCAATCAGAGGACCCAGCTGAGCTGTACCCAGACTCCTAACCCACGGAAACTGAGAAAATAAATGTGTGCTATTTATAGCTGCTTCACTTGTGGAAATTTGTTACACAGCAATTGGAGACTAATACGGGGTGAGAGGGGGTGGGGGAAAAATAGAGGATAAATATAGCCAGTTGCTGTCCAACAAATAGGCTAGTAACTTTGCTCTAAGTGATTGCTTTGTTTCCAAGCCTGAGGCCAGCAGTTACTTCTAAGGAGGCCCCAGACTGACAGAAACTCGAGAACATCAGGCAGGGCCTAAGGTGGAGAATGATGAAGTAAATACCTTTTTGCACAGAATTAATTGGCAACTTTGAGCATTCTAACTTTAGCAGCACCACCTCAGCATCTCACCGCATTTGACATTCAGTGACTGAGGAACCCAGGAGCCAGTTTGCATGCAGGGCTTGTAAAAGATCATGGGCTAAAAACTACTGGTTTAAACAAAAGGACCTTCTAACTCTGGGATGCTAATTTAGTTGCCCTTATTCTTGAGTTGCAGTTCTTGCCACTACTTGGAGAAGACTCCCAGCAGGAGCTCTGGTGCCCAGTCTGATACGGCATCTATTGGTCACATAGGTTTGTGCACTCACAATTTTCCTATGAAATCTAATACACAGAGCTCATTGTTTGAATCTGCAGACCTAGTGAAATGTAAGTCATGGGAAAAGCCTGTAACAAATTGATTGTAATGCTGGCAGGGTAGAGGAGGGAGAACATGCTGCAGTGGCAGCACCAAAAAAAAAAAAAAAAAAAAGAAAAGAAAAAAGAGTTCCATCTCCATGCAAGTGCCTGCCTTCATTGAGGTGGATCTGAAGGCTGTTCCCAGCCTCTTTAGGGATTTTAATGACGCTCTTGTTCTTGTTTAGGACTGTTCCTCCTTGAGGACCTCCCTATGGGTTTGCTCAGGCTGCCGTAACAAAGTGCTACAGACAGGATAGCTTAAACAACTGAAATGCATTCTCTCGAAGTTCTGGAAGTTAGAAATCTGAGATCAAGGTGTGGGCAGGGTTGGTTTCTCCTGAGGCCTCTCTCTTTGCCTTGGAGATGGCCATCCTCTCCTCCCTGTGTCTTTATCTCCTCTCTGTGTATGTCTGTGTCGTAATCTCCTCTTCTTATAAGGACATTACTCAGATTACATTAATGCCTACCCTAATGACCTTACTGTAACTTGATCATCTCTGTAAAGACCCTATCTTCAAATATAGTCACATATTGAAGTACAGGGGTTAGGACTTCAATATAGGAATTTTGGAGGGACACAACTCAGTCCATAACAACTTCTAAATAGATATTTCAGACACAACATCTAGCTCAGTCAGAGACTGTGCTTGTCATCAGTGTAATGGTGATTGAGGGACACCATCTGGTACACAGAAATGATTACAAATTCCTTTAGGTCAGTGACAAGGATGTAACTGTATGAAGCTGGCTATACCAAACGTGGGGCTCCCCAGCACTCTCTCCATTAGAAGAATAGCATTTGGGCTTTCAACTGCTGACAAAACTAGCTCCTTGCCAATGGCACTACCTGTTAATGGGTTGAATTGTGTCCCTTTGCCAAATTCATATGTTCAAAAGTCCTAACTCCCAGGACCCCAGCATGTGACCTTATTTGAAAATAGAGTTGTTGCAGGTGTAATGAGTTATGTTAGGATAAGATCATACTACAGTAGGGTGGGTCACCAATCCAATATGACGGGTATCCTTATAAGAAGGGGAGATTTAGACACACACACACACATACACACACACACACACACACACACACACACACACACACGGAGAACATGATGTGAAGACAAAAGCAGAGATTGGGGTAATGCATCTACCAGTCGAAGAGTGGCCTGGAACAGATCCTTCCCTCAGAGACCTCAGACAGAATAAACCCTGCAGACTCCTTGATCTTGTACTTCTGGCCTCTAGAACTAGGAGACAATACATTTCTGCTGTTTAAGCCACCCGGCTGTGGTACTTTGTTACAGCAGTCCTGGCAAACTCACACACTATTAGATGGGTAAGATCCCATTCAATCTTTTGACAAGTTCAATTTGGGTGTTTCTCAGAGAAGTTGGGGTTCTGTATTAGTCAAGGCAATTAATGCTAGCTTCTGTATACACAATTCCCAATGTCAGTGGGTTAACACAGTACAAGTATTTTTTTTTCATATAGTGATGTCTGATGAGAGCCTGGTGGCTCTCTTGGTAGTTTTCTAAGTGATGACTCAGAAATCCAGGTTCCACAGTAACTAGGGCCTTTGAGAATTTTCCACTGGATCTCTTAATCTGACTGGTTGATAAGCACAGACACACACACACACACACACACACACACATACACACACACAGAAAGAGAGAGAGAAAGAGACAGAGACAGAGACAGAAAGAGAGATTATGGAGAAGGCATACCAGCCTTTTTTTTTTTTTTTTTTTTTGAGACGGAGTCTCTCTCTGTTGCCCAGGCTGGAGTGCAGTGGCACAATCTCGGCTCACTGCAAGCTCCACTTCCTGGGTTCACGCCATTCTCCTGCCTCAGCCTCCCAAATAGGTGGGACTACAGGCGCCCGCCACCACGCCCGGCTAATTTTTTGTGTTTTTAGTAGAGACGGGGTTTCACCGTGTTAGCCAGGATGGTCTCGATCTCCTGATCTTGTGATCCGCCTGCCTCGGCCTCCCAAAGTGCTGGGATTACAGGTGTGAGCCACTGTGCCTGGCAGGCATACCAGCTTCTAACTGCTTTGGGATTGTCAGATCCTGAGGAATGGAAATTAGCATTCCCAGTGTAAGATGTACTCATATCCTTGCTGCTTCAGTCTAACAAATGGTGTGACTACCACATGCCTTTAAGAACATTTGGGGACAGACAGAGGGGTATATAGAACCGTTTTGCAAATACCTACTTATTTTCTCCTTTTTGGGTTCACAGTTTAGCTACACTTCCCAGCCTCGCATACAAGTAAGTTTGTGCACACGGAGGAATCTCCATGTCTACCTGAAGTTCCAACTCCACTGGGACCTGAACTGTGTTCCTAGATCATCTACTTGGTGGTGTTTGTGTGACCTTAGACAAGTCTGTCTCATCTAGTCTTTGAGGCTTTCTTTCCCTACGTGTCCAGTGAGAGTTTTGGATGAGATGGTGGCCTTGGGAGGGAATAGGTTCTTTATCTAAGCAAAGGCGGGAACCCAGAGAGTGTCCAGTCATTTGTGTGAATTGAATTGTAGGTAATAAGGATGAGAGTGAGAGCAGACTCTAGACAAACAGAATGCTGGGAGGAAAGATGGTGGGGAAATTTATGGTAGATAACACCCACTACCTATGCATTGAGCCTTGCCCTTCTTTCAGTACTGTGTTTCATGCTATAGATTTAAAGAAAAAAGTCAAAAACATGCTTATCTCCTGTACTCCCCCACCCCATTCCTATTTCCACCATATTTTTTTGTTTTCAAAGTGTGTTTCATTTTCTATACACGATACGTATACCTGGTTGGGTGAGGACAAATCTCAGGTTGAACTTCCCTCCTGAGCCCACATCAGGCTCTGCCTCTCTGACTCTGTCAATCTCCATCTCTCTGTTTTTCTTTCTGTCTCTCCTTTGTTCTATTGTACCTTTCTCTGCTTTTGTTTGGGAATGCAGAAGCGTCAGTTTCCATAATGGATCTCAATAGACAAAATAGACAAAATACTAATTTCCATTCCTCAGGATCTGACAATAATGGTTCTCAATAGACAACACGAGTATTTTGAACATGGTTATAGCATTTGTTTGATTGTTATTCTCCAGAAATCAAAGTGAAAAACAAGGAAGGTAAAAATATCTTAGATACCCCCTGCAATCACATGGAATCTACTGTTATTTTTCTTTTGCTTGTCCTTTACAAAGGCACATCATCCCTGTAGTGTTTCAATCAATTAGTAACTTTTCTAATCATCAAATATTGCTGAAGAAAAAATATAATGACATTTAAGTGTCAGTTATCTTCATCATCATTTATTGTCAGTAATATGCAGAATTTCAGAGATGAATGAAAGTTGTCTGTGGGCATAGGGGTCCATACATTCCTTAGGAACTCACTCCTTTACATTGTGCAAGCTTGAGGGCTGGTGATGCAAGTGTTCATTTGTAAGCTTAGGTCAGATCATCAAGGAGACCCCAACAACCTGGCAGGTACTAACCGTGAAATCAAATGATCTGAGTTTTCCTTAGGGTTGCTGCTGCTGTTTCCATCTACATCCTTCCAAGATTATTCAGAGACTTTTGTCAGGTCTATATTGTGATCAGACTGCTATATTTCCCCAGTCCTCCTTCCTCCCTTTTGTTTTCACAGATACTACTTCACAAACTTTTTTTTATGCTCCTAATTCTATCCCACTGCCTGTTTCCCAAAGAACCCAAATTGGCACATGCATCATATTAAAGATCCCGGAAGTGGTTATAGGTAAGCTAAGGCTGCATGTCACCTTGCATTTGGGCAGCAGGTCCTTTCTTCAAAGGGGTTCTGAGTGGCGCATCTCCATATCTACCAAAACATGCTTAATGTTTAGTGTCACTTTTATAACAACACAGGGGTACTTTCTCCTTCTCATTTTTAAGAGTTGAACTTATGTCTCTGGACATATGGTCAACTAAACATTCCATAGAAGCTCTGTTGCTACAAAACACTCAGGATTGCTGTATAAAATACAATAAACCTCTTAGCTGGGTTCAGGAGAAAGTAACAAGCTAGTACCCAGGTTCCTGACTGGAGGTCAGCATGCACACTCAGAAGATCCATCAGGCCTGGCAGTGCCCCACTGCCAGTATCATAGAGGTTCACTCCCAGGCCAATGCATTCATGCCAGAGACCAGCCCCAGGAAGTGATTCTGGACCTCTCCTTCCAATAGATCTGGCTTTAGAGTAACTTCATGACATTTATAAGCCCCTTTTAAATCTTTCAGAAAATGTCCTTAGACATTTTCAGCCTCAGGGTTTGTCAGGGGGCTTTCAGGGGGCTTGAGAGTGAGTGGTAGTGTGTCAGTGTTTCTATGGATCTATCTCCAATTGGGACTTTAATTTCTAGCTGAAAGAAATTCTGAGTCATGGTGCTGAAGCCTCAATAGCACTTTGCTCATAAGCCTATTCTCGTTAAATGGGAATATTTATATACTTTATGTAAGGCTCAGGGTTTTAATTTTTTTTTGAAAAGTGACTGGATTTCCCTCCACTGAATGTCAGTCCAGGTAAGGTGATCTTTCCAGTCCCTTCTCCAAACACCAAACACCCCAATATCCTCAGATAAAGATGTTGGTATTAAATAAAATTATTCAACTTATGCCACTGATTCTCAACTGGATATGTATAGATGAGAAAGAAGAACTTAGGAAAATTGATTCAACATACACATTCTCCTCTTTCTTATCCTCTCCTTGTTCCCTGCCCATCCCCTCCAAATGGAAACCAGTAATCTATGTAACTCTTACCCTCTTCCTTCTTGTCCATAACTCCAGTGGTTTGGGCTCTCGCACTCAGGTTTTTAAATTATTTCAAGTTCTGGAATACATGTGCAGGACGTGCAGGTTTGTTACATAGGTAAACGTGTGCCATGGTGGTTTGCTGCACCTATCAACCCATCACCTAAGTATTAAGCCCAGCATTCATTAGGTATTTATCCTGATGCTCTCCCCTCCCACCAACAGGCTCTAGTGTGTGTTGTTCCCCTCCCTGTGTCCATGTGTTCTCATCGTTCAGCTCCCACTTGTAAGTGAGAACATGCAGTGTTTGGTTTTCTGTTCCTGTGTTAGTTTGCTGACGATAATGACTTCCAGCTCCATCTATGTCTCTGCAAAGGACACGATCTTGTTCCTTCTTGTGACTGCATAGTATTCCATGGTATATATGTACCACATTTTCTTTATCCAGTCTGTCACTGATGTGCATTTGGGGTGATTCCATGCCTTTGCTATTGTGAATAGTGCTGCAGTGAACATTAGCGTGCATGTATCTTTATAATAGAATGATTTATATTCCTTTGGGTATATATCCAGTCATGGGGTTGCTGGGTCAAATGGTATTTCTGGTTCTAGGTCTTTGAGGAATCACCACACTGTCTTCCACAATGATTGAACTAATTTACACTCCCACCGACAGTATAAAAGTGTTCCTATTTCTCCACAGCCTCATCAGCACCTGTTGTTTCCTGACTTATTAATAATTGCCATTCTGATAGGTGTGAGATGATATCTCATTGTGGTTTTGATTTGCATTTCTCTAATGATTAGTGATGTTGAGCTTTTGTTTTTCATATGTTTGTTGGCTGCATAAATGTCTTCTTTTGAGAAGCATCTGTTCATGTCATTTGCCCACATTTTAATAGGGTTGTTTTTTTTTTCTTGTAAATTCAAGTTCCTTGTAGATTCTGGATATTAGCCCTTTGTCAGATAGATAGACTGCAAAAATTTTCTCCCATTCTGTAGGTTGCCTGTTCACTCTGATGATAATTTCTTTTGCTGTTGCACTCAGTTTTGAAGCTCTCAATGGACAAATCCACACGGGCTTCAGCTTGGGGCGGATTTCAGGAATAATGGCTACAGGCATTGGAGTCAACCTTTAGGGTCATGTGGCAGCCATCACATTTTTTGCTACATGCTTAGGAGGTATCCTAACTTGTATCTGCAGGTCATTCTGGAGTTGAGACCTATAATCCCATGGGGAGCACTAGCTCTTCAGAGGTGAGGTAAGACAGACTATATTGGTATAATTGTCAGGTTTATTATCACAGAATGTATTGTAGGCAGGGTGATTGCTAAACGGAGAAATTCCCTTAAACTCAAGCCTGGAAGCTAGGGCTTGGTACCTGCTAGTGAAATTCCCTGATGCTGATCCTCGCTTTCTTGGAATATAAGCATTGCCCACTCCTACGTTTTTCATTATTATACTTGGGCCACCTGTTGAGATGCTTGGACCCTTGTCATTCCTCTTCTCTAAGCTGTAGCAATCACTATACAGCACCTTTGCCTTCCAGATTGAATTGTCCCCCAGTACCTATAAAAGAGCCTGTATTCTATGTGCCTGTCCTGTTCCATTAATCCAGTACTTTTTCAGGTCTTCTCATCCAGCCTGTTTTGTCCTGCAGTGAACCAGGCCTACCTAGCCCCATCCTCAGCTAGAATAAAAGCAACCATAAATATAAAAAGATTGAGTGAGCTGAGACCATAGTTCTTTTTTTAGTTCTTTAGATTCACTAACAACTGGGTTATATTTATTTGCTCACATATCTGTCTTTCATACAAGACAGTAAGCTCTGAGAGAAGTTACACTGTCCACAGGACCTTGGCATAAAGTAGGTCCTCTCTGAATGCTGGTTGAAATTAAAATGAAAAGTGTGTAACCAGCCACATGCCCTCTAAGTGACTTCAGGGTCTCCTCAGGACCTCCCCAGTGGTGTTGCCACTGACCGTCAAGGGCCACAAGACTCCGTGGGAAGAACTGAAGGTGCTCTGATGGCAGGTAAGGGGTGAATAGGGATTTGCATCCATAGGTTACTTCCTCCACATTAGTCTCTCTTTTAAGGTGTGAACTCCTCTTTAGGATTTGCAAGGAACTGTTTTGAGGCGGGAGAAGTGACAACTGGGAAAAAGTTGTTTTATTTTAAAAATAAGACAAGAGGCCCCGGTGTGTGATGTATACATATGTAACAAAGCTGCAGGTTGTGCACATGTACCCTAAAACTTAAAGTATAATAAAAAAAAGAAAAAAATATGAGACAAGAGTCATTTTTAGAAAGTACCCACCAGCGAGTTTGAAGTCCATTACTGGCAAACTGTCCAAATGGAAATACAAGTTTTGTGGGCACTCGTGGAGTGAGGTGACCATCAGCAGGAGATAGCATGGGGTTATGGAGTACAGATCACTCCAAACAATTTAATTTTCATCCTCTCTTTCTTTCCTTTAAATTTTTGATTGGGTTCTTTACTATCCTTGTAGACCAGGGAAACGTTGAACACAGTGTATCTGGATTTCGGCACAGCATCTGACAAAGCCCTTCATGATATCTTCATGGGTGAGATAGACAGAAGGGGGCTAATAAGAACATGATTAAGTTGATCTCTAATTGCTCGAATGACCATACCCCAAATTGACTGACTACATCATGAATATTATCACCAGTTTACAGATGAAACAAAGGGAAATTAAGTAAGACCCATGATCACATAACTAGCCTTGGGGTATTTTCAAAGTACTTTGTATAAATCCAAGGGGTTCTTACATCAGTTTTTCCTTATAAAATGTGGCACAAAGTAATCGAACAATCAGGCTCCTGTCTTTGCTTTGGTTCGCAATGAAATCAGTGATCATCAGGGCCTGTTTGCCTACAAAGATCAGTTTGAAGGAGAAAGTGGAAGAAAGATAAGGAAAACTCAGAGACTGTTATATAAATGGATCACAAAATGATTCCAAATGATAACACTGGGTTCTGAAGAACATGAAACTAAGTGGCTGGATAACTGCCTATCGACAGATGCTTTAAGATGATTTAGTTCTGCCTCAATTCATGTTAAAATAGAAACAGAACATGTGAAATCGGTGGAGCATCTCATTGGGTAAAATAAGCTCTGGGTGAGCAAGTTAACAACGTGACCTAGATGGCAAGGCTCTCTTTCCCAAGGACCATGTCACCTCTTTATTGTGTGATATGCTAAGTGTAAAAAGGAGGGTGAGGAATTCACTGTGGGGTGTGTGGGTGTGTGCATGGGCAAGCGTGGGCATGTATGTATTTGCATTTATATATTTAATCATATATGTGTGTCCAGGGATATACTGTATGCAATTAAGGGATTATTACCAATATATGTCCTTATGCAACATAACACAAAGTAATCTAGTAATCAGATCTCTCTTGTTTTTGCCTTCTGAAGAGGTACTCAGGGCATGTTTGCCTACAAAGATCAGCTTGAAGTAGAAACTGAGAAAAGGATAAAGAAAATCAGAGGCTGCTAGATGACTACATCACAGGAATTTTCTAAATGATAACAGTGGGTTATGAAGAACATGTAAGGAAAAGATAAAAATAACTGCCATTTCTGTTCTGATTATGGTGGCTCCTATTTAAGTCTCCCATCGCTAATGCCTTAGATAGGTTTTGCTCTTGATGGTTTGCAAAATATTTTCACACATGTCATCTTGTTGGATTTTACAACACTGCCATAAAGTAAAAATTAGGGATTAAAAACAATTCCCATTTTACAAATAATTCCCATTTTACAAATAAGCAAACTGAGCACCAAAGAATGGTAGAGCTTTGTCCAAAGTCACAATGGGGACCGTGACAAAGCTAAAACTCAATTTCAGGTCTCTAGGCCCTTATCCAGTGTTCTCTTTGTTAAGTCACATCGCCATCCCCTTTCGGAGGCATTTTCTGTGTTTCCTCTTTCCACTACTTCTATTGTTTTTCATGCCCTTAGCTACTAGCTTCTCCATTCCCTTTCTGCCTTCCTCATAATTTCTTTCACTCCTGATTTGGATAGAATCTAAGGCAGAAAATAGATGTGTGAGCTGGTGCCAGAAAACCATGTAAATTTCCCAACTTTAACCCTAGGTGAAGAAGTATAGGGTTATGTGTTTTGTGTGTGTGTATGTGTGTGTGTGTGTGTGTGTGTGTGTGTGTGTGTGTGTGTGTGTGTGCATGCGCAAGAATGTAGGGGATGGGGAATGCAAGAGGTGGGGTTCAGGTGAGTGTTGAGATCAGCAATGCAGAGAGTCAGGCCAAGAGTAAAACTTCAACCTCGACCATGGTTCTCAAAATGAAGTTTCATAATAGAACATCACCTCTACCAACCTCTTGACTGGTTTTCAAAACATACAGGTGTCTGCTCTCAATCAGTAACAAAAACCTTCACACCAACCATTGTTTAATAGTAAAACCTTAAGTTATCTGTTCAAAAACTCAGGTAAATGAAATGATTCTGCTAAGTTCTTCACTTTAGGTTTCAGTAAACCATATTGGATCTACAGCGTAGTATTACTAACCCCAAGCTCTTAGGTTACAACTTGTGGCCATGTGCATCATTGATAGAGAAATCCCCCCAAAAGTAAGCATGCCTTTCTTTTTTTTCTATATGTTTTAAAAATTGATTTTTAATTGACACATAATAATTGTACATATTTATGGGGTACATAGCGATGTTTTAATACATACAATGTATAGTGATCAGATCAGAGTAATCAGCATATCCATCATCTCAAACATTTATTATTTCTTTGTATTGGGAGCATTCAATATCCTGTCTTCTAGCTCTTTGAAAATATATGATATATCATTGCTAACTATAATAACACAACAATGCTATAGAATACTAGACTCATTCCTCCTATCTAGCTGAAATTTTGTATCATTTAACAAATCCCTCCTTATTCTCTCCCTTTCCCTCTACTCTTCTCAGCCTCTAGTAACCTCTGTTCCAATTTCTATTTCTGTAAGATCAACTTTGTAAGATTGCACATATGAGTGAGCTCATGCTATATTTGTCTTTCTGTGCCTCGCTTATTTCACTTAACATAACATCCTCCAGGCTCATCTATGTTGCCATGAATAACAGGATTTCATTCTTTTTTATGGCTGAATAGTATTCCATTGTGTGTATATGTGTGTGTGTGTGTGTGTATATATATATATATATCACGTTTTCTTTATCAGTTCATCCTTTGAAAGGCACTTAAATTGCTTCCATATCTTGGCTATTGTGAATGGTACCGCAGTAAACACAGGGGTGCCAATATCTCTTTGATACACTGATTTCCTTTCCTTTAGATAAATACCTAGTTATGGGATTGCTGGATCATATGGTAGTTCTATTCATTGTTTTTTGAGGAACCTCCATATTGTTCTCTGTAATGGCTGTACTAGTTTATATCCCCACAATCAGTGCATAAGTGTTACCCTTTCTCTGTATCCTTGCCTGTCTTTTTTATTTTTAATCTTTTTTATACAGTAGCCATTCTAACAGATATGAGGTGATATCTCATTGTGGTTTTGATTTGCATTTCCCTGATAATTAGTGATATTGAGCATTTTTAAATATACTTGTTGGCCATTTCTTTCACACTGTGCAGAGTAACCTGGGACCAGCACACTACCTCCAATAGCTTTTGTCATGGAAACTTATATATGGAGAGAAGAAAATTAAACACTTGAGGTTTCCAGACTAGATAAGGTGGGCATTTTAGCTCTCTGAAATGCCACTCCCTACTCAACAACAAAAATAGAAAATGAGGGTCAAGTAATGGAAGAAGAAACATGCTTCTAATATTTCAAATATGCAATGATACCAAAGGGATTGACATCATTGTTGTGATTTAAATTCCAATTTGGTTTTGAGTTTCCTAGTAGCCATGACAAAAATGGAAAATGGTCTGAACCACCCTTCCAGTCCATGAGAATGTGACTAGTACTAGAATTACTTCTTTGAAACATTAAAAAAATATTAAAGAACTTTCTTTTGTTTTTTACTATATCCACCTCCAATTTAACCACTAATCTCCTATCAACAGTTTTTATAAGAGAAATGTTTTTTTCTAATCTCAGAAAAAATAGATATTTGGGATTGCGATGGACTCAACACTTAAAGAAATACATTGATATGCCTAATTTAATTCATCCATTCCTGTCATTCCTTGGCTTGGAATTTACTTATAGGAGAAGTAAGACAAGGTGTTTTTTTTTTTTTTTCTTTGACAGGGTGTATTAGTCCATTTTCACGCTGCTGATAAAGACATACCTGAGACTGGGCAATTTACAAAAGAAAGAGGTTTAATGAACTTACAGTTGCACCTGGCTGGGGAGGCCTCGCAATCATGGCGGAAGTCAAGGCGGAGCAAGTCACATCTTAGGTGAATGGCAGCAGGCAAAAAGAGGGCTTGTGCACAGAAACTCCCGTTTTTAAAAGCATCAGATCTCGTGAGACCCATTCACTATCACGAGAACAGCATAGGAAAGACCCACCCGCATGGTTCAATCATCTCCCCCCAGGTCCCTCATACAACACGTGGGGATTATGGGAGCTACAAAATGAGATTTAGGTGGGGACACAGAGCCAAACCATATCACAGGGTCTTGCCCTGTCACCCAGGCTGGAGTGCAGTGGGGTGATCTCGTCTCACTGCAACTTCTGAATCCCAGGCTCAAGTGATCCTCCCTCCTCAGCCTCCTGAGTAGCTAGGACTACAGGTGAGCACCACTACACCCAGCTAATTTTGGTATTTTTTGTAAAGATGGGGTTTTGTCGTGTTGATCAGGCTGGTCTCCAACTCCTGGGCTCAAGAGTTCTGTCCACCTTGGCCTCCCAAAGTGCTGGGATTACAAGCATTAGCCACCGCGCTGGACTGTTAAGTTTGTTTCTAATCAATAATTTACTTATGCAAATATGTAAAAAACATCCATGTTGCTTGCAAAGTGATTCTACCCCAAGAGACTAATTGTTTTAATGCTTGCTAGTTTGGCTGTGCTTCTCCATGTTGGGGAGCCTTTAGTAGCTATTCTTTTTTTTTATTATTATTACACTTTAAGTTCTGGGATACGTGTGCAGAACGTGCAGGTTTGTTACATAGGTATACATGTGCCATGGTGGTTTGCTGCACCCATCAACCCGTCATCTACATTAGGTATTTATCCTAATGCTATCCCTCCCCTAGCCCCCCATCCCGCTACAGGCCCCCGTGTGTGATGTTCCCCTCCCTGTGTCCATGTGTTCTCATTGCTCAACTCACACTTATGAGTGAGAACATGCGGTGTTTGGTTTTCTGTTCCTGTGTTAGTTTTCTGAGAATAATGGTTTCCAGCTCTTAAGAGGTATTTGCAATCTCTGTATACCCTTTGCCATGCAAGACTGACATTCCAGAGACTGTTCATTTCACCCCTGTTTTCTTGCAATTTAAATAAGCTGCTAAGTGGAAGGTGTGTTTTGGTTGTAGTATCACATCATGAACAGCTCTGCACGATAAACAGAATTAAAGAGTATTATCATGATTTTCCACTAATTTACATTTTTTTCCATAGAGAGTGAACACTTTACTAAATCAGCTATGCATAAACAGTAACTAGTATTAACATAAACATTAAATATAAATAGGATATAATTTAAAGCAAAATTTAGGGAACTACAAACACCTGGGTACAATTAGGTATCTTACTCATCTTTGTTACAAATTCCAATCTTTTATTTGTTCTGCTTTGGGCTTTAATAAAAAAAAAAATTTAACCCTTTCTCTTACCTCTCTGCAGCATGTAAAAAGGCTTTGCCTTGTATTTAGCATTCTAACTGTTGGAGTGACAGTTATAGCATTCTGTGGTGGCCACATGTAATGGGGTGGATAATTAAAATAATTCTCTCATTATATGAATATATCACAGCCTAATACTGAGTTAATTCCCCAAGTTTCCTTCTTTACAGATATCATCTTTTTTTCTGTAAGCTACTACACAAAAATTCGAATAGAATATGTTACAGTCATGTTGGACTGCCCCATAGTTCAGGCCTTAGATTCTGAACTCTCTTACTACACTTTAATCTTATATGATTTCGTCTATTGCCACAGATTTAAATATCACTTTTGTATATGGCTACAAAATTTATAACTCTATTCAAACTGCCTACCTGAGTTTCCACTTAAATATCTTGTAGGCTTCTCAAACTTACTATATCGAAAACCGAACTGATTCCTCTACCACCATCTCAATCCTCTGCAGTCTTACACTTCAGTAAATGGTACCACCATCAACCCAGCTGTTTAAACTCAAAACTTTGGAATCATCCTTGATTCCTGTCATTTCTCATCCTCCATGGCCAGTATATCAGTGTGTCATATTAGTTCTACCTCTTCTCCACATTGCCAATGCCACCACCCTGGTCCCAGCCACCATACTGTGTTGCTTGAACCATGGCCACAGCTTCTGTGCTGAGCTCCCTGCCTCCTACCTTGCTTCCTCACATTCTATTTTCCTTCAAAAACTGAAAACCAGTCCATGTCCATTTTGATCCCCTACTGAAATACTTTAAAGACTTCCTGTAGCATTTGGAAAAAAATTCAGAATTATCCCCATAACTATAAGGCTCTACATGATCTAGCTGCCCCCTAACTTGTCAACTATCTCCCTCAGGGAACTGAAACCCAGTTGGGCCTCCTTTGTTTTTTTTTAGTTTAAAGTGCATTGCTATCTCAATATTACATTATAATTTTTGTTCTCTGCTTGAGGCTTTTTCCCAGGTCCTTTGAATGCCTGGCTCCTTGTTATGCTTCAGGTCTTAGCTCAAATATCCTTTCTCAGAGTAGTGTTCCTGACAATGCCACAGTGCCTCTAATGCTCCCCTTAACTTTCTATCACATTCCCCAGTTTTATTTCTTTCATATCACTTACCACAAATTAAAAATATCTTATTGATTTACTTGTTTCTGGTATGTCTTTCCCCAGCTAGAATGTAAGGTTCTCAAAGGCAGGGACCTTGTATGTATTGACATTTCTGTTCTCCAGAATCTTAAGCTCTATCAGGAACTGCTGCCTACATAATAAATATTTATTAAACTGCAAATGAAGGAATTCAATATGTCTATCAACAGTAGTATGAATACCAGATTCCCCAACCCCTGCCTTTTTTTAAACCAACATTGGATTATTGTGGTCTTTCAAAAGAGTGAAACTTCTTTATACCCTTAATGACTACTTTGGGATTTATATAATTAAAGTGTGGTGAATAAAACCTTTCCTGCCTTATTGTTCCCATTGCTAGAGAACCAATTCTGCCAGTGATAGCTTCTGAATAACTCCATGGGCTAAATAGGGCCACATACTTCACGGACTTTCTAAGAAACCATTGCACACTCTAGTAGAAATGGACAACCAGAGTAGGAAGCGGGTAGTTGTCAAGAGGGCAAGCCACTTTTCCATTGCAAGTTGTACTGAGAGAAGCCTGGCCGGCACTTGATTGAGAAGAAATGCTTTGAAATTAAAATTTGCAATTTATTGAATTAGCCTGCAGTGGGTTGTTTTCTTGTTGCCAGCGTCCTGAATGCTATGAGCTCTACCTGAGATGTCATTAGGAGACAAGGACATAGTTGAAGGCAGTGATGAGGGGATGGAGGAAGGAATTTCATGTTTATAATCCACCAACTTCTGACTTTTAAATAAAGAGCTTATGGTTATAAAGCTTATGCTTTCTTAGTTATTACTAAAATTACAAAGCCTACATGACTTTTAATAAATATTTTCTTTAAAATTACCCATTTCCAGCTACAAAATGCAAACTCTTTGAGAATATAACTAGACAAAAGGTAGAGTTGAAATCACAATGGAGGCTAGGTGCGTGTCCTTTCCTATCCTAAATTTCTTAATATGCTGGAAAGATATTTTAAAATTTAAACAAACTCAAGACAACTAAAAGAATCACACAAGTACAAACAAAGAATACAAATCCACCTAAAATATCCATGGGAAATTTTAAAAATTGACCATATTTTAAGGTACCAAAAATTTTAATTCCTGCATTAATCAGAATTGGCTAGATTGTGCTGCAATTACAAATAAACCCTGAAATCTCAGTGGCTGCTCAAATTCTCTCTCTTACACTTCTCTCTTACACAAAATCTGATGGAAGCTGGATTTCTCTAATCTATCTTAATCCACCTGAAACATGTAAACTTATATGTTGCCAAGACAGGGCAAGAGAGAGCTTTAAATTATCTGATATGGTTTGGATGTTTTGTCCCCTCGAAATCTCATGCTGAAATATAATCTCCAATGTTGGAAGTGGGGCCTGGTGTTGGGTCATGGGGGTGGATCCCTCATGAATGGTTTGGTGCTCTCCTCTCTGTAATGAGTGAGTTTTTTCTCTGAGTTCATGAGAGGGATGGTTGTTTGAAAGAGTGTGGCACCTCCCCGTCCCTTGCTTTCTCTCTTACCATGTGATACGCTGGCTCCCCCTTCACCTTCCACCATGACTGGAAGCTTCCTGAGGCCCTCATCAGAAGCAGATGCTGGTACCATGCTTCCTGTACAGCCTGCAGAACTGTGAGCCAAAATAAATCTCTTTCCTTTACAAATTACCCACCCTCAGGTATTCCTTTATAGTGATGCATATGGGCTAACACAACCTCAGCCCCAAAGTGAGACATGTACCTTCTCACAACAATAACAACAAAACAGTAGACTTGATCCATAAAACCAAAAGCTTTTTTTTCCTAAAAATTAAATAAAATTAGTCAAATGTGACTTAAAAAGCCAGAAAAAACACAAATTACATTAGAAATGATAAATGAGGTATAACCACAGACCCAGAAGAAACTTTGTTAAAATATTGTATTTAACCTCTACTGGTAATTTTGTAAATTTTTTAAGAGATGGAAAATATGAATAAGAATAATGTCTGAATTTCTGATATAGTTTTAGAATAATTCCTATACAGAGATAATTAATAATTATAGAAGAAATTAAAAAGGTAACCAAAAGTTTGCCCCTAAAAACAATAGTAGGCTCAAGTAATTTTATGGGTGAGTTATATCAAATCTTCAAGAAACAGATAATCTCTATATTATATGAACAGTTTTAGAAGATAGAGAAATATGGAATGTCAACTAACCCATTATACAAAGCCGGCAAAATAATGATACTAAAAACAATCAAGATAACACACAGAAAAGGAACTATGGGTTCATTTGTGTACAATAATAACATAAACTTATTGAGTACATTCTGTCATGCCAGACACAGTTCAAAGCCTTGTAAGTACTATGCTGTTTCCCAAAATAATGAAGAAATCCCACCT
This sequence comes from Homo sapiens, assembly GCF_000001405.40. Taxonomy (NCBI): domain Eukaryota; kingdom Metazoa; phylum Chordata; class Mammalia; order Primates; family Hominidae; genus Homo; species Homo sapiens. The sequence goes on along the minus strand of NC_000023.11, from coordinate 152,557,925 downwards.
TTAGCAGTGGTGGAATAGGTTGCTTTATACCAATCCTCCTGCTGAAGACAGTGAATGAAGCTCAATAATAATATTTCAAAGCACTTCTTTGGAGTCATCAGGGAACTAACAAGGCAGGGAGGATTTTCAGGGCCAAGGTCCCAGACAGAAGCCCAGGGAGGGGAGTCTGGTATTTTATGCTGCTTTACCCTACTAAGAAATTATTGATTCTGAAAAGTAGTGGATGAGAGGCCAAGCAGCTGAGCTGAGCTTTTGACAGACTCATGGAAAGCAATAAATTAAGAGCTCAATGGATAGATTTAAGAACAAATTAAATAAAACTGAAAAGAAAATTAGTGAATAGAAATATAATTTTGAAGAAAAAATTTTAGACTGAAGCACAAAAGGGACAAAAGAATAAAAATACAGAAATGAACGTAAGATAATATGACATAGTGTGACAGAGTCTAACATATGTGAGACTGGAATCCTAGAAGAAGAGAGAAGTGATGTTTAAGTAGATAATGACTGAGAATTTTCTAAAATTGATGAAACATATTGAAACAAAGATTATGAAAGTCCTATAAAATTCAAGCATGGTTTCTCTTGTATACATTATAGTCAAACTGCTGAAAAACCAAAGACAAACAGAAAATCTTAAAACCAGCCAGAAGAAAAAGGACATATCCTTTTCAAAGGAGAAACTGTGAGATTGATATTGACCTGTCAAAGAAACAGTAGAAGCCAGAAGCAAATAAAATGACATCTTTAAAATAGTGAAAGAAAATAACCACCGACCTGGAATTCTTTATTCATTAAGTTATCTTTAACAAATGAAGGGAAGACACAGACATTTTCAAATAAAAAGTAATTAAGGGAATTCATCACCAGGACACCTGCACTAAAAGAAATACCTAAATACTGCTTTTCAGGCAGCAGAAAAATTATCCCAAGTAGATGCAAGAAAGAATAAAGAGCAATAGAAAAGGTAATTATTACTATATGGAAAAATCTGAATAAATATTGCTTCTGTTTACACAAAAATAACAATTAAAAAAAACATTTTATAAAAACAACAAATACCACAAGTGGCAGGAGGGAGTAAATGGAATTGGAATGTTTTAAGGTCCCTGCATACACTTGTGCTAATTTGAAAAACAACAATGCATGTTACAATCTCTAGATTAACCATTAAAGGAATAAGCAGATTAAAAAAATCAGTAAGTATATAGAACATGTGAACATGGTTAACACATTTGACTTCATTGACATTTATAGAACACAGCATTTAACAATGGCGGAATTTTTTTTCAATTGCACATGGAATATTTACCAAAATCAACCATTATTGGACCATAAAGCAAGGCTCAACAAATTTCAAAGGGCTGAAATCGCATAGATTAGAATGTCTGACCATAGTAGAAATAAGCTAGAAATCAATAACAAAAGATAACTAGAAAATTACCACATATTTGAAAATTAACACACTTAAAAATAACCAATGGGTCAAAACTGGAATCACAGTGAAAATTTGAAAATACTTAGAACTGCAGGAGCAAAAATGAAATATAAAAACATAATGGAAAGGAAGAGGCAAACTGTTATTTTATGTGTTTCTAATTATAAAATCCAAGAAAACCAACCGGAAGACTACTGGAACTTATAAGCACTCAGAGATAGCTGATTACCACATAAAAATCAATAGCTTTTCCATACAGTAGCAAAAGCTGATTAGAAAATGTCATGGTGAAAATATTTCACATTGCAATGGCAAGAAATAGTATAAATACATAAAAATAAACTGAACAAGAAATGTGCCATACTAAATGAAAAATGTTATATTTTGCTGATGGATATAAAGATGGATGGAAATTGAGAAACATACCTGGAACCTGGATGGCATGCAGTGTAGGGTTAGGAATATTGACTCTGGCTCCAGGAATCTGGAGCCCAGCCTGCTCAACTTCAAATCCTGGCTCTGTCACTTCCTAGCAGTGTGACTTTGGCCTATTACTTAAACCTCTTTGTGCCTCAATTTTATTTCCCTGTAAAGTGTCAGTAGCCATAGAGTTAAGGTTCACTGAGGAATCAATGAGTTATTCTACCATGATTAACCTATATAAGGCTGTGTGACCTGCACCCTGCTCTCCTGATTCCCTGTATCCTACTTTCCCTCCTCATTTTATTTTCTATAGCACTAACTACCCTCTAGCATATGATATCATTTACTTATTTTTGTTTGTTTGTTTTGAGGCAGGGTCTTGCTATTACCCAGGCTGGAGTGCAGTGGTGTGATCATCACTCATTGCAACCTTGATCTCCTGGGCTCAAGCGATCTTCCCACCTCAGCCTCCCAAGTAGCTGGGACCACAGGCATATGCCACCACGTCCAGCTAATTTTTAAACTTTTTGTAGAGATGGGATCTCCCTATGTTGCCCAGGCTGGCCTCAAACTCCTGGACTCAAGTGATCCTCCCGCTTTGGCCTCCCAAAGTGCTGGGATTACAGACGTGAGCCACCGCACCAGGCCGTATTTCTTATTTATTGACTGACTACCTCTGCCAAAATATAAGCTTCTTGAGGGCAAGAATCTCTGTTTTAATTTTTTGACATAAGAAATAAAATAAAATATAAATACATGTCTATATTTTTGAAAATATACCCCAAATGCTTAGATAATTTACTTGGCACCTGGCAGGGAAAATAGAATCATACCTGGTACACAATAAGCACTATTATTATAGTAAAGATGTCAGTTCTCCAGAAATTATAAATGTAATGCAACCCAATTAATATCACAGTGAGATGTTTTATAGAATTTGAGAAGCTGATTCTAGAATTCATTAGAAAGAGAAAGCAACAAAAGCGAATAAAACTTTTTAAAGGAACATGGTAGGAGGGGCTCGTCTTGCCATTAATCAGCACAATGACTTATTGGCACAGGAATAGACAAATAGATCCGTGAGATTGTGTGTGTGTGTGTGTGTGGGTGGGTGTTTGTAAAGATAGCATTTCACATGAGTGGAGAATAAACTATTCCATACCTAGTGTGGGCATAATTGACTGTTGGTTATCTTTCTATAAGATCTTTCCCACACCCTCCCAGCTTAAAAGCAATTCCTAATGGACTAAATAGCTTCTGTTTTTGATCATCTACTAACATGATTTTTAAATCAATATTTTCTCATTACTGCTTGCAATGATTTTCAAGTAGTTAAGCCTGAGTTCTGTTGATTTAAGTTGAGTTCCAAATCAAAGGGGCTCTGGTTTTAATTCCTGCACCTGCTACTAATTTTCTTTGTGTCCTTGAGCAAAGCACTTCCCCTTTAAGTGCTCAGTTCCATTGTCTACGAAGTGAGAAGTTTTTATTCAATTAATTAAGATACAGACAAGTTCAACTAACTGTTAGGTGATTTTAAATAATCCTCACAGCTCATTTTCTTCCTATTTTATAGTTGAAGAAACTAAGGTTCAGAAGAACAATGGCCTGTCCAGGATCTCACAACCAGCATCTACTTGTTCCAGTTCAAGTTAGGTTTGGCTGTTAATAACATCACCTGGTGGATCAAGGTAGAGGTTTGGGTTTTTTCCCAGTAAAATCAGCACAGTGTTAGGCAGTCCAAGGATAGTTTTAAGGAAGAAGGGGAAAATAAAATTGACTCAACAACTAGCATTTCGGTTACAGTGGTGAAATCTCACATCCAGGTCTACTGATCTATGTGTGATGCTCTTTTCATTAAATCTATAGACCTGACCCTCAGATTTGTAGAGACAACTTGGAGAGAAGATCAACATAGATTTCATGGAGGGAATGGCACTCGGGTTGTGCCTGCATTGATGGCTAGGAGGTGGACAGTTGGAGCCGGGATTCAGGGAATGCTTTGTTGTGGTGGGAACAGGATGGTCATGGACTGCAAGGGGAGGGGAAAGATGAGGGACAGGGTGTGGCTAAGATTGATTGGGTCCAGCATGGGTAATGGGAGGCTGGCAGTGACCCAGGCTGCTAGTAGTATGGCTTGTAGAGCATAGTTTCTTAAAGACATTAAGACATTATTCATGAAAGACATTATATGCCTGGGGGACCTTGGCATCCCCTGCCCTCAAAAAATTAAAAGAAAACAAACACGGTACCAGCAGGGATGGAACAGGCTAGAGGCTAGGGGATGGCACTTTATGTGGAGAGTTGGCTCAACTCAAAAAATTAGCTCCTGCTTGCCTGTCCAGGGTTGCTGATGTCTCTCCTTTGGGTTCAGGTAGCAGTTCCTAAACTTTGCTGTACATTGGAATCACCTGGAATCATCTTTAACAAACACTGCCCACTGGCTCCTGCCTTTAGAGATCCGATTTGAGTAGTATGGAGTGTAACCTGGGCTTCAAGAGTTGGAAACGCTCTGTAGGTGATTGGAATTCTTGGTCAGATTCGAAATCCACCAGGTGAAGGCATTGAATGCGAAATGTTAACCGTGAATTATATTTGGTGCCATTATGATTACATATAACATTGTATATAATGTTACCTATTATTATTGATACAGTTTTCCATTATATAGGCAGGCTGGGAGACAGTCCCAGCCCAGCCCTGGGCGCTTGCTGCCGCCTTGCCTGCAGAGCCACTAACCCAGAGGGCTTCACACAGTGAGGAGGGTGCCTTATTTGGCAGTATCTAACTCTGAGGCGCTGCATCCCCCGTTAGCACTTTCACAAGATGCTTTAGCACGCATTTGAGGCCTTCCGGGTTGAAAAACCAACAAAAGCAATTGAAAAGATGAATTTCCTGGGATTTAAAAGGTACTTATAATCACATCTCTCTTGCCACCCCCTGCCCTCCCAACTAGTGGGTTGGTTGGTCTCGTTTCAGTTGTGTAAGAGCTCTTTTAGCAGGGAACTAAAAGTCCTGGGCTAGAGTTGGCAGGGTCGGTGGGTAAGGCTTGGCTTGCTCTGGGGGCCAGGGCAGAGCTCTGGAGCCAGGGCGTGTCCATTTGGTCAGGGACCACTCCCCATCCCCGACTTTTCTGGGCTCCACGGGCTCTGCACAGTCAAGCTGTTTCCTGCCTTATCAGCAAAGGAGCTGGAGAAATGGAGAAGTGACAGCCATCTGTGTAAATTAACTCATTACCAGTAAAAAATTTGCAACACCTGGTATAAATTTCGCTGAGTTCAAAGTTGTAGCAGATAAAGGTACAATTAGGCTGAGAAGCTGCCTATTGGTGGCCGGGTAGGTGAGAGTGTGGGCGAAGGGCTTGCAGAGCCACAGTGGGGCTCTGTTTGCAAGTGGGAGCGGAGGCTGGGAGTTAGTGGCCTGCTGGCCTCCTCAGTGTTTAGCTGAAATTGCTGCTATTGTCAATAGAGATTGACAATTTAAAGAGCTACAAGAGCCTTGTCTGCTGATTGAATTTATTTATCAGCCGCATATTTTTGATCATGAGTAGAGGTGGCTTATCAAAAAGACGCGACGTGATGATGCATAAACCATTTTGTTTTGTTTAGCGAAAGTTGAAGTAAATTACATTTGTTATTTCAGTATTGCCTCGTCAAATTCTCAGGAGAACAATAATTCTAGAGCTCACTCAGAGTAGAGCAGACCAGCTCAATTATTAAAGTATTGAAAGGGAAGGCTGAGCAAGAAAGATTTGCTGTTGTAGCAGTTCCCTTTTCCTGAAGCATTTCCCCTTCAACTGATGGGAAAAAGAGTGAAGGAGAAGGTGCAGGAAAGGAGAAAGGGCAGTTGTTGTTTTGTAGCTGGAGGCTTTTATTTCCCCAGTGAGGGCCAGGTTTGCTGAAGAAAGAGGTCTATCTATGAAGGTTTTGGTCTAAAGGTTAATAGGATGTCAGAGAAAGTGAGAAAAAGGGAAGGCACTTGGAAAAGGATATGAATGACTTTCAAAGAGAGATTCTATTTGATTGTAAAAAAACAGATTACAGGTCAAATAAGTACACAGTAAAGTAATAATGGTTAAAATATACCTAGTTCTAAATATGTGCTGGCAGCTTTCTAAATATTTTACATATATTAACTAATTTAGTCTCAGAATAAGCTCATGAGGTAGAAACTAGTATTACCATCCCCTTAATGGTTGAAAAAACTAGGGCAAAGATAATTTGCTTAAGGTCAAAAGTGAGTATGCAGTGGAACCAAAATTTGGTTCCAGTAGGTATGGTTCTAGACCCTATTCTCTTGATCAACAGTACTCAAACTGTAGTCCTGGACCAGCAGCACCTCCATCCCCTAGGAACTTGTTAGAAACGCAAACTCTGAAGCCCCACCCCAGACCTGCTGAATCAGAGACTCTGGGGTTTGGGCCAGGAATAAGATCTAACCAATCTAATTTCTCTAATTTTTTCTTGGGATCCTCTTTTGCTGTGAGATCCTGCTGGCTGAGGTTACGTATTATTGGTTTTCTATTGCTGCTTTAACAAATCACCACAAACTTAGTGGCTTAAAACAATACAGATTGCAGTTCTAGAGATCATAAGTCAGCTATGGGTCTTACAGGGCTAAAGTCAAATTATGGGCAGGGCTGTGTTCTTTTCTGGAGGATTTAGGGAAGAATTGGATTCCAAGCTCATTCAGATGTTGGCAGAACTTAGTGCCTTGCTGTTGCAGAACTGAGGTCCCCCTTTCATTGCTGGCTGTCTTGCAGGGGCTGCCCTTAATTATTGAAGGCCTCCCTGTGGTTCTTTCACACAGCCTCCTACATCTCAGAACAAGGAACAATGCATCAAATCTTTCTGATGCTGCCATCTTTCTGATTCAGCGAGGGAAGTTTATCTCTCTTAAGGACTCATGTGCTTTGATTGGATCCACCTAAGTGAACCAGCATGCTCTCCCTATCATAAGGTTCACACCCTTAATCATATCTGCAAAGTCCTTTTTACTTTGAATAAGGTCACATATTTACGGTGAATAAGGTCACGTATTCACAGTTTCTGGGATTAGGGTGTGAATATATTTGGGGGTTCCATTATTCTGTCTACCATAAATTACTCGCTTAATATTTTCTATGCTTCCACAAAAAAGGGTGTGTGTGTGTGGTGCTCTACATGTTTTCTTCTTTTTAGTAAAAGAGGGATCTTACCATTTTGTTTTACAACTGGCTTTTTGTTCACTTAACAGCATGTAATAGGCATCTTTCCAAATATTACACATAGTTCTGCCTCATTCCTTTGAAGGGCTGCCCAGTGGTCCAGGAGATGGTTGCATGTTACATCATTTCTTTAACCTACTCTCATTGGTGGATATTTCAGCTGTTTTTATTTTTCATCTCTTTAAATACAGAGACAGTGACCATCATTGTACCTATGTCTGTGCATTTCTATACCTTTGTCTTCCTATCGTCTGTTTTCCAAACAGCAGCCAGTGCATGATCATTTTAAAGCATAAGCCTACTTGGTACCTTTCTTTTTTTTTTATTATACTTTAAGTTTTAGGGTACATGTGCACATTGTGCAGGTTAGTTACATATGTATACATGTGCCATGCTGGTGCGCTGCACCCACTAACTCGTCATCTAGCATTAGGTATATCTCCCGATGCTATCCCTCCCCCCTCCCCCCACCCCACAACAGTACCCAGAGTGTGATATTCCCCTTCCTGTGTCCATGTGATCTCATTGTTCAATTCCCACCTATGAGTGAGAATATGTGGTGTTTGGTTTTTTGTTCTTGCGATAGTTTACTGAGAATGATGATTTCCAATTTCATCCATGTCCCTACAAAGGACATGAACTCATCATTTTTTATGGCTGCATAGTATTCCATGGTGTATATGTGCCACATTTTCTTCATCCAGTCTATCATTGTTGGACATTTGGGTTGGTTCCAAGTCTTTGCTATTGTGAATAATGCCGCAATAAACATACGTGTGCATGTGTCTTTATAGCAGCATGATTTATAGTCCTTTGGGTATATACCCAGTAATGGGATGGCTGGGTCAAATGGTATTTCCAGTTCTAGATCCCGGAGGAATCGCCACACTGCCTTCCACAATGGTTGAACTAGTTTACAGTCCCACCAACAGTGTAAAAGTGTTCCTATTTCTCCACAGCCTCTCCAGCACCGGTTGTTTCCTGACTTTTTAATGATTGCCATTCTAACTGGTGTGAGATGGTATCTCATTGTGGTTTTGATTTGCATTTCTCTGATGGCCAGTGATGGTGAGCATTTTTTCATGTGTTTTTTGGCTGCATAAATGTCTTCTTTTGAGAAGTGTCTGTTCATGTCCTTCGCCCACTTTTTGATGGGGTTGTTTGTTTTTTTCTTGTAAATTTGTTTGAGTTCATTGTAGATTCTGGATATTAGCCCTTTGTCAGATGAGTAGGTTGCGAAAATTTTCTCCCATTTTGTAGGTTGCCTGTTCACTCTGATGGTAGTTTCTTTTGCTGTGCAGAAGCTCTTTAGTTTAATTAGATCCCATTTGTCAATTTTGGCTTTTGTTGCCATTGCTTTTGGTGTTTTAGATATGAAGTCCTTGCCCATGCCTATGTCCTGAATGGTAAAGCCTAGGTTTTCTTCTAGGGTTTTTATGGTTTTAGGTCTAACGTTTAAGTCTTTAATCCATCTTGAATTGATTTTTGTATAAGGTGTAAGGAAGGGATCCAGTTTCAGCTTTCTACATATGGCTAGCCAGTTTTCCCAGCACCATTTATTAAACAGGGAATCCTTTCCCCATTGCTTGTTTTTCTCACGTTTGTCAAAGATCAGATAGTTGTAGATATGCGGCGTTCTTTCTGAGGGCTCTGTTCTGTTCCATTGATCTATATCTCTGTTTTGGTACCAGTACCATGCTGTTTTGGTTACTGTAGCCTTGTAGTATAGTTTGAAGTCAGGTAGTGTGATGCCTCCAGCTTTGTTCTTTTGGCTTAGGATTGACTTGGCGATGCGGGCTCTTTTTTGGTTCCATATGAACTTTAAAGTAGTTTTTTCCAATTCTGTGAAGAAAGTCATTGGTAGCTTGATGGGGATGGCATTGATCTGTAAATTACCTTGGGCAGTATGGCCATTTTCACGATATTGATTCTTCCTACCCATGAGCATGGAATGTTCTTCCATTTGTTTGTATCCTCTTTTATTTCGTTGAGCAGTGGTTTGTGGTTCTCCTTGAAGAGGTCCTTCACATCCCTTGTAAGTTGGATTCCTAGGTATTTTATTCTCTTTGAAGCAATTGTGAATGGGAGTTCACTCATGATTTGGCTCTCTGTTTGTCTGTTGTTGGTGTATAAGAATGCTTGTGATTTTTGTATATTGATTTTGTATCCTGAGACTTTGCTGAAGTTGCTTATCAGCTTAAGGAGATTTTGGGCTGAGACGATGGGGTTTTCTAGATATACAATCATGTCGTCTGCAAACAGGGACAATTTGACTTCCTATTTTCCTAATTGAATACCCTTTATTTCCTTCTCCTGCCTGATTGCCCTGGCCAGAACTTCCAACACTATGTTGAATAGGAGTGGTGAAAGAGGGCATCTCTGTCTTGTGCCAGTGTTCAAAGGGAATGCTTCCAGTTTTTGCCCATTCAGTATGATATTGGCTGTGGGTTTGTCATGGATAGCTCTTATTATTTTGAAATACGTCCCATCAATACCTAATTTATTGAGAGTTTTTAGCATGAAGGGCTGTTGAATTTTGTCAAAGGCTTTTTCTGCATCTATTGAGATAATCATGTGGTTTTTGTCTTTGGCTCTGTTTATATGCTGGATTACATTTATTGATTTGCGTATATTGAACCAGCCTTGCATCCCAGGGATGAAGCCCACTTGATCATGGTGGATAAGATTTTTGATGTGCTGCTGGATTCGTTTTGCCAGTATTTTATTGAGGATTTTTGCATCAATGTTCATCAAGGATATTGGTCTAAAATTCTCTTTTTTTGTTGTGTCTCTGCCCGGCTTTGGTATCAGAATGATGCTGGCCTCATAAAATGAGTTAGGGAGGATTCCCTCTTTTTCTATTGATTGGAATGGTTTCAGAAGGAATGGTACCAGTTCCTCCTTGTACCTCTGGTAGAATTCGGCTGTGAATCCATCTGGTCCTGGACTCTTTTTGGTTGGTAAGCTATTGATTATTGCCACAATTTCAGCTCCTGTTATTGGTCTATTCAGAGATTCAACTTCTTCCTGGTTTAGTGTTGGGAGAGTGTATGTGTTGAGGAATTTATCCATTTCTTCTAGATTTTCTAGTTTATTTGCATAGAGGTGTTTGTAGTATTCTCTGATGGTAGTTTGTATTTCTGTGGGATCGGTGGTGATATCCCCTTTATCATTTTTTATTGCATCTATTTGATTCTTCTCTCTTTTTTTCTTTATTAGTCTTGCTAGTGGTCTATCAATTTTGTTGATCCTTTCAAAAAACCAGCTCCTGGATTCATTAATGTTTTGAAGGGTTTTTTGTGTCTCTATTTCCTTCAGTTCTGCTCTGATTTTAGTTATTTCTTGCCTTCTGCTAGCTTTTGAATGTGTTTGCTCTTGCTTCTCTAGTTCTTTTAATTGTGATGTTAGGGTGTCAATTTTAGATCTTTCCTGCTTTCTCTTGTGGGCATTTAGTGCTATAAATTTCCCTCTACACACTGCTTTGAATGTGTCCCAGAGATTCTGGTATGTTGTGTCTTTGTTCTCGTTGGTTTCAAAGAACATCTTTATTTCTGCCTTCATTTCGTTATGTACCCAGTAGTCATTCAGGAGCAGGTTGTTCAGTTTCCATGTAGTTGAGCGGTTTTGAGTGAGATTCTTAATCCTGAGTTCTAGTTTGATTGCACTGTGGTCTGAGAGACAGTTTGTTATCATTTCTGTTCTTTTACATTTGCTGAGGAGAGCTTTACTTCCAACTATGTGGTCAATTTTGGAATAGGTGTGGTGTGGTGCTGAAAAAAATGTATATTCTGTTGATTTGGGGTGGAGAGTTCTGTAGATGTCTATTAGGTCCTCTTGGTGCAGAGCTGAGTTCAATTCCTGGATATCCTTGTTAACCTTCTGTCTTGTTGATCTGTCTAATGTTGACAGTGGGGTGTGAAAATCTCCCATTATTATTGTGTGGGAGTCTAAGTCTCTTTGTAGGTCTCTAAGGACTTGCTTTATGAATCTGAGTGCTCCTGTATTAGGTGCATATATATTTAAGATAGTTAGCTCTTCTTGTTGAATTGATCCCTTTACCATTATGTAATGGCCTTCTTTGTCTCTTTTGATCTTTGTTGGTTTAAAGTCTGTTTTATCAGAGACTAGGATTGCAACCCCTGCCTTTTTTTGTTTTCCATTGGCTTGGTAGATCTTCCTCCATCCTTTTATTTTGAGCCTATGTGTGTCTCTGCACATGAGATGGGTTTCCTGAATACAGCACACTGATGGGTCTTGACTCTTTATCCAATTTGCCAGTCTATGTCTTTTAATTGGAGCGTTTAGTCCATTTACATTTAAAGTTAATATTGTTATGTGTGAATTTGATCCTGCCATTATGATGTTAGCTGGTGATTTTGCTCGTTAGTTGATGCGGTTTCTTCCTAGTCTCGATGGTCTTTACATTTTGGCATGATTTTGCAGCGGCTGGTAGCGGTTGTTCCTTTCCATGTTTAGTGCTTCCTTCAGGAGCTCTTGTAAGGCAGGCCTGGTGGTGAGAAAATCTCTCAGCATTTGCTTGTCTGTAAAGGATTTTATTTCTCCTTCACTTATGAAGCTTAGTTTGGCTGGATATGAAATTCTGGGTTGAAAATTCTTTTCTTTAAGAATGTTGAATATTGGCCCCCACTCTCTTCTGGCTTGTAGGGTTTCTGCCGAGAGATCTGCTGTTAGTCTGATGGGCTTCCCTTTGTGGGTAACCCGACCTTTCTCTCTGGCTGCCCTTAACATTTTTTCCTTCATTTCAACTTTGGTGAATCTGACAATTATGTGTCTTGGAGTTGCTCTTCTCGAGGAGTATCTTTGTGGTGTTCTCTGTATTTCCTGAATCTGAACGTTGGCCTGCCTTGCTAGATTGGGGAAGTTCTCCTGGATAATATCCTGCAGAGTGTTTTCCAACTTGGTTCCATTCTCCCCATCACTTTCAGGTACACCAATCAGACGTAGATTTGGTCTTTTCACATAGTCCCATATTTTTTGGAGGCTTTGCTCATTTCTTTTTATTCTTTTTTCTCTAAACTTCCCTTCTCACTTCATTTCATTCATTTCATCTTCCATTGCTGATACCCTTTCTTCCAGTTGATCGAATCAGCTACTGAAGCTTCTGCATTCTTCACGTAGTTCTCGAGCCTTGGTTTTCAGCTCCATCAGCTCCTTTAAGCACTTCTCTGTATTGGTTATTCTAGTGATATATTCTTCTAAATTTTTTTCAAAGTTTTCAACTTCTTTGCCTTTGGTTTGAATGTCCTCTCGTAGCTCAGAGTAATTTGATCGTCTGAAGCCTTCTTCTCTCAGCTCGTCAAAGTCATTCTCCATCCAGCTTTGTTCTGTTGCTGGTGAGGAACTTCGTTCCTTTGGAGGAGGAGAGGCGCTCTGCGTTTTAGAGTTTCCAGTTTTTCTGTTCTGTTTTTTCTCCATCTTTGTGGTTTTATCTACTTTTGGTCTTTGATGATGATGATGTACAGATGGGTTTTTGGTGTGGATGTCGTTTCTGTTTGTTAGTTTTCCTTCTAACAGAGAGGACCCTCAGCTGCAGGTCTGTTGGAATACCCTGCCGTGTGAGGTGTCAGTGTGCCCCTGCTGGGGGGTGCCTCCCAGTTAGGCTGCTCGGGGGTCAGGGGTCAGGGACCCACTTTAGGAGGCAGTCTGCCCGTTCTCAGATCTCAAGCTGCGTGCTGGGAGAACCACTGCTCTCTTCAAAGCTGTCAGACAGGGACATTTAAGTCTGCAGAGGTTACTGCTGTCTTTTTGTTTGTCTGTGCCCTGCCCCCAGAGATGGAGCCTACAGAGGCAGGCAGGCCTCCTTGAGCTGTGGTGGGCTCCACCCAGTTCGAGCTTCCCAGCTGCTTTGTTTACCTAATCAAGCCTGGGCAATGGCGGGCGCCCCTCCCCCAGCCTCGCTGCCGCCTTGCAGTTTGATCTCAGACTGCTGTGCTAGCAATGAGCGACGCTCCGTGGGCGTAGGACCCTCCGAGCCAGGTGCGGGATATAATCTCGTGGTGTGCCGTTTTTTAAGCCTGTCGGAAAAGCGCAGTATTCAGGTGGGAGTGACCCGATTTTCCAGGTGCCGTCCGTCACCCCTTTCTTTGACTCAGAAAGGGAACTCCCTGACCCCTTGCGCTTCCCAAGTGAGGCAATGCCTCGCCCCGCTTCAGCTCGCGCACAGTGCGCGCACCCACTGACCTGCGCCCACTGTCTGGCACTCCCTAGTGAGATGAACCTGGTACCTCAGATGGAAATGCAGAAATCAACCGTCTTCTGCGTTGCTCACGCTGGGAGCTGTAGACCAGAACTGTTCCTATTCGGCCATCTTGGCTCGGAATTCCTATTCGGTACATTTCAATGTCTTCCCATCTTTGTTAGGTAGAGTCTAACTTCCTTACCATGGTCTACAGTGGCCTTCAGAAAATGGCTACCTGCCACCTCCATGACGATCATGTTTCCCATTGCTCACTCCATTCCAGCCACACTGACTTTTTCATGATCCCTTGAACATGCCAAGCCCCTTTCTGCCTCAGAACCTTTGCATTTTCCATTGCCTCCATTGGGAAGGCTGTTGCCCCAGAGCTCTATGCGGCTCACCTTCTGACATGCTTCATGCCTTTCTGACATGTTATCTTATCAGAGAAAAGTTCCCTGGCTGTTTACCCAAGAAATAGTGGCATTTTCCTTTTACTCCCATCACTCTTGTCCCCTCACCCTGTTTTCTCTTTTATTTTGTTATGCATTCTTTGATACATATGAAATGTATGAACAATAATGCATGTCATGCATATTTATGTTATGAATAATTATGAACGAAGCAATGAAGTGAACACAACTGTTCTGTAGTTTCCTTCAGAGCACTGATGACTACCTGATGCTGTTTTTATAGTATCACTGCCTACTGTGACATAACAACCCCATGAGGCCTTAATACTGAGTTATTTACCACTGTCTCTTCAGTGTTTAGCTCAGTGTCTAGCACATAGTGAGTGTTCAATAATTGTTAAGTGAATAAATTTGTGAAGATAGATGACTAGCCATGTAATTTCTGAGACAAAAGAATTTCAAAGTACCCTTCGAAAGGTATGGTACTATACAATCCCACCGACAGTATATTGTTTCTTATTTGGTGTTTTTTTTAATGTGGGATACCTTTTGGAAACATGCAGGTTGTTAATTATAAATAAGAATGAATCACAGAACTCTGGCAGGCAATAAAAGTTACTCTTTTTCTCTTGCAGGGGATGGTGAGGGAAACTTATTAGACAATGAAGGAGTTTACCTCCAGCTTGCTTTCCACAATTTGGGAATAAGAGGGCTTCTCTCCCACCATGCTTTTTGGTTGGAAGAGAAGGTAGAGAGTAAGGCAAAAGGGTGGAGTAAATGTTCACACCCTAATCTCTGGAACTGAAATAAAAGGATTAGAGATTAAATATGATCAGAAAAAATGTTCTCTTTTGATGAAGTCTTCTCAGACTAGTCTGTGTACTATAGTAACCTCCATCTCATTTACTTTTTGGTTTGTAAGTTGTATTAAAGCTTCATTTACATACAATAAAATTCATACATTAAGTGTACAGATTGGTGATTTTATTCTCTTTATATTTCACTAAGTTTTTCATATTATTTTTACCTCCAAAGTTATACCTAATCATAGCTTTTTATTTTTGATAAATGTTGTGGAGAAATTTATTCTCACAAAATAAAAGCTAAAAAATCCAATGAGACCAGGTTTTAAAGATGTACAGTGTGAAAATTCTGAGGTTGTATAGCCTTCTCCCTATCAGTATTCTCTGTAATCTTTCTAGCATCACAAAATATCCATTGTCCCATCTGATTTCTATTTTTCCCTGTTTGTTTTTTGATAATTATTTAATCCATTTCTTGTGCTTATTGTATACATCCCTGGTTCTCTTTTTTTGAGGGAGAGACTAATTTACCCATTTATCTGGTGATTTTTTGACAATAAAAATATTATTCAAATTTTGATGTGAAGAAAAATTATTGAATGTAAAAAATGGCACACACTGATAGTATTTTAAATGCTGTGTGACCCTGAGTGACTTCTTTGGATAACGAGGTAGAGGATTGTTTCCTACCGAAAGGACACCCTGTATTTGATCTTTAACAATTGCACTTTAGTGGGCAGAGCTTGATCAAGGCAAGATGATTAGACTAGGAGATAAAAGACCTGGCCTAGTCACCACCAGCTAGCTCCTGGATTCACAGCCGAATTGGAAAGTCAGGATACATGACACATAATGGCAATACAAAGCAACAATGGAGACCTTTCTAGAAAGTTGTGAGGAATGTTCACATGAGGGAGATGAATTCCAGCTGCTGGCATCAAGGAAAGTTCCATTGAGAGGGTAGCCTCTGGAACTTGGTGATTCTTGGAATTCGACTTTGGAGATGGAGAAACAAATAGAGAAAATAATGTGAGAAAACACAGATGCCAGAAAGTATGGGGTATATATAGGGAGCACTGGACATTTTTTTTTGGAACATGAGTTGTATTGGATGCAAAACGTGAGTTGAAGCTGAAAAAATAATTTGGACAAAATCTTGGAATGGACAAATGTCCCCCTTTAAAACTCTAGTCTCACCTGATCATACACTCTCCTTGCCTTGACTCTCCTTTGTTTAGTTGAATTGTATTGTTCTCTTCAAAACTAACTTGGCTAAATAAAGAGAAGCCAATACATTGTGAAAATACAAATGACCACATGCAAAGATGTCCAACATTGTTAGCCTTAGGGAAACACAAATGAAAGCCACAGTGAGACATTGCTACACATTTATCAGAATGGCTAAAATAAAACATAATAACAATACCAAATGCTGGTGAGGATGCAGAGAAATTGGGTCACTTCTACATTATTGGTAGAATGTAAAATGGTATAGCTGCACTGGAAAACATTTTAGTAATTTCTTAAGAAACAAAACATGCAACTACAACGTAACTCAGCAATAACTCAGCACTTCTGGGCAGTTATCCCAGAGCAATGAAAACTTACATTCACACAGAAATCTATACGACAATGTTTGTAGCCCAAAATTGGGGAAAAACACCAAGATGTCCTTCAATGGGTAAATGGTTAAACAATCTGTAGCACATCCATATCATACCAGTGACAAAAAGGAATACACTATTGATACATGCAACAACTTGGATGAATCTCAAGGGCATTATGCAGAGTGAAAAAGCCAATCTCAAGTGGTTACATAATGGATGATTTAATTATGTATCTAATGTTTTTGAAGGGAGAAATTTTGAGAAATGGAGAAAAGATTGGTAATTGCCAGGGGCTACAGATAGGGATAAAAATGTGGGAGCAAAGTGAGTGAGGCTGCAATATGAGGGATCTTGTGGTGATGGAGATGTTCAGTATCTTGACTGTGATGGTGGTGTCACACACACACACGTGCACATACACACACACACAAACAGAGAAATGAGTACAGGTAAAACTAGGGAACTCTGAATAAGATCAGTGGATTATATCAATATCAATATCTTGGTTGTGATATTATGCTTTTGCAAAATGTTACCATCGGGGGAAACTTGATAAAGTGTACACGGAATTCTCTGCATTATTTTTTGCAGCTGCAAAGGGATCTACAATAATCTCAATGAAAATTGCAGTTAAAAAAATCCCAATGGCATAAGGTTCTCAAACCCAATTTTCTAAATTACGTATGTTGTTAACTAACATCAATCCTTAAACAGCAAGCATGTCTTCAGTTCCTTGGCCTGGCCTCTACCCCACTAATTAATCTTCATGTGGTAAGAGTCATCTTATTTTCTATCTTTCAAAGACTGGTCAATGTATTTTCTTTTTCAACGCGTGCAAAAGTCCAGGCTCTAACATTGCCACCTACTTAGGATTCTCGTATTGAGCTCTGGTTTCTAATTTGTGAGACCTGCCTCATTCACAGCCAATTGAAACAATGAATGTCTGTAACTTCCAGGTGAGATCTGATCCCCAGATGTGGCAGTCATGAAAGTTCACTCCTCAGATCACCCTTCAAGAAAGAACCTGCTGTTCATATGCAGGGGATGCAGTGAGTTGGCATCCTCCAGGTGCAGCACCTTCAGGATCTGCCTCAGAGTGTGGGGGAAGGCCACACTTACTGAGTGGTATTTAGCCAATGATTGGGCATGATGTGGTTGCTAGTGCCTGTCCTTTAGGGGATGCCTCTAATGGACAATCTTTGCTCCAGAGCTTCTCACTGGGTTTTCCAAGACTTTCTCAGATATGCAGTTTGATGTGAAGCTCTTCCTGCTAAATCTTGATTTCCTCCTCCTTTCCTTTCACAGGTATCATATCTGTAAGGCAATCTGAAGGCCCTTTCTGCTCATCTGCTTTATTCCCTTTTCAGCTTTCACAGGCATTACTCCCCAATGAATTTCTTGTGTTCCTAACTTTTTGTTAAAAGCTGTTTCTTGGATACCCAAAATGACATACAATAAAAGTAGCTTAAAAACCTCTCTGGTTATAGGCCCACAGTATAGCAATTCTTTGTCTGAACAGAATCCGTGACATCCTTACTAAAAAATTATGAACATTCAATAACAGGAGGGTTGTTCTCTCTTGTTGGTGGTTACAGTCAGTATAGTTCAGGTGTTCTTGCTCTATCATAAAATTGGGTTTGGGTGGTAGGTGGCTGAAATGAAATGCTGATAAAGCAAAGTCCATGGGATTGAAGAGTAAGGAGGAACTGAAGTGGGTGCATTTATTGGGACACCAATGTGGAAGTCAATGTTCCAGTGTCTTCTACTAACATCTGTCTTCTACTAGAAGAAGATTCCCAGCTGTTACATCTGACACCTATTTATTAGATTGGTTAAATTTTATGTTTCTTGAAGTTAAGTGGTGGTCTCCTTAAGGCCAAGGGTAACAGCTCACACAAAGACTTGGTCAAGCTCCCCTTCACTGCTCTAAAGAAATATCTAGATTTAAGCTAGTAATCTCATGGCTATCTGTAAAATCTATGATATCTTAAAGTTATTGCAAGAATATTACAGGCTTTTGATTTTAAAAATCAAAAGGGGTTTCTGAGCATCATATACATTTTTAATCACAAAGTCATGTTCCATATTTTGAATGAACCACCCCTACGCACACACTTCCCCTTCTCTCTTGGGCAAAGGCTCCATTTCTGTTACCCCTCTTGACTTGTCAGATTTTCTGGCATGTCATTCTCATCCTACTGAACACAACTGGAATTTGTGTTGGCAGATTTTCTGCGCATGCTGGGTCAGTTAGAGAAGGAAAATTATTGTATTTGATTAAGATGTTTTCATTTTTGTTCTGTTCTGAAGGCAAATTAGGACTATCCGAATTAGTTTATTCTTTTAGTGTTGATTGTCTTAACTTTTGCTGCCAATCTGGATTTTGAATTCATATTTTTAATCATTCAAGGATTATTTTTGGATAAACCGATGTGGAATTCAATTTTACTTTCCAAATTACATAGCTCCAGAAGGATCTAGAGATTAGAAGGCTGAGCAACCTGTTTGTTATTAGCAATATGTCGTGCTCTACACTTTTACTTTAAGTATGATGTAAAAAAGCATCAGGAATCTTTAAGCCACAGGGGTCTTGACCTGGCAATTAACTCTCAGACCTAAATTATTCATCAATTTGTTTGTTCTTTGAACAAAGTTTTGAGTACCTGCTGCATGCCAGGCGTTATTCCGGTGCTGGAGTTGCCATGGTGAGTAAGAAAACATCTCTCTCTTAATTGAAGCTTATACATTAGTGGAACAAGCAAACTATTGGATTCATGATGTTAGGTATTGGTAAGTGTGATTAATAAAAATAGAGCAGGGTAAAGAACTAGCAAGATTTCAGGCATTCTGTTTTAGAAATTACAGTCAGAACAGTTTTCTCTGAAGATGTGTCATTTGAACAGAGACCTGAATGAAGTAAGAGTAAGCCATGAAGAGCAGCAAAGGCAAAGGTCCTGCGGTAGGGGTTGCTTGGTATGTCTGAAATATAGCAAGAAGGCTGCTGTGTTTGGATCATAGTGAGTTAGCAGAAGTTAGCAGAAGAAGGATACTAGAGGGTTCCAGGCCATGGTAAGGATAAGAATTGTTTCTAAGCATGGCACTTCTGTCATCTTTATCAATCAGTCATCACATTCATCAGCATTGTCAATTAGTGTCTGACCTCCTCACCCTGAATTGCCTTCAAATTACTTAACACACATTTTCTAGGCACCTGTTTTGACCTAGGCACTGCTTATTTTGCTTGGCTGTGGACAAAGGAAAAATAACACCTAGTCTTTGCCCTCTGATTGCTAACAGTCCAATGAGCGAATGCAGACATATGTGATATCACCATTTGCCTTTTGTTAGGACTACGGATCTTGAGAAAAGTATGAGACACTATGGGAATGCTTTCTGTGAATTTTCTCATTGTAAAGGAAGGATTGCAGCATTAATACCCCACAATAATAATTTCTTATATTCTAGAGTGTTTAATGTTTACAGAGTATCTTACATTACAGTCATGATCCTGACCAAAATGAGATAACTTTTATAAACACCCAACACAGTGCCTGACACTTAGAAGACATGTAGTACATGATAATTCACTTTTTCTTCACAACCATCCAAAGGTTGCTAAGGTTGCTATGTATCCTCAGTGATGAAGTAATGAGTTCATTGCTAAATAACCAATACATGGGAAATCAGGTTCTTGTTTTACAAGAACAGAGAATTGCTCAGATTACTTCACACTAGGGAGGGATTGATGTTGGGGTTATCAAGATTTGTGTCGAAATGAGCAGGAATCTCAGTGTAGGCGCCTAAAACAGCCATGTAGTTGGACTTTGTGAGGACTGGAAGGAGGTTTAGGGAAACTAAAAATTTTCAAACTTCAACACAGCTCTAGTGATTTATGACTTGGCAACTTTTTGCAAGAGAATTCCAGGGTGCCAGGAGAGGGGAAAGGTTGAGCAATATTGCTGCCTGGCTAAGTGCTTTCCCAAACGACATCTTCAGCTTCCAGGGACACCACAAGGAGTTCCAGGACAGGAGTTTATGATTATATTTGATGAATGCTTCCTATTTTGATTGGGAAGTTTTCCAGTTTACAAGATTGACTGGAATTGTAGACATGTGGGTACTGCCAGTGGAAGGAGAAATCAAGGAAACTACTCAAATAGCATGGCTTTTTTGGTTTGCATGTCAGCTTAGCACTGAGGAACTTGGTTCAGATAAGTTTGAATTACATCGTTCAGCATATGTAATTTGATACCTGAGTGGAAATTTGCATCAATTCCCAAGGGCTGCAGCTGAGAGCATTGCCAGGAGGAATTCTTTAAGGCTGAAAATATATCTTTAAATAGGCATTGTGCCTCCAGTTCCGCTCTAGAATCACCCATTGCTACAATGCCTGGAAAATCACAGGGAGTCCAGGGGACCTGGGAGAGTGGCTGAGCACAGCTTTTAGTAGTTAATTCCTCTATATTCAATTTTTCTCTGAGTACCTACAAGACCAACTGATTCAGAGTTCTGTGAAGAAGAGGACTTCTATTGTATCTGTAGCCACCTTTCCCTCATGGAAAGTCCTTTTTTTTCCCCTTTCACATTTACTAAGTACTTCCCATGAACCAGCTGCTGCTTTTCCTTAATCCTTAATCCACAAACAAATGGGTTGATTTGTCATCCTAAAGCTCAGCTCGATTTTATATCATTTGCCTGCTCAAAAATCTTAGTGTTCCTCTCCATAGCACCTAACAGAAAGCTTGATTTCTGCCCTGGGTTCTTGTCTTGATCATGGCGGTTACCTGTGACCTCTTCTTCCCTCGAGTTTCTGTGATTCTGGGATATGGCTCCCAGCTTAGCTTCTGATATTGATTTTTTTTTGTTCACTGCTGTATCCCTTGGTCAATAGAACAGCGTATAATCCATAGTAGACACTCAGTAAATACTGGTTGAGTGGATGGAGACAGAAAATGAAAAGAAATTGTTTGCCTAAATTACCAAGTCACAGCTCCCTGGAAGGATCTAGTTTTATCTGTGGTCCTTTGTCACTATTCATAAGAAAAAATGCTCAATTTCACATAAATAAGAACATTTCAAACTAAAACTGCACTGAGATATCATTTTCAACCCTCAGATTGAAAAGGGCGTAAATGCTTGATAGCATACTGTGTTGGCAGAGGCTTGAGAAAGCAGGCATTGTCACATGTGGGGATGTGAACTAATGTACTGTCAGAGGGCAATTTGACAGTATCTAACAAAATGAAAATTATATGCATCCTTTGATCCAGTGGTTCTATCTAGGAACTTTAAAAAATAAATATGTTATTCTGTTACCCTAGTCCTTTCAAACTCTCCTGAACAATGGTTTGATTCTTTTCTCCTGGAATGCCAACACCTCCTTTCCTGCCTCACTCTCAGCTGAAAATGATCTTGCTTTCTGCTTCACTGAGAAAACAGAGGCAATCAAAGGGAATCTCCACATACTATCAACATCTTTTCCACCTACCTGCATCTACACCCAGGACCTCTGTTCTGATCAGCATATAAACAAGCTGTAATTTCTTCAATCTTAAAGAAAAATTCTGATGTATCATACCAGCTTTGCTGTATTTTTCTTTCCCTCGAAAAATAATTCCCCGTACTAGCTGTCTTCAGTCCTTTTTTTTCCCAATTCCTCTTCAACTATTTCCCATCAGGCCTTCTTTCTCACCACTCTACTCAACTATTCTTGTCAAAGTTACCAGTCCCCTCCAGGTAACCAGATTACAAGAATGTTTCCTAGTCCTTTTTTATACTTGACCTATCTGCTTTATTCGATACAGTTGGTTCCTCCCTCTTCCTTGAAAAACTTTCTACACTTGGCTTCTAGGAAAGCCCACTTCCCTGATTCTCCTCCAACCATTTCGACTATTCCTTCTCAGAATCCTTTCCTGATTCCTCCTCATCTTCCTGACTTCTAAACGTTGGAATGTCCTAGAACTTGATGTCTTCTATATTTATATGCACTCCCTAGGTAGTCTCAACCAGTTGCATGACTTTCAATAGCGTATATATGTTGATGACTTCTAAATTATATTTAGTTGGTACCTCTGCCATAAACTCTAGACTTATAAATCCAACTGCCTATTAGACATGTCTATTTTAACGTCTAACATGCAGTCAGTTATGTTATAACTCTTGCTTTGAAAATTTGAATTTGTTTCAACACAATTGATATATTAGGGAACAATTTGACCATAATGCACATTTCACGTATGCATTATTTTGTTCAAGAAAAACACTAGGGGAACACAGAAAACTCCACCTGTAGTGAGCAGTGTAGGAATGCACAAAATGCACATGTGTGCACAACTCAAACATCTGTCAGCTACCTCAGTTTACCATGTGTGTTAGGAGCTACACCCATCCACATCTGAATTATGGTTAAGTCCTCAAAAGCAATTACAACAAAAATAAAAATTGACAAGTGAGATATAATTAAAGAGCTTCTGCACAGCAAAAGAAACTATCAACAGAGTAAAGAGACAACCTATAGAATGGGAGAAAATATTTGCAAACTATGTATCCAACAAAGGTCTAATATTCAGAATCTAAAGAATTTAAACAAATTCACAAGCAAAACACAACCCCAATAAAAATGGGCAAAGAACATAATCAAACACTTCTCAAAAGAAGACATACACGTGGCCAACAAATATATGAAAAATGCTCATTATCATTAATCATTAGAGAAATGCAAATCAAAACCATAATGAGATACCATCTCACACCAGTCAGAATAACTATTACTTAAAAGTCAGAAAACATCAGATGCTGGTGAGGTTGTTTATACACTCCTGGTGGAGATGTGAATAATTCAGCCACTGCGGACAGCAGTCTGGAGATTGCCAAAAGGGCTTAAAACAGAACTACCATTTGACCCAGCAATCTCACTATTGGGTATATGTGATGGTTAATATTAGGTGTCAATTTGATTGAATTGAGGGATTCCTATATAACTGGTAAAGTGTTGTTTCTGGGTGTGTTTGTGAGGGTGTTGCCGGAGGAGATTGACATTCGAGCTGGTGGACTGGGAGTGAAGACCCACCCTCAATGTGGCACCATGCAATTGGCTGCCAGCACAGCTAAAACAAAGCAGGTGGAAGAAAGGGGGATAGCTTGCTTGCTGAGTCTTCTGGCTCTCTTTTTTTCCCCATACCAGATGCTTGCTTCCACTCCTTATGCCCTTGCACATTGGACTCCAGGTTCTTCAGACTTTGGACTCTGGGACTTCCAGCAAAGTGGCTTTCCAGAAACTTTTGGGCCTTTTGCTGCACTATTGGCTTCCCTGGTTTTGAGATTTTTGGACTTAGACTGAGCCACTTTTGGCTTCTCTCTTTCCCCAGCGTACAGAATGCCTATTGTAGGAATTTGCCTTGTAGTAGTATGAGCAAATTCTCTAATAAACTCCTTTATATATAGACATCTATCCTGTTGGTTCTGTCTCTCTGGAGAACGCTAATACATACCCAAAGGAAAATAAATTTTTCTACCAAAAAGACACTTGCACTCATATCTTCACCACAGTGCTATTCACAATAGCAAAGACATAGAATCAATCTAGATGCCCATCCATGCTGGACAGAATAAAGAAAATGTGGTACATATACACCATAGAATACTATGCAGCCAAAGAAAAGAAGGAAATCATGTTCATTTCAGCGACATGGATGCAGCTGGAGTCCATTATCCTAAGCAAATTAAGCAGGAACGGAAAACCAATACTTCATAGTCCCACTTACAAGTGGGGGCTAAACAGTGAATACACATGGAAACAAAGATGGGAACAATAGATATTGGGGACTGCTTGAGGAGGGATGGTGGGGCGAGAGGCATGGGTTGGAAGGCTACCTATCACGTACTATGTTCACTACCTTGGTGATGGAGTCATTCATTCACTAAGCCTCAGTGACATGCAATTTACTCATGTAACAAACCTGCACATGTACCCACTGAACCTAAAATTTAAATATTAAAAAAGTCTTACTGTAAATTTACTGTACTGAAGACAGTATGGTGTACAAAGATGGACATATAGATAAATGGAATGGAATAGATAATCCATAAAGAGATGTGATTATGTGTTTCACCCAAGAGAGATGCAAACATATGTCCACAGAAAGACCTCATGAATGTTCACGTCTGGTTTATTCTAAATAGACAAATATGATAATAATCCAAATGCACATCAGCTGGTGAATGAATGGTCATATTGTGGTATATCTAAAACAATGAGATACTTCTAAGAAATAAATATGAACAGACTAATGATATGTGCAACAACATGGATGAATCAAGAAAGCATTACGCTAAGTTAAACCACATACAAAAGGGTATATACTATATGATTCAATTTATGTAATTTTCAGGAAATGACAAATCTATAGAGGCAGAAAATAGGTTAGCATTTGTTAGAGGCCGGGAGCTTGGGGAGAGGATTGAGTATGAAAGTCATGAGAAAACTTTTTGGGGGTGATGGAAACATTCTACATCTTAATTATGCTGGTGGTAATGTATATCTGTTTGTATATATTTGTCAAAAATCACATCATTGTACACTTATAAAGGGTGAATTTTATGTAAATTGTACCATACCACAATAAACTTAAAAAATAAAAATAAAATAAATATTGAGGTAGGTAATCTATAGTTGGTGTGGTTGCTCCATGATAGTATCATCAACCCAGGCTCAAACTTTTAATCCAACTTTTTCTTTCATCATTATGGCTGCAAGTTGCCTGCTACATTTATAGGCATTATGCCTGCATTCCTAGCAGGAAGAAGAACTAGGATAGCAGGAAGATGTGGTGTCTTCATTAGAAAAATGAAAAGCTTTCCCAGAAAACTTCAGCTTTTGTTTCATTAGCTAGAATAAAACCACATGGCCAACAGTTACTGCAAGTGAGCTTGATGAAGTGAGTTTTTTACCTGGACACATTGTCACCTCCAAC
This sequence comes from Homo sapiens, assembly GCF_000001405.40. Classification (NCBI taxonomy): domain Eukaryota; kingdom Metazoa; phylum Chordata; class Mammalia; order Primates; family Hominidae; genus Homo; species Homo sapiens. Next base: position 152,532,870 of record NC_000023.11, on the reverse strand, counting down.
AAAATATGGGTTCTGCTAGGGAAGAGAATCTTCTACTCTATCTTTAAAAAAATAGTCAATATAGTTTACTGTAAGAAATTTAGAAATATAGGTGGGTCAAAAGAGAAGAAAAAATGAACATTATTCCTAATCCTATAGTCCAACTATAGTAGTCAAATTCTGTTAGCTTTTTTACAAAAGATCTTGTACATTTTTTAAGTATATTTTTAAAGTAATAGTGCCTTGTACCTAACTGTAGCTTATTAAGTTTTCATTGAATGAATGTTGAGTAGGTTTTAATCAGGGAGAGAAGAAGGGAATGGTGAAAAGAGGAAAGAGTATGAGCATGTCACACCTTTGAAGCAGTATATAGTAAAGAGTATAATTAGACAAAACTGTATCCACAAATCTCTTTGAGACAGGCTTTTTTCTATCTTGGACCTCTGGGCTGCTGTGGAACAAGACTGTGAAGATTTTTAAAATCTCTGTTGTTTATGACAGGGGTCTAGAGGTATGCCATTAAGATCCTTAGAATGGTCTTTTGTTGGTACCTTGAGTTTTCTATAAGGAACTTATAGATTGATTTATAAGCACAGATCTTTCTGAGGTCTTAACTAAGGATCTTACTGAAATCCTGTCATCTGGCCAAGGATTTAATCTTTCCTCCTGATATAATTTGGCTCTTTTTCCCTACCCAAATCTCATCTTGAATTGTAATCCTCATGTGTGAAAGGAGGGACCTGGTGGGAGGTGATTGGATCATGGTGGCAGTTTCTCCTATGCTGTTCTCATGACAGTGAGGGAGTTCTATCGAGATCTGATGGTTTAAAAGTGGCAGTTTCCCCTAATCTCTCTCTCCTGCTGCCATGTAAGATGTACCTTGCTTCCCCTTTGCCTTCTACCATGATTGTAAGTTTCCTGAGGCCTCCCCAGCCATGCAGAACTGTGAGTCAATTAAACCTCCTTTCTTTATAAATTACTCATTCTCAGGTAGTATCTCTGTAGCAATATGAGAACAGACTAATACAGAGAATTGGTATCAGCAGAGTGGGGTACTCCTATAAAGATAACCTGAAAATGTGAAAGTGACTGTGGAACTGGGTAAGAGGCAGAGGTTGGAACAGTTTGGAGGGCTCAGAAGAAGACATAAAAATGTGGGGAAGTTTGGAACTTCCTAGAGAGTTGTTGAATGGTTTTGACCAAAATGCTGATAGTGATATGGACAATGAAGTCCAGGCTGAGGTGGTCTCAGATAGAGATGAGGAACTTATTGGGAACTGGAGCAAAGGTCACTCTTGCTATTTTTTTAGCAAAGAGACTGGTGGCATTTTGCCCCTGCCCTAGAGATCTGTGGAACTTTGAACTTGAGAGAGATGATTTAGGGTATCTGGCAGAAGAAATTTCTAAGCAGCAAAGCATTCAAGTTATGACCTGGCTGATTCTGAAAGCATTCAGTCATATGCATTCACAAAGAGATTATCAGAAACTGGAACTTTTATCTAAAAGGGAAGCAGAGCATCAAAGTTTGGAAAATTTGCAGCCTGATCATGTGGTAGATAAGAAAAACCCATTTTCTGGGCAGAAATTCAAGCTGGCTGTAGAAATTTGCCTAATTAATGAGGAGCTGAATGTTAGTCAAGACAATGGGAAAAATGCCTCCAGGGCATTTCAGAGACCTTAGTGGCAGCCCTTCCCATCACAGGCCCAGAGGCCTAGGAGGGAAAAATGGTTTTGTGGGCTGGGCCCTGGGCCCTGGTGCTCTGTACAGCCTCGGGACAGGTTGCCCTGTGTCCCAGCTGCTCCAGGTCCATCCATGGCTAAAAGGGGCAAAAGTATAGCTTGGGCCATTGCTTCAGAGGGTGCAAGCCCCAAGCCTTGGTGGCTTTCATGTGGTATTGGGCCTGCGGGTGCACAGAGGTCAAGAGTTGAGGCTTGGCAGCATCCACCTAGATTTCAGAGGATGTATAGAAATGCCTAGATGTCCAGGCAGAAGTCTGCAGGGGTGGAGCACTCATGGAGAACCTCTACTGGGACAATGCAGAGGGAAAATGTGAGATTGGAGCCCCCACACAGAGTCCCCATTGGGGCACTGCCTAGTGGAGCTGTGAGAAGAGGGCCACCATCCTCCAGATCCCAGAATGGTAGATCCACTAACAACTTTTTGCCATGAGCCTGGAAAAGCCACAGTCGCTGAATACCCATCTATGAAAGCAGCCACAGGGGCTGAACCCTGCAGAGCCACAGGGACAGAGCTGCCCAAGGCTGTAGGAGCCCACCCCTTGCATCGGCGTGCCCTGGATGTGAGACATAGAGTCAAAAGAGATTATGTTGGAGCTTTAATGAGTTCCTTTCCAGGTTTTGGACTTGCATGGGGCCTGTGGCCCCTTTGTTTGGCCAATTTCTCCCAATTGGGATGGGAACATTTACCCATTACCTGTACCCCCATTGTATCTTGGAAGTAACTAACTTCTTTTTGATTTTACAGGCTCATAGGCAGAAGGAACTTGCCTTGTCTCAGATGAGACTTTGGACTTGGACTTTTGGGTTAATGTTGGAATGAGTTAAGATTTTGGAGGACTGTTTGGAAGGCATGATGGTGTTTTGAAATGTGAGAAGGGCATGAGATTTGAGAGGGGCCAGGGGAGAATGATGTGGTTTGGCTGTGTCTCCACCAAAATCTCATCTTGAATTATAATCCTCATGTATTTAGCCTGGGACCTGGTGGGAGGTGACTGGGTCATGGGAATGGTTTCCTCCATGCTGTTCTTGTGATACTGAGGGAATTCTCATGAGATCTGATGGTTTAAAAGTGGCAGTTTCCCCTGGTCTCTCTCTCTGTCTCCTGCCACCATGTAAGCGGTGCCTTGCTTCCCCTTTGCCTTCTACCATGATTGTAAGTTTCCTAAGGCCTCCCCAGCCATGCAGAACTGTGAGTCAATTAAACCTCCTTTCTTTATAAATGACCCAGTCTCAGGTAGTATCTTTATAGCAGTGTGAGAATGAACTAATACCCTTCCTTAAACAGTTATTTCTATAACCAGCATACCCTGGCTGCTTTATGTTTCTTCCACATCTGCTTGAAAACTGAACAGTTCATCCTTTAGTTGATCACTCTAGATGAAGAGGAAGAAACTAGTTGCTATTTTTTATATCCTGCCTGGAAATCTTCCCAGCCATATTAATGAGTTGATTGGGCCCCAGATTTATTTTCAATGATGCCCAGGTGAGTGTTGGCAAGGGCCCCCTTATCTTTCCTCCAATAATGCTTTTCTCACTGTTTTCCAAGCCATGGTCTTCTCAAGGCCCTTCTAGCTTTTCATAACAGTTTTCCTGAGTCTCTTCCAACCTTAACTAATAGTCTATTTAATGTCCTTTTAGTTTCTGCCTGCTGTCTGGTCCCAATGCTGAAGCCACATGTGTTAGTTTTTGGTGAGACATCACTTCACTTTAGGTCCTAAGTTCCTTTTTAGTTTTCTATTGCTGTGTGAGAAACCACTTCATAATTTAATATTTTACCATTTAAAATACATTAGGATGACCGCTATTTAAAAAAAAAAACAAAAACAGAAAATAACAAGTGTTGGCAAGGATGTGGAAAAATTGGAAACCTTGTGAGCTGCTGGTTTGAACGTCAAATGGCACAGCTGCTCTGGAAAACAGTAAAGCAGTTCTTAAAAAATAAAAATAGAATTATCATGTGATCCAGCAGTTTCGGTTCTGGGTGCATATTCAAAAAACTTGAAAGCAGGATCTTGAAGATATATATATGTATATATATACACTTATGTTTATAGCAGCATTATTAAAAATGGCAAAGAGGTGCAGGCTACCCAAGTATCCATCAACAGATAAATGAATAAACAAAACATGGTTTATCCACACAATGGACTATTATATCATCCTTATAAAGGATGATAATTCTGGCATATGTTGCAACTTGAATGAAATTTGAAGATGTTATGCTCAGTGAAATAATCCAGTCACAAAAAGACAAATATTGTATGATTTCACTTATATGAGTTACCTAGCATAGCAAAATTCATGTAAACAGAAGGTAGAATGGTGGTTGCTGCAGGGGAGAGAAAAGAATATCGTTCAAAGGGTATAGAATTTCACTTTTGCAAGATGAGAACAGTTCTGGAGATTGGTTGCATGCCAATGTAAATGTACTTAACACCACTGAACTCTACACTTAAAAATAGTTAAGATGCTACGTTCTATGTTATGTGTATTTTGCCACAACTGAAATAAACACAGGATGCCAAAACAAAGTAATATTTTTTTAAAAAGCAATTTATAACCTTCTCTTACAAATCTGTGAGTTGACCAGATTCAGATTTGTGGTTCCTTTTTAAGGTATCTTTGGCAGTTGTAGTTAGTTGTTCAGCTGGGGCTACAGTCTTTTGAAGACTCAACTGGAGTAAATGTACAATATTGCTCACTCATATTACTGGTAGTTGATACTGGCCATTCATTGAGAGTTCAGCTGGGGTAGTTGACTGAAGTGCACACATATGGTCTCCACATGGCTTGGGATTCCCATAATATAATAACTAGTTTCAAGAGGGAGCTTCCTGAGAGACAGAATCACAAGTGTGCTTTTCTAAGGGAGCAAGGTTGAAGCTGCAAGACTTCTTCTGACCTGGCTAAGAAGTCATGCAGTGTCACTTCTACTTCTATTGGTGGCTAATGAATAACATATTCACCCAAGATTCAAGGGATGGAGCCTATACAATACCACCAATACCAAAAGGCACGCATCATTGGGGGCTCATTTTTAGAGACTAGCTACCACAGTATTACTGCAATGTAAATTTCAAGTTTGGCAGTAGCAGAAGATGTAACCGCAAAAGTAGGTAGGAATAAGTTGGTGAAGTTCTTTGAATAATAATGGAAGCTCTAGTGGATTAGAATGTTGTTTTCAACTATTCTAGTTTCTCTCTATATTAGTGTTTTTCATCCATGTGACTTTACCGTGCCACTTAGTGGGTGCAGTTTACTTCCCTGCCCCAATGACTTTCAGTTTAGTCATGTGATGAGTGGAGAGTTTTGGCCAATGTAATGTGAGCAAGTAAGAAATATGCCATGTCCCATTAGAGGTTTTAAATGTGCCCACACAGTTTGCTTTGGCCTTTTGTGCTCTTACCACCATCTATGAGAAGAACATATCCCCAGATAGCTGCTGTTTCTTCTGCCTGGGTTGTAGAATGAGACTGCTGTTTCTTCTGCCTGGGTCACAGAATGAGACTACATGGAGCACATTTGAACCTGAGCCCAGGTGAACCCTATCAAATCACAGCTGGCCTGAAGACCCTGAGCAACAAATGTTGAGATTGATGCGGGGGGTTTGTTTGTTCCTGCAGCAAAAGAACACAGTGACTAACATTTATGAGTACTTTTAGTATGACAGACATTTTGCCAAGCATCGTAAACTGATGACCTCATATAACCAATCATGTGTGTCATACTAATGAATTTAGATTTCATTTTATAAGTGGCTAGACTCTTTGAGGGAATTTAAGAGAGAGAGGAGATTGTCATATTGAAACTTATATGTTAGTAAGATCTTTCTGGCAGTGGCATAAAGGGCAGACTTGGGAGTAAGTCTGTTAAGAGGTTGCTGAAGAAGAATACATGAGATATTACGAGTGTCTAGACTAGGATAGTGATAGTGGAATAGAGAGAGATATGTGGATTTTAGAACTGTTTGGAAGAAATATTTATTTATTTTGAAAATATTTGATTTATTTGTAGCAGGCATATGCCAAGTGCTCAGGGAAACTGCAAATAGTTCAGTATGGAGCCTGGTGTGGGAATAGGGAGTGTTGGGAGATGAATCTCTAGTGACAAGCAGTATCTTGATCATGCGATATTCTATGTCATGTTGAGGTGTTTAGCCTTTATATCAAGGGCATTGGGCAACCAGTTAATTGTTTTGTTCAAATTTTGCACCTTAGGGGAGATAGAAAGGGAAAAATAAAGGCAAGGGGAACAATTGTAGGACTGTTGAAGTAAGTTCACAGATACTTATTGAACTCCAGCTATGTTCCAAGTGTTGTACTAGGCATTGGGGATATAATGTTGAATAAAAAGATAAAAATCTCTGCCCTCTTGGAACTTAGCCTTTTAGGGGTGGGAAAGATATTAAATATGTAGCAGTAAATAGTTAGACATGTTCTAAGTGTTTCAAAGGAAAAGCACATGATTCTGCGGAAGCCAGAGGAAGGGACCTGCCATTGTTAGAGGTGAGGGAAATAAATGTTTATCTAAAGGATGTGAAGTTTAAACGATGAACTTATGGAAGGATAGGGGTTAACCAAGTGAAAAGAGTTGGGGTTAGTGGATAAATTATATTCTGGAAGAGGAAATAGAATAAGCTGAGGCCTGAGTTGGCAAAGGAAATAGTATGTCCAATGAGATTTGGGTAGAACAACATATGACAGAACTGGAGAAGTAGGCAGTGTTCAGAGTGTGTAGACCCCAGTAAGCCACACGAATAGAATTTGATATTTGTCATAAAAGGAAAAGGAGCTGATGAGAGGTTTTAAACAGAGGAGTGATATCGTTCTGATTTACATTGTAAAACATATTACTCTTTGCTGTGCAGAGAATTAATTAAAGGGCCAAGGGTGAAAAGCAGGGAGGCCGATTAGTATGCCTTGAAATAATCCTGGCAAAAGATGATGGTAAAAGTCCAGGGCATGTTACACTGAGGTGCACTTGGGACATTCAAATGAAGATGTCAAGTAGGCAAGTTAATGTATGGATCTGGAGCATAGAATCAGGAAGTAGTAGGAAAACAAAGAACAGTAGCTTCAGACAGAAAACAGTGAGCCCTAAGTCAGTTAAGCTTGACTTGTGGTGCAAAGTACATTGCTGTTGCTTTTTGGGATGGCGTTTGGGCTTGTGCAGTAATAATGGAGCCAGAAAGAAGAGGGAAGAGTTAAAAGACATTTAGAAGGTATAATGAATGGGCTTGGCTTATGGTGGAACAATTTACCCAGATTGGGAAGACCATAGATGAAGCATATTTAGAAGGTGGGAGAATGATGATTTCCAATCATTCTCAGTAAACTATCGCAAGAACAAAAAACCAAACACCACATATTCTCACTCATAGGTGGGAATTGAACAATGAGAACACATGGACACAGGAAGGGGAACATCACGCTCTGGGGACTGTTGTGGGGTGGGGGGAGGGATAGCATTAGGAGATATACCTAATGCTAAATGACGAGTTAATGGGTGCAGCACACCAGCATGGCACATGTATACATATGTAACTAACCTGCACATTGTGCACATGTACCCTAAAACTTAAAGTATAATAATAAAAAAAATGTTGTGTAATCATCACCTCTGTGTAGTTCCAAAACATTTTCATCACCCCTAAATGAAATTTCATACATATTAGTCCTTCTTCATTTACCCCTTCACTAGCCCCTGGCAACCACTATTCTGCTTGCTATCTCAGTAGATTTACCCTTTGTAAATGTTTCATACGCATGGAATCATACAGTATGTGCTTTTTTGTGTCTGGTTTCTTTAAATTAGCATGTTTTAGAGGTTAATCCACAGCATGTATCAGTACTTCATTCCTTTTTATGGCTGAATAGTATGCTATTGTTTGTGTACACCACATTTTGTTTATCCATTCATCTGTTGACAGGCATTCGGGTTGTTTCCACCTTTTTTTTTCTATTGTGAATAGTGCTGCTATTAACGTTTGTGTCTGTGTTTTTTTTTTTTTCTTTTTTTGAGTACCTGTTTTCAAGTATTTCAGGTATATACCTAGTAATGAAATTGCTGGGTCACAGGGTAACTGAGGAACTGCCAAACTGCTTTCTTAATTAACAGAACCATTTTACATCCTCACAAGCAATGTACAGGGGTTTCAATTTCTCCACATCCTTGTCAACACTTGATACTGTCTGACATTTTGATTATGAGCATCCTAGTGGATGTGAGGTGTGTTTTTAATTTGTGTTTTTCCAGTGACTAATAACATTGAATGTACTTCCATGTGCTTGCTGGCTGTTTGAATATCTTTAGAGCAATATCTGTTCAAATAATCTGCTCAATTTTTAGTTAGGTTGTTTGTCATTTTGTTGTCAATTTGTAAAATTTCCTTGTATATTTTGAGTAATAGGCCCTTGTTATATATATGATTCGCAATTAGTTTCTCCCATTGTGTGGGTTGTCTTCTCACTTTCTTGATGGTGTATTTGAAAGAGAAAAATTTTTAATTTTGATGTAGTCAAATTTATCCATTTTTAATTTTGAAATCCAATGTGTCTATTTTTATTTTGTAGCTCATGCTTTTGGTTTCATATAAGAAACCCATTGCCAAATCCAAGGTCATGAAGATTTACCCTATATTTTATTTTAGCAGTTTTATGGTTTTAGCTTTTATATTTAGATTATTGACCCATTTTGGGTCACTGTTTGCCTATGGTATGATAAATGGGCCCAACTTAATTCTTTTGCGTATGGATACCCAGTTGTTCCAGCACCATTTTTGAGACTATTATTTTCATATTGAATGATATTTGTGCCATTCGAAATCAATGGATTAAAATCAATTTCAAAATCAATTGAACCTAGGTATATAAATGATATATGTACATATACAGCTATACATACAGATATATATCATATATATCTATATCTATATCTATATCTATATATCTATATATCTATCTATCTATCTATATATATATATATATATATATATATATATATATATATATATGTCTGTCATCATGCTAGTACCACACTATTTTGATTGGTGTAGTAAGGTTTGAAAGAAGGAAGTGTAAGTCCTCAAACTTTGTTTTTCTTTTCCCCTATTATTCTGGCTATTCAGAGTCCAATACAATTCCATATGAATTTTAGGATCAGTTTTTCATTTTTGCAAAAAAAGAAGTCCTTTAAGATTTTCATAGGGATTCAATTGAATATGTAGATTTCTTTGAGTAATACTGGTGTCTTAACAATATTGAATTTTCCAATCCATGAACATGGCACGCCTTTCCCCATCTTATTTAATTTAAAAATTTTTTTTTCTTTAATTTATTTCGGCAATATTTTATAATTTTCAACACATGCCTTGCACTTACTTGGTTAAATCATTAAAACATTTATTTAATTTTTAATGATATTATAAATGAAATTATCTTCCTAAGTTTCTTTTTGCATTGTTCATCGCTGATGTAGAAAAGTGTAATAAATTTTTGTCTTTTAATCTTATATTCTGCAACTTGAATTCATTTATTAATTAATAGTTTTCTGGGGGATTCTTTAGGATTTTCTACATGGCATCTCTAAAAAGAGATGATTTTCCCTCTTCATTTCCAGTTTGGATGCCTTTTATTGCCTAGTTGTTGTTCATAGAACTTCCACTACAGTGTTGCATTGCAGCAGTGAAAGTGGGTATCTTTGTTTTGTCCTTTATCTTAGGGGGAAGTTTACACTTTTTTGCCACTGAGTATATTGTTAGCTTTGGAGTTTTCATACATGTCCTTTATCCTGTTGAGTCAGTGCTCTTCTACTCCTGATTTGTTGATTATTTTCTTTATTTTTATTTTACTTTGAGTTCCGGGATACCTGTGCAGAACGTGCAGGTTTGTTACATAGATATACCTGTGCCATGGTGGTTTGTTGCACCTTTTGACCCATCATCTAGGTTCCCTCCCCTCGACACCCCACCCCCCAAACAGGCCTTGGTATGTGTTGTTCCCCTCCCTGTGTCCATTTGTTGTCATTGTTCAACTTCCACTTATGAGTGAGAACATGTGGTATTTGGTTTTCTGTTCTTGTGTTAGTTTGCTGAGGATGATGGCTTCCAGCTTCATCCATGTCTCTCTAAAGGACATGATCTCATTCCTTTTTATGGCTGCATAGTATTCCATGGTGTATATGTACAACATTTTCTTTATCCAGTCTATCATTGATGGGCATTTGGGTTGGTTCCATGTCTTTGCTATTGTAAATAGTGCTGTAATAAATATACATGTGCATGTGTCTTTGTAGTAGAATGATTTATATTCCTTTAGGTATATACCCAGTCATGCGATTTCTGGGTCAAACGGTATTTCTGTTTCTAGGTTCTTGAGGAATCACCACACTGTCTTCCACAACGGTTGAACTAGTTTACACTCCCACCCACAGGGTAAAAGTGTTCCCATTTCTCCACAGCCTTGCCAGCATCTATTTTTTCTTGACTTTTTAATAATTGCCATTTTGACTGGTGTGAGGTGGTATCTCATGGTGGTTTTGATTTGCATTTCTTGAATGATCAGTGATGTTGGGCTTTTTTCATATGTTTGTTGGTAATGTCCTCCATTACTGCCATATTTTGTGATTAGTTCATTTTTTTCTTGTGAACCATTTTGATTCCTTCCTTATTTCCTTTTCTGTTTTTTTTTTTAATTTTTATCTTAGTAGTTTGTCTGTAACTATCAAATTTGAATGAATGCCAACTTAATTTCAATAGTATACAAAAACTCTGCTCATTTACATCTCCAGCCTCCCATATTGTTTCTGTCACAAGCCACATCTTTATACATTGTGTGTCCATTTATATAGATTTATAATTATTGTTTTAAGCATTTGTCTTCTTAAATAATGTGGGGAAAAAGATGAGTTACAAACCAGAATAGTTATGAAACTGGCTTTTAAATTAAACTATGTAGATAGCTTTATGTTGCTCTTCATTTCTCATATGGTTTTGAATAACTATCTAATGAGTTACTCTTTCCAGCTTTGAAGACCCGCTTTAGCATTTCTTGTGGGACAGGTCTACAAGTTGTAAACTCCATCAACTTTTGTTTACTTGACCAGGTCTTTATTTCTCTTTTATTTTGGAAGGAAAGTTTTGTCAGATATGGAATTCTTTGTTGACAAGTTTTTCCTTTCAGCACTTTACTGCCTCTGGCCTCCAAGATTTCTGAAGAGAAATAAGCTGTTAATCTTATTGAGGCTCTTCTGTACATGGTGAGTCACTTCTCTCTTGCTGCTTTCAAGATTCTCTGCCTTTGCTTTTCAATAATTTCATTGTAATGTGTCTTGGTGTGGATCTCTTTGAGTTTATGCTATCTGAAATTTGTAGAATTTTCTTGGATGTGTATATTTATCCCTTTTGAAAACTTTGGGAAATTTTTGGCCACACTTTTATCAAATATACTTTTTTGCCTTCTATTCTTTCCTTCTGGAATTTTCATTATGCATATATTGGTATGCTTGATGTTATAGGTCTTTTAGGCTGTGTTCACTTTCTTCATTCTTTTTTTCTTCTCCTCAGACTAGATGATTTCCTTAATCTATCTTTTTAGTACACTGATTCTTTCTTCTGTATGCTCAAATCTGTTGTTGAACCTCTCTGGTAAATTTTCCAATGCAGTTATTGTACTTTTTCAGCTCTAAAATTTTAATTTGGTTCTTTTCAATAACTTCTCTCTCATTATTGATATTCTCTTTGGTGAGAGATCATTCTCCTGATTTTCTTTAATTCTTTGTCTTTGATTTCCTTGAGCTCTTTGAGCATATTTAAGGCAGCTGACTTACTATCACTGTCTCGTAAGCCCAATATGTAAGCTTTCTCAGGAACAGTTTCTATTAGTAATTTTTTTCTGTAAATGGGTCATATTTTCTTGTTTCTTTGCATGCTTTGTAAATTTTTTTGTTAAAAACAGGACATTTTGAATAGTATAATGTGGCAACTCTGGAAATCAGATTATTACCCTCCCTGGGCTTGCTGTTGCTGCTTGCTACTGGCTGTTTGTTTGTTTAGTGACTCTTCTAAATTATTTCCATAAAGTCTGTATTCTTTGTCATGTGTGGCCATTGAAATCTGTATTGCATTAGTTTAATGGTCAGATAGTGTTTTACATGGTTTCTGTAAAAGCCTGAAGCCAAAAAAAGAAAGAAAGAAATATTAAACAGGAAAAAAAATCTATTTAGTTAGATTGGCTTTCTGTTGTGGCACTCTTACTGCTTAGCCAGGCCTTAACCTTCACTTCCGGTTTGAGAGAAGCCTGAGGGTCACTCAAAGGTGAAAGCTTAGGGTTTTCTCAGGCCTTTCCTGAGCATATGTTTAGCCCTGGGCAACTGCATTGCCTTCTCAATTCCCACCTATAAGCAAGAGCTTCAAAAGTTTTTATTCACTTCCCTCCCCATATCTCCTTTACCAACTTCCTCCTTCCCATGATTTTTCCTTTGTCTATTTCTCATACCTATTTCTTGCTCAAGATTCCTTTAGCCAATGTTTGTCTTTAAACACTTTCTGCAAAAATCACCTAGGAAGCCACTCCACCCTGGGAATGGTGTAAATTGAGCAAAACAAATGCAAACCCTTGCGCTGATGCTTCATAATGCTACCCAACTAGTTGAAAGACAATCACAGCTATTTGAGAATAAAATTCCTGTTGCTCCCTTTGGCACTAGCAACCTGAACCAGGAATGCAGGATGTCATCTTCATGGCCACTGCTGATCTGGGAAGTGGAAGATGATCGGTGGGAAATTGTAAAGTCCACAACATTCTCTTACTACAACGCAGCAGCTTCCTTTTTCATTAAACTTTCTCCTGGTTATTGTAAATTTTGACTAGTTCCTAGAGTCCTGCAAAGTTGATTCTGACAGTTTTTGCTAGTTTATCTGTTGCTTTTATGGAGGGAGGGGACTGTGAATTCCCTATTCTGCCGTTTTCTGTGGAATCACTATCTTTGTGGGTTTTTGATGTGTTTACTAAGGCTTCTTTAATCCCTTTTTATTCTCTAGTGGCTGGCAATTTTTGCTTTCTATTTTTATTCTACTCGTGTTACTTAAAATTTTTCATAAGTTTTATAAAAAGTGAACACCTGTGATTATAAAGCAAACACCTGCATAGTCATGATTCAGCTCAAGAAATTACCAGCACCTTAAGGCCCACTGTGTGTCTCTTGAAAATCACTCCCATCTAATTCCTTTATGGAAGAAACTGATATCCTTAGTTTCATAATTAGAATGACCTTGATTTTATTGTAGTTTTACTACCCATATGTGCATCTCCACACAATATTGTGTAATTTTGCCTGTTTGTGAACAGTATATAAATGCAATTCAGTGTATATGTTTTATTTTGGGGGAGGCTTTTCTTATTTCACTCAATATGATACTTCTAAGATTCATTTATGTTTGGTAAAGTGACAGTTCATATATTTTGCCCATTAAAAAAATTAGGCTGTTTGCCTTTTTATTATTGAGGTGTACATGCTTAATATAGTCTCTATACAATTTTTTGTCAGATATATATCTTATAAATATTTCTATCAGTCTGTGGCTTACCTTTTAATTTCCTTTTTTTTTTCTTTTCTTTTTTTTTGAGATGGAGTCTCGCTCTGTCACCCAGGCTAGAGTGCAGTGGCGTGATCTCAGTTCACTGCAACCTCTGCCTCCTGTGTTCAAGCAATTCTCTGCCTCAGCCTCCCGAGTAGCTGGGATTACAGGAGCCCGCCACCACGCCCAGCTAGTTTTTGTATTTTTACTAGAGATGGGGTTTCACCATCTTGGCCAGGCTTTTCTTGAACTCCTAACCTCGTGATCCATCCTCCTTGGCCTCCCAAAGTGCTGGGATTACAGATGTGAGCCACCGTGCCTGTTAATTTTCTTAACAGTGTCTTTGGAAGAGCCAAAGCCTCTAATTTTAGTGAAGACAAATTTATCACCTTTCTTTTACATGTCATGGTTATTGTGTTCTATTTAAAACAATATTTTTCTATTCTAAAGTCACTCAAATTTTTTCTTTTTTTTTCTAGAACATTAAAAGTTTTAGCCCTTACATTTAGGTCTACAATCAATTTCAAGTTAATACTTTTGTAAGGTGTGTGGTAATGGTCAGTGTTCTTTTTTTTTGCATACAGATATCTTATTGTTCCAGTACAATTTTTTGAAATAATTGCCGTTTCATTGGTTCTGTATACCAATTGACCATGTTTGAATGGTTCTATATCTACATGCTTTACTATGTTTCGTTGATCTATATATCTATATTTACACCAATACTATACTGTCTTTATTGTAGTTTTATATTATCTTTAAATTTAGTAGTGTGAGTCCTACAATTCTTATTTTATTTTTTTAAATTGTTTTGACTGTTTTAGGTTTCTTGCATTTCCACATCAATTTTAGAATTAGCTTGTCAACTTTTACAAAAGTCTGCAAGAGTTTTCATTGACTTCATATTGAATGTCGATCTGTAGAAATGAATATTAACAATAATAAAACTTCCGATCTGTCAGTACAGTATATCTTTGCATTTTATTTAGGACTTCTTTGATTTCTCCCAACAATGCTTTGTAATTCTGTTTTACATCTCTTGATAATCTATTGTCAATTTCTTCCTTAAAATTCAATATTTCATTTGAATTTTTTGGATGCTGTTTGGATGTATTTTATTTTTTGGATGGTATCCTAAATGGTAACTTCTAAATTTTTAAATTTCGATTTCTGTGTATTCATAACTAGTATACAGAGATGCAATCAGTTTTGTATATTAATTAACCTCATATACTCTCTAAATTTTTCAAAATACAAATATTAGTTCGAGTGGCTTCTTTGTGGATTATCTAAGATTTTCTACATAAATGATTATGTCTTCTGTGAATATATGCAGTTTTATTCCTTCCTTTCCAAGCTTCATGCTTGCTTTCCCTGTATCTTTTTTTATTCCACTGGATAGTATTTCCAGTACAATGTTGAACAACATTGTACCAATGTCAAATAACATTATACCACTTTTCGTGTCATATAAGAACTGTACAACAGTATACAGTGCTTCTATTTCCCTCCCCAAGACTTTGTGCTATTTTTATTGTACATTTTACTCCAACATATGTTTTATGCCTCATACTATGTTGTTATTACTTTTGATTTATACAGTTATCTTTTTCCTTTCTTTTGACTATTTAGCAAAGTAACATTGCATAAGCTGTTTAGTAACTAGGACACAGCTTACACAGCATGTTAAATGCATATACATTATCAGCAGCAAATTAGAAACAGAAAATAGCAGTATTGAGTTACAAGTCTCCTATAATTTTTTAAAAGAGGAAAAATTGTGTTGTCGAATCTGAAGAGCTAGTTAAGTATAGTCTGAATCTTAAGGGACATCATCTGCCATATTCTTAAATTTTAATACTTACAAATGCCTAGTTTTAAGGTAATAAAGCAGCTGGTTGTGTCTACAACACGTTATTCTATGACACCACATCAAAAAACTTTCAGTAAAGAAACTCATTCCTGTTTTCTTAGTAGCATCTAGAAGACTCCCAAATACCAAGAATCTTAACTTTTAAATGGTGGCGTTCCAGATATGATGCCAAAAAGCAATGTGATAATTGAGTTTCATAACAGAATTAAGTGTCCAAGAAAAGAAAAATTACCCGTCACTAGCTCATTATCTCACTATCAGAATTTACAAACAAATCTTTCTATTTTGCAGGATTCCTTCTTTTAATATTTTAAGGAAAATGTGGGCATATTAAAGTAATAATATACAAATTTACGTTCTGCATTCTTCCTCTAACAATTTGGCCCTGTGCCTCTTTGAAGAATGAAAAACCCTACAAAACTAAATTTTCATAATGAGAATAATAGTGTAATAAAGTCCAAAACAAATTGTGATGCTGTTGGTTTTCAAAAAGCTTTAAGGCCTGAGATGAGCAACCCACTGTAACATTATGCACTAATCAAGCTGATAATGCTCTTACAGTTTATCTCTGTCAGCTGATTTCATAAAGTAGCTTTGTCAACTGTAAACAAAGCCAATTATCTTTTTAAGAGACTAAGGAATAAGTTTAAAAAGTGTTTTATATTTATCTGCATATTTAAGTTTCCAGGGCTCTTTATTCTTTTGTGTATATTCAAATTTCCGTTTATCTTTTCTTGTTCTGCCTGAAGCAATTCCTTTAGCATTCATTCTAATGCTGGTGTGTTGATGATGAATTTTCTTAGCTGTTGTATGTCTGGACATATTTTTATTTTACTTTCACATTTGAAAGATATTTTTACTGGGTATAGAATTCTAGATTGATGGTTGATTTTTGTTGTTTTACTTTCAATGCTTCAAAGATGTTTCCCCACTGTGTTTGGGTTTGCATTGTTTCTGGTGAGAAGTCTGATTTAATTTTATTCATTTTCTGTATCATATATCTTTTTCTCCACTTCTGGTTGCTTTAAAGATTTGTTCTTTTTATTACTGTTTTCATAATTAGATTGTAGTTAATGTTTTCTCATTTTTCTTATGCTCAGGATTCATTTGGTTTGGGTTTGTAGGTTTATAGTTTTCATCAAATTTATAAATTTTGCCCATTATTTCTTTAAATAATCTTACTCATGCCTCAGCCTCCAATTACAAATATGTTAGGCCACTTGATGTGCACTGGTACTCTTTCATTTTTTAGCCATTTTCTCTCTGTTTTATTCTGATAGTTTATGTTGCTCTGTCTAAAGGTTTATTCGTTTTTTTTCTGCAATGACAATCTGTTGTTAGGTTACTTTATTGAATTTTTTTCATCTCAGATACTGTATTTTTCTCTAGAATTTTAATTTAAGTCTTTTAATATCTTCTGTTTATTTCTTCATTGTCTTCATGTTTTTCTCTACCTATTTGTATACATGGCAGAAATTTATAACTGCTGTTTTATGGCCTTTGTCTATTAATTCTGTAATCTGTGTTATTTATGTTTTTATTCTATTGACTGATTTTTCTCCTTATTATGGATCACATTTTCTTATTTCTTTGCATGCCTGGTAATTTTTTTTTTTATTATACTTTAAGTTCCGGGATACATGTGCAGAACGTGCAGGTTTGTTACATAGGTATACACGTGCCATGGTGGTTTGCTTCACCCATCAACCCGTCATCTACATTAGGTATTTATCCTAATGCTATCCCTCCCCTAGCCCCCAACCCCCGACGGGCCCCGGTGTGTGATGTTCGCCTCCCTGTGTCCATGTGTTCTCATTGTCCAACTCCCACTTATGAGTGAAAACATGCGGTGTTTGGTTTTCTGTTCTTGTGTTAGTTTGCTGAGAATGATGGTCTCCAGCTTCATCCATGTCCGTGCAAAGGACATGAGCTCATCGTTTTTTATGGCTGTGCATGCCTGGTAGTTCTTTATTGGACTGCAGACATTTTGTGGCAGATTGTTGTGTGTTGGTTGTTTTTGTATTCCTTTATGTGTTTTTGCGCTTTGTTCTGGAACAAAGCTAAGTTACTTAGAAAAATTTTGCTAAGTTAAGCCTTGATTTTAAGCTTTGCTAGGCAGATCTATAACAACCCTGCATCTAGAGTGACTTTCTCAGCATTAAGGCAATCCTCTATTGAGAAAAACTATTGCTACGTTGATTCTGAGCCTCTTTACTTTTCATGCTATTGTAAACACTATTTTACTTTGTTTTGTAATTGTTCATGGCTGATATATAGAAATACAGAAACTATGCTGAACTTATTAATTTGAATAATCTATAGATCCTTTTGAATTTTCTATATTCACAATTATACCCCTGAAAATGACAATTTTAATTTTTCCTTTTCAATTGCATTTCTATCTTTCCTTTTTTTGGCTAGGATCTCTAGTACGATGCTGATTAAAAGTTTAGATAGTCGTCATCCTTGGCTCACTCCTGATCTTAAAGGGGAAACTACTAAAATTACATCATTCAGTATGATGTTTGCTGTAGTCTTGTTTGTAGCTACTCTTCATCAGATGAAGGAAATTCCTATCTATTCCTAGTTTTTAAGACTTTTTATTAGCAATAGAACATTTTTTTTGAGACAGGATCTTGCTATGTTGCCCAGGCTGGTCTTGAACTCCTGGATTCAAGTGATCCTGCTGCCTCAGCTTCCCGATTAGCTGGACTACAGGTGCATGTGAGCATGCCCAGTAATGTAACATTTTTCTTAATGATTGAAATATTTATATGATTCTTTTCCCCTTTATTTGGTTAATGTGATGAATTATGTTGATTTTAAAATTTTAAGCCACGCTTGCATTTTTGAAATAACTCCAACTTGTTCATGATGTTTTCTTTTATATATATTTCTTTTTTCACTTTTATTTAAGTTCAGGGGTACATGTACGGGTTTGTTATATGTCATGGGGGTTTGTCGTACAGATTATTTCATCACCCAGGTATTAAACCTTGTACCCATTAGTTATATTTTCCTGATTCTCTCCCTCCTCCCAATGTCCACCGTCCAATAGGCCCCAGTGCGTGTTGTTCCCCTATATGTGTCCACGTGTTCTCATCATTTAGCTCCCATTTATAAGTGAGAACATGCAATATTTGGTTTTCTGTTCCTGTGTTAGTTTTCTAAGGATAATGGCCTCCAGATCCTTCCATGTTCCTATATATTTATTTATTCGCTTTGCAAATCTTTTGTTTTGAATGTTTACATCTCTATGGGTGAGAATCACTTGTAGTTCTCTTTTCTTTACAATGTTTTAATCAGATTTTGGTATCAAAGTTATGTTGGCCTTATAATGTGGTTGAAATATCCTCTCATTTTCTCTTTGTAGAAAGAGATTGTGTATCGTTGTCCTTATTTTTGCTTTAAATGTTTGGTTGAAGTCTCCAAAGACATCTAGGCTTGAAGCTTTATTTGTGGGAAGATGTTAATTACAGAGTACTTTTTAGTCGTTATAGGACTAATCAAATAATCTACTAAATCCATTGTTTTTGTCTTGATGTTTTGATTTTCCTTTCTTAGAGATTTCTGGGAGAATATCCTAGCGAGGGCTTCCAGATCACTAATTTAATATTTGGCCATTTTTTTTCTCTCAATTTTCCTTCAGTTAAAAAAAATTCTAAAAACAAAGTTTTAAATTTCTTATAGATCAGACTGATGTATTTTCATAGTAGTGTGTTCTTATTTTATTGTTTTAACATCCTGTTGACTTTTTCTGGGGTGACTAAATGAGCCTCTTTCTCCTGGGGATAATTGTTTAATATGTTCATCTTGCTTCTTTTTCATTGTCATGGTTTTCTTCAAGGATTTGATGATTCTTGAGTGCCTATTCATATTTATCAAAGAAGATCTTAGCTCATCATTTGGATCCAATACAGTTTTCCTTAGTAGTTATAGGAGCACATTGTCACAATAAACCTCTTTGCTGAATGGAGGATTGAGTAATTTGCCCTGTGTACACAGGAGTATATATGCTGACAGACTTCTCTCAAGAGTATTTTGGTATGAAATTTCTAGACAAGCCAGATATTGTTGTTATTGGCAAAAAAAGTCATTATCCTGAAGTAGAACACTTTAATGTATTAACGCCTATGCAGAGTTGTGTTTTCCCCATTTCCCCCCATTTCTTTCTTTTCATGCATTTATGTATTTATTTTGGTTAGTTAATTATTTTAATTGTAAATACAAAGCGTATGTTTTTATGGTGTACAACATGATGTTTTGAAATTTGTATACATTATGGAATGTCTAAATCAAGCTAATTTTCATGTGCATTCTCTCACAGACTTTTTTGTGGCAAAAACACTTAAAATCTACTTTTCTTGGCAATTTTCCAGTATACACTACATTGTTGTGCACTGCAGTCACTGTAGTCACTATTGTTGTACAATAGATCTTTTGAACTTATTCCTCTTGCTAACTGAAATTTTGTGTGCTTTGACCAACATCACATCATTTTTATTGAGAATTGAAGATATCACTAGAGTCCCAACACACATAATAGATATTCCTTATGGAATATACTCTGTGTTTTAAAAGTAACTGATGTGGCCAGGTGTGAGGCTCACACCTGTAGGCCCAGCACTTTGGGAAGCTGAGGTGAGAGAATCGCTTGAGCCCAGGAGTTTGAGACCAGCCTGGGCAACAAAATGAGACCCTGTCTTTACAAAAAAAAAAAAAAAAAGATACAAAAATTAGTTAGGCGGGGTGGTATGCACCTGCAGTCCCAGCTACTTGGGAGGCTGAGGTGGGAGGATTGCTTAGCCCAGGAAGTTGAGGGTGCAGTAAGCTGTGATCATGCCACTAAACTCCATCCTGGGTGACAGAAAGAGACTCTATCTCCTAAAAAAATAATTGATGTTTAGACTAAAATACCGTATCCATGTACTCTTTATTTACAACTTGGTACTGAGGTTGGAAGGTGTAAATGATTCTTTCACCTGTTCTCCAATATTTTATCACTATAACAGTTTTTCTATTACCTGCTTGTGCTTCCTGTTTTTGCTTCCCCAAAGCTTTGAATTTCATCCTATGAAGAACCATTTTAAAGCATGTCTCTTACCTCTGTGACAGTAATCTCCCTCCTCTATTTTACATGGCACTGTTTATGCTCTATCAATATTATAACTATATCTTGCAGAAATTCTTCAGTGTTTTGGTATAATTATAGTTCCCCTTTCCATATTTTTGTATTGAAATATATTATCTTCTTTTTATTTTCTATTATTTCAATTTCAGTAGTAATTTTGGGCATTTAAGGAGTTAAATGGTTGCACTCATTTCACAGTCTCAAAATAAAAGTTCATATATCTTTCTAACAGTGGCCTCTTTGCTTCCCTTTACTACTGAACCTTTTCTCTTGCTTGTCCTGAGTTGCAAGGAGGTGGTAGATATTTCCTGGTTTCCAAATTGTTGCGCTAATTTAATTTAATTTATTTTTCCCCATGTAGCAATCCTCTATAATCCATGGCAGGTTTGGAGAATTTCTAAAATATTGTTTATTATCAACCTTTCTTTCTGGTAAATCAGAGTTATTAGCTTAAAACTTTTAGTACAACTATTTAATATAAATTTTAGATAATAGATGTCACATAAAAGCTTGACCAAGAAGAATAGGTAGGATTCTTCCGATTACATTGTATCAGAGCAAAATGGGCCTTTAAAGACCATTCATTCTAACTCCATCATTATACATATGTGGGATAAACTGAGTTAAATGAATTGCTTCAGTTCCCACAGCTAGTTAGGGATAGAACCAAGAGTATGTCTTAGTTCATTTGTGTTTTGCACTATAACATTATGCTTCTCACCATAAAATGATGATGACAATGAACTCTGTTCTTTCAGGTTACCAAAGTCAAGTCCAAAGTCAATTCCCTGGCTTTCAAATTTTCTGATAATGTGACCCCGTCTGTGTTTTATCACCTTTTCAGCTACATTTATTTCTCCAGCAAACTGGACTGCTACTTTTGAACTTGTCTCTTGGTATGGTTTTCTCTTCTTTTATGAATATCTTTTCCCCTTCATCAATCAATTGCTTAATTCTTATTCATCATTCAGGGACATGTCTCCCATGAAGCTTTCTTTTCTTATTTTTGACTTTTATTTTAGATTCAAGGGCTACATATGCCACTTTGTTACCTGGGTCCCATGAAGCTTTCTTGGCCTTTCCCAGTCATCAGCAATGATTCCCACGTTTATGTTCCTATGGTATTTTTCAAGTGTATTTTATGGTTCTTGTCAAAACCTGTGAGCTTTAGCATATATTGGAGTGTTTTTTATGATGGTCCCTTTGGAGTGACAATAAGCCTCTTTCACCAGTAATCATGTGCCAAGGAGTATGAAGGAGTCACATTACCTCATCATAATGTGATGAAAAGAGGGACACAGTGTCATTTTCAGGACTGGGTCAATATTCTTCTCATAAAGAATAGGAATCTGGAAGAGAAAGTCACTAAAACTGGCTAACTGTTGGAGAGAACAGAAATGGATCTGGAAAGTTCCCCTTGTGGATATGAATAATTTCCTGGTTAAGTCTGATGTCCTGTCTAATTGTGAGTAGACATTATCTGGGTAAAGTTCTAAGAGTAGATCAAGTAGGCCCTTGAAGAGAGGACACAAAATTATTTGAGTCTGATAATGGTGACCAGTTTATTCCTGAAGGGAGAACTGTGATTGGTTCTGTCCAATAACATGACTATGCCTATGATGACATGGTAGTTGAGTGGGGCAATAGTGGGAAAATGCTACAGAGAATTCTTACCTTCAGAGGCTATAAGTTACGGTAGGTACTACTACTCGACACTTGGAGATACTGGAGTATACTTACGTAATCTTTAGAGTCCAGAGAGCATTGGAGGGACTTGGAGAGACTGGGGGAAATTTTGTCCATATTTGTTGGTGTTATTTTCATTTTAATCATATCTCTTTCTACTGTGCCTGGCTATCCAGTGGTGAACTTTTTGTATTCTAGGCAGGGGTTCAGCCAAACAAAAGGTTATAAATCTGCTAGTATTTAAGTGATGCTATTTGTCTTACATTAGTTGTTCTTATACTAATGCTATTTCCCTTGCTAGAATATAAGCAAAGATGGAGCTGACACATCAGGGAGCAGGTTGAGTTTGTCTCCATGTTCCTTTCTTGGCCTCTCTTTTCTACTTTTAAGTGTCTGGTTTGGCACAGAACTTGATTCCGAGAGGTGTTTTTGACTGACTGAGCACATGTTGAAAGTTTTATTTTCTGAAGCATAGTGTTGGAGACACGGCCATACTGGGGGACAAGGTGGCTTTCTAAACATTTTCCTAAGCACTTACTGAATTATTAAGCATTTTCCTCTTTGTGTCAAAACCAAGATCAAGCCATATTCTCCAGTCTCATAAAATGATGGATAAGGGTTCGTTTTTTAAATTGGTATCAGATGAGGCACCTTTAGTTATCGATGAACTTTTCTCAAAGCTGCAGATGGGCCAACTATTGCAAAATTTTTTTTTTATTTTAGTTTATTTTTAATTTATTTTTTATTTTATTTTATTTTAATTTAATTTTAATTTTTTTATTTTAATTTGTGATGGTAGCCATAAAAATTCAACAACAAAAAGAAATAGTTTAATTTTTTATTGGATGGTTTTATCCATGTCTGAAGACGAGGGAATAATTTTTAAGGTCTTAAGCTAAGTGCCCTTTTCACTCACTTCCCCACATTCTTAGACAACTAATTCACAGTCACCTCTGTTTAAACATCCGATATCTTCTCCTCCATTCTTACTTTGCACTGGGAAAACAGAAACAATTAGAAGGCAAATTCCTCATGCTCTTACCATGTCATTTATCTACCTCTCATAATCTGTACTCATATAACTTGCCTCCCATTTCTCAGAGCTGTGTACTGCGAACTCATGTTAATCTCTCAATTTGTACCTTGCATTCTACTAAAGAGCAGCCCTTCAACAAGTCTCACCTCTCTCTCCTGCTTCACCAACCTTTCTTTTTCTACCAATTGATTTCCCTCTGTTGACAAACATGCTGTAATATCTTCTATCATAAAAATATGCAAAACAACTTTTTTGACTTCCCATTCCTTTTCTGCTTTTTGAAGTGTATCTCTGCTTCTCTTTACAGCAAAATTTCTCAGAAGAATTTTCTATACTCACTGTTTCCCTTTTCTTATTCACTAATAAATCCATTGCAGTCAAGTTTTCCATTTCATCACTTCACTGAAACTTTTCTTGCCATGTTTGCCAAGGACTTCTGCTTTATCAAATCCAATGGTCAAATCTCATTGCTCATCATACCAAATCTTTCAGCAGTACCTGAAACTGTTTGCTTTCCTTTTCTTCTTGAAATGTTACCATCCCTTGGCTTCTGTCATCCCATTCTCTCTTAATTGTCCTTCTACCTCACTGGCTACTTTCAGCTTTCTTCACTCCTTTCCTTTCCTGCCTACGAAACTTTGGGGGAGGCCCTCAGGCTCAGTCCTAAGCCCTTCCCTTCTTTCCCTAGGGGATCTTGTCAATGACTATAAATATGATCTATATGGTAACAACTGTCGTATTTCCAGCCTTAACTTCTTTTCTAACTGATTTATTTTCAGCATCTCCACTCAGATGGATGGCCCAAACAAAATTCTTGAGTGCCTGTCTTCTCCTATAATGAAAACCAAAACCCCATCAGCAGTAAACCTCCTCCTCCAGCTCAGTAAATGTCATCCTACTCTCACTTTTTTGCCCCAGTGTATAAGACCACTAACCCTGCAGTAATAATTTATGCCTCCCTCACATACCCCAAATTTCAGCAACTTCTGTCAGCTTCCTTTGGAATTATACCACCTCCCTTGCTTTCACACAAGACTACACCACCATCATCATATGGGATATTGTAACCTCCTCCTAACTTTTACTTGCCTTAATGTCATCATTACAGAGAGGCCTTCTCTGGCCATTTTCCATAGCATTTTATACCATCAGGTATATGAGTTACATGTTTATTGTCAGTCTTTCCCCAATAATAATATAAGCTCCTTGATGATAAAAAGTTTTGTCTGTTTTGTTCATTCCTGTTTGTAACAGCAAATACATGGCACACATTAGGAACTAAAATATTTATTTAATGAATGGCTCCTGATCCCCATCTCCCCATTATTTTGCCATGTCTAAATGCCTGAATGTCATCTCTTTTATGTATATTCATTACTCTCTACACCCTCCATTCACTGTATTTAAATTATCTATGAACTTACCTTTACCTGCCACCCAGTTTGGAGCAGGTGGTTTAAAGTTAACAGGCATCAGACAGAAAGCAGAGCTACTCAGCTCGTTTTTATGTCCATGTTTTCCAACAAGGAGAAGGGCCATCAAATTGGAAATGATAGATTGATTCATAACCAGAAGAGGTACTGTCCCATGAGGGAACATTTGGTATTGGGCGAGTGGGTTCTTTGGTTACACAATAACTGGCGGAGGGGAGCATGCTGCTGGTATTTAGTGGGTAGGAGACAGATGTACTGAAGTCTTATAAGAGAATTGCCCCACCTCAAATGCCAGTAGTGCTGTCATTGCAATATATGAGAATAAGCTTTGAAGAGAAGGAATTATATTCCAAAAGAGTTTGGACAACAAACAAATAAATGAATTCAGTTTGTACGACAGGTAAATTGCATCCCAGAACACTAAAAGAACTTTATGATATTATGTTTGAGCCCTTGTCTATATCCTTGGAAGAATTATTGCAAATAGGAGATGGAAGAGAAGCCAATTTAGTATCCAAACAAGAAAGTCAAGTCTCAATGTGGTGTAATCACATCTCATTAATTATCAAAAGTCATGTTTCTAAGATTGATAACCCACTGTAATTCACTTTGGTTCAAATCTATAGATATTTACTGAGCATCCCTTGCTTCTTAGCCCATGGTTGGTGATATGGTTTGGCTGTGTCCCCATCCAAATCTCATCCTGAATTGTAACCTCCACTGTGGGAGGGACATGGTAGGAGGTAATTGAATCATGGGGGCAGTTACCTCTATGTGATTCTCATGATAGTGAGTGAGTTCTCATGAGATCTGATGGTTTTATAAGGGGTTCTCCCCCACTTCCCTCTCATTTTCTTTCTTGCCTGCCACCATAAAGGAAATGCCTTTCACTTTCCACCATATTTGTGAAGCCTCCCCAGCCACGTGGAACTATGAGTCCATTAAACCTCTTTTTCCTTATAAATTACCCAGCTTCAGGTATGTCTTTATCAGCAGCGTGAAAATGGACTAATACAGTAAATTGGTACCAGGAGTGGGGCAATGCTGTAAAGATACCAGAAAATGTGGAAGATATTTTGGATATGGGTAATAGGCAGAGGTTGGAACAGTTTGGAGGGCTCAGAAGAAGACAGGAAAATGTGGGAAAGTTTGGAACTTTCTAGAGACTTGGTGGGCTCAGAAGACAGGAAGATGTGGGAAAATTTGGAGTTTCCTAAAGACTTGTTGAATGGCTTTGACCAAAATGCCAACAGTGATATGGACAATAATATCCAGGCTTAGGTGGTTTCAGATGGAAATGAGAAACTTACTGGGAACTGGAGTAAAGGTTACTCGTGCTATGCAAAGAGACTGGAGGCATTTTGCCCCGTCCCTAGAGATCTGCGGATCTTTGAACTTGAGAGAGATGATTTGGGGTACCTGGTGAAAGAAATTTCTAAGCAGTAAACCATTCAAGAGGTGACAGAGCATAAAAGTTGGGAAAATTTGCAGCCTGACAATGCAATAGGAAAGAAACCCATTTTCTGGGGAGAAAGTCAAGCCTGCTACAGAAATTTGCATAATGAATGAGGAGCCAAATGCTAATCACCAAAACAATGTGGAAAATGTCTCCAGGGCATGTCAGAGACCTTCATGGCAGCCTCTCCCATCACAGGTCTGGAGGCCTAGGAGGGAAAAATGGTTTTCTGTGCTGGGCCCTGGGCCCCCCTGTTCTGTACAACCTCAGGAGATGGTGCCCTACATCCCAGATGCTTCATTTCCAGCCATGGCTAAAAGGGGCCAATGTACAGCTCAGGCCATTGCTTCAGAGGGTGCAAGCCCCAAGCTTTGGCAGTTTATATGTGGTGTTTGGCCCGTGGGTGCACATAAGTCAAGAATTAAGGTTTGGGAACCTCCGCCTAGATTTCAGAGGATGTATGGAAATGCCTGGATGTCCAGGCAGAAGTTTGCTGCAGAGGCAGTGCCCTCATGGAGAACCTCTGCTAGAGTAGTGTGGAAGGGAAATGTGAGGTCAGAGCCCCAATACAGAGTCCCCACTGGGGCACTGCTTAGTGGACCTGTGAGAAGAGGGCTACTGTCCTCCAGACCCCAGAATGGTAGTTCCACCTACAGCTTGCATCATGTGCCTGGAAAAGTCACAGACACTCAATGCCAGCCAAGAAAGCAGCCAGGAGAGGGGCAGTACCCTGCAAATCCACAGGGGCAAAGCTTCCCAAGGCTGTGGGAGACCACCTCTTGCATCAGTGTGATCTGGATGTGATTTATGGAGTCAAAGGAGGTCATTTTGGAACTTTAAGGTTTAATAACTGCCCTACTGAATTTCAGACTTTCATGGGGCCTGTAGCCCCTTTGTTTTGGCCAATTTCTCCCATTTGGAATGGGTATATTTACCCAATGCCTGTACCCCCATTGTATCTAGGAAGTAACTAACTTTCTTGCAATTTTACAGGCTCATAGGTGGAAGGGACTTGTGTCAGATGAGACTTTGGACTTGGACATTTGAGTTCATGCTGGAATGAGTTAAGACTTTGGGGGACTGTTGGGAAGGCATGACTGTGTTTTGAAATGTGAGGACATGAGATTTGGGATGGGCCAGGGGCAGAATGATATGGTTTGGCTGTGTCTCCTCCCAAGTCTCATCTTGAACTGTAGTTCCTAGAATCCCCACGTGTCATGGAAGGGACCTGGTGGGAGGTAACTGAATCATGGAGGTGGTTACCTCCATGCTGTTCTTGTGACAGTGAATGAGTTTCCATGAGAGCTGATGGTTTTATAAGGGATTTCCCCCTCTTTGCTCTCATTTCCTTTCTTGTCTACCTTCACGTAAGACATGACTTTCACCTTCTACCATGATTGTGAGGCCTCCCCAGCCACATGGAACTGTGAGTCCATTAAACTTCTTTTTATTTATAAATTACTAAATCTCAGGTTTGTATTTATCAGCAGTGTGAGAATGGACTAATAGAGTTAGTCTTCTCTCATCTTATTTGGCCACTGCACAGCATAATCTTTCCAGCTCTAGAATATGAAGATTCTAAAATTTATAACCTAAGTGACAAAAGAGAGCAAATAGTCATTACTTAAAGATTCTTCCAAGAAGAACAGCTCCTTATCTGGCAGCAGCTACTTGGAGTATGCGTGTTTGGATTTGATGGAACTAGTCCTTTCTGTTGTAAAAATTCTTATTTGAATTATGAAGTTTCATATCTTTTGAACAGCTGAGTTAGCAGCATGGGGCATATGTGTGTCCTGCTTTAGTTCTGTAGAGAAAAACAGGCACTGTCTTTTCTGGCCAATCTTCCTCTTCACTGCTGCCCCAGCTGCTTCATGGTGTCTAGTATCACCCTCTGCCACTGAGAAAAAGAAGCATAGAGATATGACTTATATCATGGGCTGTTCTCCAACTCCCCTCTCCTGGGGCAGGGAGGAGAAGACAAATATAATTGTGTTTTGCTTATGGTGCCCTTTCTCCTCTTTCCCACCTATCCATTGTGCAGGTGTTTGCTTTTATGATATCTATAGTAAGTATTTTAGTGAAGCCCAGAGCAACAAAGTCTGCCACTGCTTTTAGTAAACAAACCAGTTTTAGTTATAGCAAAGCAGACAGGCCTTAAGTTGGTGCCATTTTGCTCAGGATTCAGTCACTGTGAGATAAATTGGTGCTAGAGCCTCTCCCAAGTGTCACATATTGTGATAATCTGTGTTCTGAAATTTCCTCAAAAGGTTTTCTGTTTCCTTGGAACTTTGCTCTTATCTAAGTTTCAGCTGGCTGTTTTTCAAAGACTTAGCAGGTTCATATGTTACCTCTCAACCCTGCTAAGTTACTTATAATTTGTCTGAGCTCTTCAATGTATAAATATAGTGGAATGGTTCTAATGGTGAACACAGCAGCCACTGTAACAGAACTGTGAGGACAGAGTCCTCCCATGGCAGAGAATTGGAGTATTCACTTCCTTAAATTTTCAGGTACCCCAAGATGTATATACTGATGGTGAGCAGTTCCTTATGGAGGCTGGTGGTGGAATAGTACAAGAACAGCTCTTTGGATATATCAATTTCTGCTAAAGGAGATCTGAGTCTAATGTATACAATTATAATCAAAGCAATAAAATAATGGCAATAATAGCTGCCTCTTATATAGAGCTTACTATGTGCTGAGAGTACTGTTTTAAGTAACTTACCTATATTAATGCATTTAAACCTACAAAGTAAATTTTGGTCTAGAGCTGTGGACACTTGGCAGCTTCCACCTACATTTTAGAGGATGTATTGGAAAGCCTAAGTACCCAGATGGAAATCAGTTGCAGGGACAGAGCTGCCAAAGCTACAGGGGCAGAGCCACCTCCACCAGAGCAATGCCTAGTGGAGCCACAGGGATGGAGCTACCACTGGGACTGCAGAATTGTAGAACTACTGGTGTGGAATGCCAGCCTGGAAAAACTGCAGGCATCCAACTCCAACCTGTAAGAGTAGCCATGTGAGGTGTGCCCGGGAAAGCCATGGGAGCAAGGCTACCCAAGACCTTGGGAGCCCACTCCTCACATCAGTGTGCCCAGGAGGTAGCACATAGTGTGAATTACTATACTAGAGTGCTAAGATTTAATGTCTGCCCTGCTGGGTTTCAGACTTGCTTGGGGCTTGTCATTCCTTTCTTTTGGCTTATTTCTCCCTTTTGAAATGGGAATGTTTACCAAATGTCTGTTCCACCATGGTATCCTGGAAGTAAATAACTTGTTTTTATTTTATAGGCTCATACCTGGAAGGAGCTTGCCTTAAGTCTCAGATGAGAATTTGAACTTTGGACTTTTGAGCAGATGCAGAAATGAGTTAAGACTTGGGACTATTTGAGATGGAATGATCGTATTTCGTATGTAAGAATAACATGAGTTTTGAAGGGCTAGGAGGAAAATGCTATGGTTTGGACATGGTTTGTTTGTCTCCACAAAATATTATGTTGAAATTTGATCCCTAGTGTGGCAGTGATGTGATGTGGGGCCTAGTGGTAGGTGTTTGGGTCATAGGGGTGGATCCCTCATGAATGGCTTGGTGCATTTTTTATGATAGTCAGTGAGTTCTTATTCTGGCATGACTAGATTAGTTCTCCCAAAAATGTATTAGCTCCCGTGAGAAGCGAGTTTGTTATCAAAGTCAGGATACTCCTTGGGTTTTGTCTCTTCACACATGTCCACTTCCCCTTTGACCTTCTCCACCATATTATGATGCAGCCCAGAGATCCTCCCCACAAGCCAGGGCCATCCCCTTGAACTTCCCTGCCTGCAGAACCATGAGCAAAATAAACCGCTTTTCTTTTTTTTATTATTATTATATTTTAAGTTCTAGGGTACATGTGCACAACGTGCAGGTTTGTTACATATGTATACATGTGCCATGTTGGTGTGGTGCACCCATTAACTCATCATTTACATTAGGTATATCTCCTAATGCTATCCCTGCCCCTTCCCCCCACCCCACGACAGTCCCCGGTGTATGCTGTTCCCTTTCCTGTGTCCAAGTGTTCTCATTGTTCGATTCCCACCTATGAGTGAGAACATGCGGTGTTTGGTTTTTTGTCCTTGCGATAGTTTGCTGAGAATGATGGTTTCCAGCTTCATCCATGTGCCTACAAAGGACATGAACTCATCCTTTTTTATGGCTGCATAGTATTCCATGGTGTATATGTGCCACATTTTCTTAATCCAGTCTATCATTGTTGGACATTTGGCTTGGTTCCAAGTCTTTGCTATTGTGAATAGTGCCGCAATAAACATACGTGTGCATGTGTCTTTATAGCAGCATGATTTATAATCCTTTGGGTATATACCCAGTAATGGGATGGCTGGGTCAAATGGTATTTCTAGTTCTAGATCCCTGAGGAATCGCCACACTGACTTCCACAATGGTTGAACTAGTTTACAGTCCCACCAACAGTGTAAAAGTGTTCCTATTTCTCCACATCTTGTCCAGCACCTGTTGTTTCCTGACTTTTTAATGATCGCCATTCTAACAGGTGTGAGATGGTATCTCATTGTGGTTTTGATTTGCATTTCTCTGATGGCCAGTGATGATGAGCGTTTTTTCATGTGTCTGTTGGCTGCATAAACGTCTTCTTTTGAGAAGTGTCTGTTCATATCCTTTGCCCATTTTTTGATGGGGTTGTTTTTTTTTTCTTGTAAATTTGTTTGAGTTCATTGTAGATTCCGGATATTAGCCCTTTGTCAGATGAGTAGGTTACAAAAATTTTCTCCTGTTCTGTAGGTTGCCTGTTCACTCTGATGGTAGTTTCTTTTGCTGTGCAGAAGCTCTTTAGTTTAATTAGATCCCATTTGTCAATTTTGGCTTTTGTTGCCATTGCTTTTGGTGTTTTAGACATGAAGTCCTTGCCCATGCCTATGTCCTTGCCCATGCCTATGTCCTTGCCCATGCCTGTGTCCTGAATGGTATTCCCTAGGTTTTCTTCTAGGGTTTTTATGATTTTAGGTCTAACATTTAAGTGTTATTCTAAGCCAAAAGAACAAAGCTGGAGGCATCACACTACCTGAGTTCAAACTATACTACAATGCTACAGTAACCAAAACAGCATGGTACTGGTACCAAAACAGAGATATAGACCAATGGAACAGAAGAGAGCCCTCAGAAATAATACCACACATCTACAACCATCTGATCTTTGACAAACCTGACAAAAACAAGAAATGGGGAAAGGATTCCCCATTTAATAAATGGTGCTGGGAGAACTGGCTAGCCATATGTAGAAAGCTGAAACTGGATCCCTTCCTTACACCTTATACAAAAATTAATTCAAGATGGATTAAGTGCTTTTCTTTATAAATTACCCAGTTTCAGGTATTCTGTTATAAGCAACAGAAAGCAGACTGAGACAGTCTCATTTCCATTTTAGAGTTGGGAAATCTGGGGTACAGAAGAGCTCAATGACTTTTGTGACGTCAGAGAGCTAGAAAGTGATAAAACTGTGAGTTCATCCCAACCAACTTTGGCCCCAGAGTCCATGCACTTAACGGCTTCTCAGTTCTTCCCTTACTCAATTCCTGCAATACTTCTCTTTGAGACTATCACATTGTCCTTTGTTAACTACACTTTTAATAGCTATGCTTCAAGTAGTTGTAATAGTCTTGGGGAGTTACTTTATTTCTATGTGCCTCTGTTTCAATGTAAGCAAAATGGGACATTTTTAACAGGGCTGGTGTGAGATTTGTAGGAGTTCTCCTACATAAAGCATATAGCATTGCTCAGGGCACATAAAGGGAGTTTGATGTTAACATAATTTGAATTTAATAACCTAACCTTGCCCAAGCCTTTATTACAAGGACTGTCAGACTTTCAGTACATCAGAATCATCTAGTCTGTTTTAAAAGTGCAGATTTGTTTGTCCCACCCCAATACTGATACAGAAGTCTCTTGTGGAACACAGAAATTTCCATTAACAAGAGATTCTACTATAGATAATTCTAAAACTATAGTTTGAGAAGCACTATGTATGATGAAATTCCCTTTCCCTCCACATCTGCCCTGTTATTCTCTCTAAATATGTGTACATCTAGGCATATGGGTGCTGCATTATGGTAATGTTCTATCTATATTTGGCATAGGAATATGGCCTTTATGAAGGTGCTGAATATCACCTGTGAGGTCATTCACCGGGGGAGAGAAGTGTATTCGTCAGTTTAAAGATCAGAATGCCAGATTTGAGTGGGAGGATCTTAATATATAATCAACACAGGGGAAATCAATTTCTTTTGCATTCTCTCTCTCTCTCTGTCTCTCTCTCTCTTTCATATCACAGATGGTATTAGCTTGCTCAGGGGGAGAACTTTGGGTAGTAGTCGGGATTTGACATCTTTTCAGTGATAACAAAATGACGCAGTAATCATACAGTAAAGAAGGAATCAAGGCGGAGTGTTGCAAGGTCCTGCCAGCTTTTCACAGCAAGGCAGCAGATGGAGTAGGTGGGCCTTATATAACTGAACTGCATATCCTTTTTGTCTTTTGCACTTCTTGTATTTGCTTCTTTTTTTCTCTCTTAGTATTTAGAAAAATAACTTTCTTTGAAAAAAATCCAATCTGTATCAGTTATGCTAAGTGGACAAAAATGTGAAATAGTTTGTTAGATAAAAATGTTAAGTTGAGGTTTGTTAGAGTGTTACAGAGGAGTTCAATGACTTTTGTGAGGTCAGAGAGCTGGAAAATGATAAAACTGGGAGTTCAACCCAACCAATTTTGGCTCCAGAGTCTATGCACTTAACCACTTCCCTGAGTAAATCGCATTCACTGAGAGAAAAGTGAGAGTCAGGGAAATGTAGAGCTGGTACCTTATGCTCAGCTGTCCCCCTCCTCAACTTGGGACTCACTTTCTAGTACTAAACTTCTATCCGTGTTTGACTTTACTATAGAAGGTGGGTCAGCCAACTTAATCCTACTACAAAGATGGTTGAAGCAGCATTCCTCTCACAGCTGTCCCCAGGGCCAGAGCAGGCATGGATAGCACGGTTTAACACTGGTAATACGTTTAGGGCATGCCAGTTTCTTCTGGTAGCCTCTGTAGAAAGTTTCACATTCTCAGCTCTAGGGCCAGATTGTCATCCATCCTCATGACAAATTTGTAGCAATTCTTAGATGATATGGGTTTAACCAAATTTATCACTATTGCGTATGTGTTTTAGTCCCTTAAGTCTTTGCTACGAGTATTGCATATTGTTTTGCTATAGGATATACTTTGACTACAACTCTTCAAAGTTATTTTAATCTGAAAACATAGAAAAGCACATGAAAAAATGTTTTAAAATGTTTAAAGTTTAATGGGGAGCAAAATACTAGTTATCTCATTCTAAGAATCTTATGCAAATAAATGTAATATCCAGGTTTTAAGGCCTGAGATTATGCTGTTGTTGGTGGATGAAGTGCAGGGCTGGGTGGTGGGGAGTCAAACAATGACATTCATCTTTGATCCTTTCCTCATTATGACCCAGTCGTCTTGAATAATTGACTCTACCAGAGAATTCCCATTCATAACGGGCACTGACTTGATTCTGCCTTATATCATATTTAGGTGAATACATTTCTACCTCCCCATTAGACTGTCAACTCCTTCATGAAATGGACTATGACTTTCAACTGAATTGTCTCCCATAATGTATTCTCAAAAAATGCTCAGTTGAAAAAATATAAGGAAAACAAACAAGCAAAAATCAGCTCTGTTAACTATACGAAATCAATTCTAGACCTATAAGTCGCCTTCATTCATAGCAATTTGAGATGACACTGAACTCTAATCATATCTGAGCATCTGGTCTCAGTAGGAGATATGGTCAGGCCCCATATTGCTCTTTCCAAGGAGATCAGCACAACAAAATTTCCTGTTCATTTCTTATAGAATAAATAGCTCTCCAGGTGGCTTTCTTTCTACCTTACTCAGATAGATACTATTCATATCTTATTGACAGTAGAGAGACTAAATGCAGTCTGAGCTGCTTAGCAAATGATTTGGAGATACCTGTCAGTGATACTATGTTAGTGAGGTTTGTCTAGACAATGCTGTGGTAACAGATTTCCCCTGCCCCATCTTGATGTCCAGACAAAACTAACATTCCTTTCTTTCTTTCTTTAAGTACGTTTCTAAGTCTGGTTGGCATGAGGAGCTCTGTTCCAGAGCCTCAGGGACACAGGCTGAGGGCATCTTATATTCTCATGGTAGAAGAAAGGAAATAGTGGATTTTCACTGCCTCAGCCTAGAAGTGGCTCATGCTCCTTTCACACACATTGAATGAGCCAGAACTAGTAGTATGGTTCTGCCTACCATTATGGGGGCTGAAAAATGTAGGAGAGCAGAAGGAATATTTGATGAACTTTACTGTCTGCAGAGATAAGCCAAAAAGCATATGAGAGTTTGAGTGGGTGGTGGTGAATTATTGCATTAAGGTGGAGCCTCATGACAGAGGGTTGGATGGTAGTGACAGGTATGAACAGTTGGCAGAGAGATAGTTTTATTCTAGATCATTTTGAATTTTGTGCCAGTAAGAGCAGCAGAACCACTTTTTGCCCTCCTTATGAACTAAATTAGTCCAGCAAAATATCAGAATCCTGGAAGTTTAGATTTGAAAAATATCCTGTTGATTACCTAACCCAAACTCCTTTTTGATACACTGCTGCCCTGGAAAGAAAAAAAGATCCTTGCTAAATAGCTGTAAAATGGAAATAACAATAGTAACAATCAATTAGTGTGGTTTGGGAGAATTCACTAAGATAATTGTTTGTAAAATGCTCAGAATGATGGCCTTGTACGTAGTAAGCACTATATAAATGTTACCTATTTTACTTGAATTGTTCTTTAATCTTATAGTAGGCTGAATAATGTCCCTCAAAATATGTCCATGTCCTAATTCTATGAACCTGTGAATATTTTACCTTACATGTCAAAAGTGACTTTGCAGATGTATTAAACATTCATGGTGAACTTTTTGTGTACCAAGAGTTGTTCTATTTGCTGGAGACAAAACAGTGTGAAAATCAGGCAAACTGTTTACCCTCATGAAGATATTCTGGTAGAGGGGTAGAAAATAGACAAAAAGTTGATCTGATAAGTGTGATGAAGAAAAAACAACGAAGTAAAGGGGAAGGTGTATGGGGGTGTGAGGGTTGCTAATGTTTCGTTTAGTAAGATAGTGAAGTCCTTTATATTAAGGTTACATTTAAATAGATACTTGGAAGAAGGGAGAGAACTGTGCACTGAGAGAGTATTCCAGGCAGAGGTGGGAACATACTTGATGTATTTGGGAATAGCAAGGAGTTAAGTGAAATTATGTAGAAAAACAGCAGTAGGAGTTAAAGTTCAAAAAGTTATTTAGCGTTTTGTATGCCAAAATGAAGACTTTGGATTTCACTCGGAGTGATTTAGTAAGCTATTGTAAACATTTTAATAAATGAGTGATGCAATATTACATGTGTTTTGAAAGGCTAACTCTGGTTGCACCGTAAAGAATAGGCAGTAGGGGTTCAAAGATGGAAGCAGGAAACTATGGGGCTATTAAAATAGGCCAAGCTGAAGATGGAGGTGGGGAACTAGAGTGGTAGCAGTGTAAATGGATGTGGCCAGATTATGAATGTTCTTTGAAATACAGCCAATATTTGTCCATGGATTGGATATAGGGTGTGAGAAGAAGAGTGAAGTAAAGATAACTCTCAAGTTATTTGTGGCATCCATAATGGAAAGGTTGTAATTACCGTTTAATGAGATTGTGAAGACTATAGGAAGAACAGATTAAGGGGTAAAAATCTGGAGTTTGGTCTTGGATGTGTTAAGTTTGAGGTTCACATTAAGGAAGAGATCTGGTCTGGAAATAGAAATTCTAGAGTCATCGGCATATTAACATAAGTACAGTGAACAGCCTGGATATCGTTTAAGGAGTGAGCATAGAGAAAAGAGATAAGGTTTAAGCACTAAGCTCTAGGGCTTTCCAACACCTGAGGCGGAGCAATAAATGGCTAGCAAAGGAGACTAATGATGACTAGCCAGGGGATGGGAGAAAAATAAAAAAGGGAGAGTGTAGTATCCAGGAATCTAAATAAATAAAATCTTTCAAGAAGGAATGAGTGGTTACTTCTATCAAATGTTGCTGAAAAGTCACATTAATTATCCATAGGATCTGGATTTGCCAAATAATTCAGCGAAGGTGGAGTTAAGTGGTATGCTATATAAAAATATCAGTACAGCCAATTCAACAGGAAGTACAAAGATAGAAATTGGGAAGCAAGATGGTGGAATAGGAGGTTTTCACTTGAATATACCCCCTGCAGCAACAATAATTTGTCAGCCATCCACAGGAAAAAAAAAAGTGTTTCTGTAGGACCTTTGGGATTGAGGTAGGAGTTTGTGAAAACTGAGTGGAGCCTAAGACTGGGAGGGGCTGTTTTGAGAGAGCAGGCCTGTGCCCTGCCTTCTTACTGTTTATGGTCCCAGCTACAAACCTGGATATTGCCTCATCCCCTTTTGGATTTAGCGTAAGCCCCATTTAGCCTTGGTTCTGCCACCAGTACTATTTTCTAAGGGACATGGGAGGAGTCACATCCAACTTATCCCCAGAGGCAGACCTTCAGACTTTGCTCCCTCTCTCAACCATTTTCCAGGAGAGAGCCTGTCTTCTCAAGGTCCCAGAGAGAGACACAATGTCTATGCCAATGGAGGCAGGCCTGCAGACCTTGGTCCTGTCTGTGCAACTTGAAACAGCCCCGTGACTTAATTCCACCACTGCTTAGCTGCAATCCAGGGTCAGTCTTGCCTTCCAAAGGATATTGATATGGTTTGGCTGTGTCCCAACCCAAATCTCACCTTCAATTGTAATAATCCCCACTGTCAAGGGCAGGGCCAGGTGGAGATAATTGAATCATGGGGGCGATTCCCCCATACTGTTCTCGTGGTAGTGAATAAGTCTCATGAGATCTGATGGCTTTATAAATGGGAGTTCTTCTGCACAAGCTCTCTTGCCTGCCATCATGTAAGATGTGACTTTGCTCCTCATTTGCTTTCAGCCATGATTGTGAGGCCTCCCCAGCCATGTGGAACTGTGAGTTTATTAAACCTCTTTCCTTTATAAATTACCTAGTCTCAGGTATGTCTTTATTAGCAGTGTGAAAACTGACTAATTCAGACATGCTCAGTGAACCAGTGAGAGCTTTCTAAGGGATGCAGTGGGAACCACACTGGTTTATGCACCTGGTAACAGACTTCTTGTTTGTGGATCCAACTGCAGATCCAATTGTAGGCCCTTGTTCCAGCACCAACCCCACTGACCAATTTCCTGGAGGCAGTCCTGTCTTCCCAGGGACCACATAGGATTCATGCTCAACTGAGCCTCAAGTAAAAGGCCTACCAACTGTAGACTTCACTACAGATCCAGCAGCATCCATGTGACCCAGCTCCAACCACACTTAACTGTGATACCAGAGGAAATCCCATCAGCCTGAGGGCCCAACAGGAGAAAGTCACTGCCTGCCAAAACCAGTTTGTAAAGACTGGAAGAGGTGTTTTCTCTTTCAAATGCACAGATACCAACACAAGGCTACATGCATGAATCATGAAGAATCAAATAAACATGACAACACTAAAGGGAACTATTAAATCACCAGTAACTGATTCCAAATAAATGAGAAGATCTACAAATTTCCTGACAAGAATTTGAAATAATCATCATACGGAAGCTTAATGGGATGCAAGAGGACTGTGTTAGTCTGTTCTCACACTGCTAGTAAAGAAATACCTGAGACTGGGTAATTTATAAAGAAAATAGGTTTAATTGACTCACGGTTCAGCATGGCTAGGAAAGCCTCAGGAAACTTACAATTATGGTGGAAGGGCAAGCAAACACATCTTTCTTCACAAAGCATCAGGACAGAGAAGAATGAGAGCAGAGCGAAGTGGGAAGCCCCTTATAAAACCATCAGATCTCACGAGAACTTACTATCACAAGAATAGCATGGGGAAAACCGCCCCCATGATTCAATTACCTCCCACCTGGACCTTCCCACCACACATGGGGATTATGGGAACTACAATTCAAGATGACATTCAGGTGGGGACACAGCCAAATCATATCATACCACCCCTGACCCCTCCCAAATTTCATGTCCTCACATTTCAAAACACAATCATGCCTTTCCAACAGTCCCCCAAAGTCTTAGCTCATTCCAGCATTAGTCAAAAGTCCAAGTAAAAAGTCTCATCTGAGACAAGGCAAGTCTCTTCTACCTATGAGCTTGTAAAATCAAAAGCAAGTCAATTACTTCCTAGATACAATGGAGGTACAGGCATTGGATAAATACACCCATTCCAAAAGGGAGAAATTTGCCAAAACAAAGGGCTACAGGCCCCATACCAGTTTGAAATCCAATGAGGCAGTAATTAAATCTTAAAGCTCCAAAATAATCTCCTGTGACTCCATGTCTCACATCTAGGTCATGCTGATGCAAGAGGTGGGCTCCCATGGCCATAGGCAGATCCACCCCTGTGGCATTGCAGGGTACAGCCCCCCCTCCCAGATGTTTCCACGGGCCAGTGTTGAGTGCCTGTGGCTTTTCTAGATGCATGGGGGCAAGCTGTAGGTGGATCTACCATTCTGGGGCCTGGAGGACGGTAGCCCTCTTCTCACAGCTCCAACAGGCAGTGCCCCAGTGGGGACTGTGTGTGGGGGCTCCAACCCCACATTTGCCTTCCATGTTGTCCTAGCAGAGGGTCTCCATGAGGGCTCCACTACTGCAGCAAACTTCTGCCTGGACATCCAGGTGTTTCCATTCATCCTCTGAAATCTAGGCAGAAGTTCCCAAACCTCAATTCTTGACTTCTGTGCACCCATAGGCTCAACACCATGTGGAAGCTGCCAAGGCTTAGGGTTTACATTCTGTGAAGCCATAGCCCGAGCTGTACCTTGGCCTCTTTTAGCCACACTGAAACAGCTGGGATGCAGGGCACCAAGTCCCTAGGCTGCACATAGCAGGAGGTACTGGGCCTGACCCAGGAAACCATTTTTCCTCCTAGGCCTTTGGGCCTGTGATCAAAGGGGCTGCCATGAAAGTCTCTAACATGCCCTGGAGACATTTTTTTTCATTGTCTTGGTGATTAACATTCAGCTCCTTGTTATTTATGCAAATTTCTGCAGCTGGCTTGAATTTCTCCCCAGAAAATGGGTTCTTCTCTTCTATTGCATTGTCAGGCTGCAAATTTTTCAAACTCTTATGCTCTGCTTCCTCTTGAATGCTTTGCTGCTTAGAAATTTCTTCTGCCAAGTCTTGCTTTGGCTATGTGGGCTCATTTTTGGTTCCATATGAATTTTAGGATTTTCTTTCTAGTTCTATGAATAATGGTGGTTGTATTTTAATGGGAATTGCATTAAATTTGTAGATTGCTTTTGGCAGTATGGTCATTTTTACAATATTGATTCTACCCATCCATGAGCATTAGAAGTGTTTCCATTTTTTTTGTGTGTGTGTTGTGTATGATTTCTTTCAGCAGTGTTTTGCAGTTTTCCTTGCAGAGGTCTTTCACCTCCTTGGTTAGGTATATTCTTAAATATTTTATTTTATTTTTGCAGCTATTGTAAAAGGGGTTAAGTTCTTGATTTGATTCTCAGCTTGGTCGCTGTTGGTGTATAGAAGAGCTACTGATTTGTGTACATTAATATTGTATCTGGAAACTTTGCCAAGTTCTTTTTCAGTTGTAGGAGCTTTCTGGAGGAGTCTTTAGGGTTTTCTAGGTAAATCATATCATCACCAAACAGCAACAGTTTGACTTCCTCTTTACCGATTTGGATGCCCCTTATTTCTTTCTCTAGTCTGATTGCTCTGGCTAAGATTTCCAGCACTATGTTGAATAGAAGTGGTGAGAGTGGGCAAACTTGTCTTGTTCCAGTTCTCAGAGGGAATGCTTTCAGCTTTTCCCCATTCAGTGTTATGTTGGCTGTGGGTTTGTCACAGATGGCTTTTATTACACTGAAATCTGGAGGTATCACATTATCTGACTTCACATTATACTATAAGGTCATAGTGACCAAAACAGCATGGTACTGGTATAAAAATAGGCATATACCAATGATACAGAATAGAGAACCCAGAAATAAACCCCAAATTCTTAAGCCAACTGATCTTCGACAAAGCAAACAAAAACATACAAGTGGGGAATGGACACCATATTCAACAAATGGTACTGGGATAATTGGCAAGCCACATGCAGGAGAATTAAACTGGATCCTCATCTCTCACCTTATACAAAAATCAACTCAAGGTGGATTAAGGACTTAAACCTAAGACCTGAAACTATAGAAATTCCAGAAGACAACATTGGAAAAACCCTTATAGACATTGGCTTTGTCAAGGATTTCATGACCAAGAACCCAAAAGCAAATGCAATAAAAACAAAGATAAATAGCTGGGACTTAATTAAACTAAAGAGCTTTTGCATGGCAAAAGGAACAGTCGGCAGAGTAAACAGACAATCCACAGAGTGGGAGAAAATCTTCACAATCTATACATCTGACAAAGGACTAATATCCAGAATCTACAGGGAACTCAAAAAAGCTAGCAAGAAAAAAACAATGCCATCGAAAAGTGGGCTAAGGACATGAATAGACAATTCTCAAAAGAAAATATACAAATGGCCAGTAAACATATGAAAAAATGCTCAACATCACTAATGATCAGGGAAATGCAAATGAAAACTACAATGTGATACCACCTTACTCCTGCAAGAATGGCCATAATCAAAAAATCGGAAAAAAAAAATGATAGATGTTGGCATGGATGCAGTGGACAGGGAACACTTCTACGTTGCTGGTAGGAATGTAAACTACTATGACCACTATGGAAAACAGTGTGGAGATTCCTTAGAGAACTAAAAGTAGAACTACCATTTGATCTGGCAATTCTGCTACTGGGTATCTAACTAGAGGAAAAGAAGTCATGATACGAAAAAGATACTTGCACATGCATGTTCATAGCAGCACAATTCACAATTGCAAAAATGAGGAGCCAACCCAAATGTCCATCAATCAATGAGTGTATAAAGAAACTGTGGTATATATATATATATGATGGAATGCTACTCAGTCATAAAAAGGAATGACTTAGTGGCATTCACAGCAACCTGGATGAGATTGGAGACTATTATTCTAAGTGAAGTAACTCAGGAATGGAAAACCAAACATCGTATGTTCTCACTCATAAGTGGGAGCCAAGCTATGAGGATGCAAGGGCATAAGAATGACCCAATAGACTTTGGGGACTCAGGGAGAAAGGTGGGAAGCGGGTGAGGAAAAAACGACTACAAATCGGGTTCAGTGTATACTGCTTGGGTGATGCGTGCACCAAAATCTCACAAATCACCACTAAAGAACTTACTCATGTAACCAAATACCACCTATGCCCCCCAAACCTATGGAAATAAAAAAATAAAAAAAAAGACACTTCTTATTCCAGATACTTTAAATCATCTCTCTCAAGTTTAAAGCTCCACAGATCTCTAGGGCAGGGGCAAAATGCCAGCAGTATCTTCGCTAAAGCATAACAAGAGTCACTTTTGCTCCAGTCCTCAACAAGTTCCTCATCTCCATCTGAGACCACTTCAGCCTGGACTTCATCGTCCATTCCACTATCAGCATTTTGGTGAAAGTCATTCAACAAGTCGCTAGGAAGTTCCAAACTTTCCCACATCTTCCTGTCTTCTGAGCCCTCCAGGTCTCTAGGAAGTTCCAAACTTTCCCACATTTTCCTGTCTTCTTCTGAGCCCTCTAAACTGTTCCAACCTCTGCCTGTTTCCCAGTTCCTAAGTCACTTTCACATTTTCAGGTATCCTTATAGCAGCAAGCCACTCTAGCAGTACCAATCTACTATATTAATTCATTCTTGTGCTGCTAATAAAGACATGAGGGAGACTGGGCAATTTAAAAGAAAAGAGGTTAGATTGACTCACAGTTCAGCATGGCTGGGGAGGCCTCAGGAAACTTAGACTTATTGTAGAAGGAGAAGCAAACACATCCTTTTTTTATTATACTTTAAGTTTTAGGGTACATGTGCACAACGTGCAGGTTTGTTACATATGTATACATGTGCCATGTTGGTGTGCGGCACCCATTAACTCGTCATTTAACATTAAGTATATCTCCTAATGCTATCCCTCCCCCCTCCCCACTCCCCACAACAGGCCCCGGTGTGTGATGTTCCCCTTCCTGTGTCCATGTGTTCTCATTGTTCAATTCCCACCTATGAGTGAGAACATGCGGTGTTTGGTTTTTTGTCCTTGAGATAGTTTGCTGAGAATGATGGTTTCCAGCTTCATCCATGTGCCTACAAAGGACATGAACTCATCCTTTTTTATGGCTGCATAGTATTCCATGGTGTATATGTGCCACATTTTCTTAATCCAGTCTATCATTGATGGACATTTGGGTTGGTTCCAAGTCTTTGCTATTGTGAATAGTGCCGCAATAAACATATGTGTGCATGTGTCTTTATAGCAGCATGATTTATAATCCTTTGGGTATATACCCAGTAATGGGATTGCTGGGTCACATGGTATTTCTAGTTCTAGATCCCTGAGGAATCGCCACACTGACTTCCACAATGGTTGAACTAGTTTACAGTCCCACCGACAGTGTAAAAGTGTTCCTGTTTCTCCACATCCTCTCCAGCACCTGTTGTTTCCTGACTTTTTAATGATCGCCATTCTAACAGGTGTGAGATGGTATCTCACTGTGGTTTTGATTTGCATTTCTCTGATGGCCAGTGATGATGAGCATTTTTTCATGTGTCTGTTGGCTGCATAAATGTCTTCTTTTGAGAAGTGTCTGTTCATATCCTTTGCCCACTTTTTGATGGGATTGTTTGTTTTTTCTCTTGTAAATTTGTTTGAGTTCATTGTAGATTCTGGATATTAGCCCTTCGTCAGCTGAGTAGATTGCAAAAATTTTCTCCTTTTTTTTTTAAAAAAAAAAAAGATGCCAGGAAGGAGAAGAATGAGAGCTGAGTGAAGGGGGAAGCCCCTTATGAAACCATCTGACCTCGTGAGAACTTAATATCACAAGAATAGCCTGGGAAAAACCACCCCCACGTTTCTATTACCTTCCACCAGGTCTCTCCCACTACATGTGGGGACTATGAGAACTACAATTCAATATGAGATTTGGGTGGGGACACAGCCAAACCATATCAAGAACACAGAATACTAAATGAAATGAGGACAATACATGAGCAAAATAAGAAGTTTAATGAAGAAACATAAACTGTAAAAAATGACCAAACAGCTGAAGAATGTGACAGAAAAGACAAATTCAAGACAGAGCTTCAGAAGCAGACTTGATCATATGATTTACTAATCCCACTACTGGGTATATACCCAAAGGAAATGAAACAATTATCTTGAAGAAATATCTGCACCCCTATGTCCATTTCAGCATTATTTACAATAGCTAAGATATAGAGGCAGTCTCTGTCCATCAACAGATGAATGGATAAATAAAATGTTGCACATATAGACAATGGAGTACGATTAAGCCATAAAAAAGTAATCCTGACATTTGTGACAACATGGATGAACCTGGAGGACATTATGCTAAGCAAAACTAGCCAGACAAAGAAAGACTTATATGTAGAATCTAGAACAGTCAAAGAAGACAGTAGAACAGTGGTTGCCAGAGGCTGTGGAATTGGGGAAGTAGGGAGATTTCGGTCAAAACTTTAACTTACAAAATAAGTTCTGGCAATATGATATACAGAATGGTGAATATAGTTAATAATAAGTATACTTAAAATTTGTTAAAGCTGTAGATCTTAAGCATTCACACCTCCTAATAAAGAAAAAAAGCAGAAACTATGTGAGGTAGTGGTGTGTTAATTTAGCTTGATTGTTATAATAATTTCACAATATATACTACGCCAAATTATATATTGTATACACTTTAACTGTATACAACTTGAATTTTCTAATCATGCCTCAATAAAACTTGGAAAATATAAAAAATCGGGGATAGGGAGTGAGTTTAGATGACTTTTTAAAAGAGTGTTGCTGTAAAGGCAGCAAATGAGATTGTAGCTGGGAGAAGACGTGGGTTTAAGAGAAAGGTTTCAAAAATGAGATGTATCACAGAATGCTGATGAGGATTCTCCAGTAAAAAGAAATAAGTAGTGATTCACAAGAGAGTAGAATTTCTATAGTGTTATCCTTAAAAGGACAGAGAAGTTGACACACAGTTCACAAGTGGAGGGGTAAGAGCAAGGACAGTTTATCCATAGTCACTAAAAAGAAAGCATAATATGTATGCACGATACTGGTGGGCAAGGAGATGTGGGAAGCATATAGACATTCTCTTCTGATGGCCTAGATTTTCTTAATGAAATAGAAAGCAAGGGCATCAATTGAGAGGGAGGATAGGAAGGAGGTGAGGCAATTTCAGTAAAGAGAAGGTGAGAAATGGTCTTCTTGGAGAGTGGGAAAATAGATGGAAAGGACATGTGGTAGGATTGTTGAACAGCACCAAAGATCAGCTTGAATTTGGAGAAGCCAACTTGGTTATGTATTTTTGGTCCAGTTACATTCACATATTCAGCTGCTCAGTCAGGCACGGCTTAAGAGTAGGCAATGAATTAGATTTAACCAGAATTTTGTTTTGCTAATTTAGTATGATGAAGGGAGATAGAGACAAGGAAGTTTATTGTGTTGTGTGCACAAGGAAGTGATTAGAATGATGGACCATGCCATGGACTTTAAGTTGGCTATGGAGGAATGTGATGG
This sequence comes from Homo sapiens, assembly GCF_000001405.40. Classification (NCBI taxonomy): domain Eukaryota; kingdom Metazoa; phylum Chordata; class Mammalia; order Primates; family Hominidae; genus Homo; species Homo sapiens. The sequence goes on along the minus strand of NC_000023.11, from coordinate 152,488,133 downwards.
CATGAGTGAGGGCAGGGGAAAGTTGATAGAATAAATGAACTGTAAGATTTATCTTAGTACTCAATCAGCTGAATGTTTGTGTCATCCTTGGATATTGAGAAAATGCTCCTAAGCCCCATTCAGCAGCAGACAACATTTGAGTTCAATATGCGTAATGGAATAGATTCATATCCTGTTTGCAGGTAATGTGGAGTTGTACAAAGCGGGACAAGTGTGAATAGCTGAGGGCTCTAGTCCTGGTTCTTCAGTACCTTGTTGCCTGTCTCTGAGCAAGTCATTTCTCTTTTGGGAGTCTCAGTTTATTCATTATTTGAAATATGCAGAACATGATCTTTGGTTCATTTATATTAATTGCAGGGAGGAATCAAGTGAGATAATAAATGCAAAGGCATTTGGCAAAATGGAAAGTATTCTAAAAGCTACTATTTCTTTGTCACAGTAGTAATGACGACAGCAATAATAATGAAACCATTATTTTTTACATTTCAGAGATTGTTTTAATTACTTTAAATGTATTATCTCGTAATTCTTATGAGAGCATATTCTCTGCTTGCTATTATTTATTTCCATTTACAAATAAATAAACTGAAGCCTAGAAGGTTAAATAACTTTTTTAAGGTCAAAAAACTATTTCTGAGTATGTGGTTTATACACAGACCTGTCTGTCTTCAAAGCTGATGTCTTTTTGGTCAACATTTTGTTTGTAAAATTAAGATATCTGAATACATATCATTTATTGCGCTTTTATACTTATTATCTCACATGATTTCCCCCTCACCAGCTATTATAGATTTCACATGATCTATAATTTGTCTATAGTCATCTATTGGAGGCCTGTCTAATCTAAGTTCTGCCGCTTCAGCCTTGTGTAATTATCCAAATCTCCTTTGCTAGGCAGATAGAGTAGGGAGCTAAATATTATACTTTAATCACAGACTGAGCTGGTGGAAGCTGGCATTTAGTTTAATGAATCTCAATTTACCATTTCTATGGCTTGTACCCCAGGACATTTATTTGAGTACATGGCAGGTCTTTGTAACCTCAGTGCTAAGAGACTATGGGCATTTTTTTTTCCTGTGTGATTCAGAGGTTTTTGAATTATTTCTTTAGCCTCTTGCCCTGTGAAGATTCAGAATTTGGCAAATCTTTTGAGGGAGAGACCAGCTGTGCATTTAGCATCCTTCAAGACTCCAATTTTGTCATTACCGTCTGCCAAAAGTTCTGCCAAGGACCAAGTGTGGATTCTTATCTTTCAGCAGGTTCCAGATCTGCAAAAGGTGGTTGGAAGATGTGGGTGTTAATTTACTACTCCCTCTAATGCTTTCATATGTTATTTGTTCTTAGTCCTGCCAATCCTGTACCCCCAACCTTTGCCTCCTAATCACCTAGAGACTGTGGAAATAATTCTACTTTGCTTTAAGTTTTGGCTTAATCTCTTTATCTTCCTCTTCAGTTTAGCTTTGGAGTTTAGCAAATATCTTGAAGGAGAAATAAATTGTCTATTTGAGGCCTGTCTAATCTACATTTTTTTACTTCAGCTCTGTGTAGCTGTCAAAAAGTCCATCAGCAGCAGCTCTCCACCTAGACCTAGCTCAAATTCTCAAGCTCAGATCCATGTTCAGAATCAGGACATATTCTCGGAGACAGCTGTGGAGCCTCAGTTTACCTCCGAAAGACTGTCCTCATTCTGGAATTGTATTCCCTCTAGTCTTGCTTACTTCTACAGTTATTGGGTGTCTATAAATATATATATAATTTTTGAAATCTATCTTTTTTCTAATTGTTTTCAGTGGAAATATTGACCTGCCATGAACTATTCCATTTTACTCAGAAGTAGAAGTCAAATCCTGTAAGTTTTAATAAATAGTAAGTTTACTAAATAGTATTTTTGCTATTATTCAGTTCATAATATTTTCGATTTCCGTTGGATTATTTACAAGCATATTGCTTAACTTCTAAACAATGGGACTTTTCTAGTTACTTTTTCATTATTGTTTCCTAATATGATTATATTATAGCTAAAAAATTATTTTATGATTTTGTTCATTTGAAATATGTAGATAATTGTATTATGGCCCAGCAAAATGGACAGTTCTCTACATGTTGTGTGGGTATTTGGAGAATATGTATTCTATAGTTACTTGGTTTAATGTTCTTTTGCATATTCTTTGTCTTTGCTAACTTGTTTGTGTTTATTCCATCATTTACTGATGAAAGTGTATTAAATTTTACCATGTTTCTGGGTTTTTCTTTTTCTTCTTTTACTACTGTCAGTGTTTTCTTTAGATATTTTGAAGACATGTTACTAAGTATATAAATTTAGAATAGTTAATATTTCCTCATAAATTTAATTCTTAATTTTTACCTACTATTGTCATTTTTTTCTCTGGTAATTCTTTTTGCTTTAAAGTCTTCCTTATCTGATGTTGTCATAGCTATACCAGCCACATGTTGGTTAGAGTTTGCATGGTCTTTACCCATTCATTTACTTTCACTCTTTTCCCTTTATGTTTTGAAGTTGTGTTCTATAAATAGCATATAGTTGAGACTTGGCAGGATCCAGTTGGACAGTATTTAGTTAATTGGAGCATTACTCTATGTATAGTTACTATAATTACAAATACATTTGCATTAAAAATGTTCAGCTTATTAAGTGATTTCTATTCATTCCACCTGCCTATATTCTTATTTTCTCTTGCTTGCCTTATTTTAGAATGAATATAGATTGAGTATATTCAAGCATTCTAAAATACACATATATACTCTATTAGCTTGAAGATTTTATACCTTTTTGCTATTATTTTAGTGTTTACTATAAAAATGGAAATTCATTAACTCATAAGAGTTTAATATGAATTGACACTTTTACTTGCTTCATGAATGCTTTATCTATGACCTATCATTTATTTTTTGTCTTACATTCTTGTATTCCAGCAAGACATTATTGTTTATATTATCAGTACTCTTTTTTTTTTTTTTTTTTTTTTTTTGAGACGGAGTCTCGCTCTGTCGCCCAGGCTGGTCGGCTCACTGCAAACTCCGCCTTCCGGGTTCACGCCATTCTCCTGCCTCAGCCTCCCGAGTAGCTGGGACTACAGGCGCCCGCCACCACGCCCGGCTATTTTTTTGTATTTTTAATAGAGACGGGGTTTCACCGTGTTATCCAGGATGGTCTTGATCTCCTGACCTCGTGATCCGCCCGCCTCGGCCTCCGAAAGTGCTGGGATTACAGGCGTGAGCCACCGCGCCCGGCCTATCAGTACTCTTTAATATTATTACCATTTTATTTCATTTTGTTGTTGTTGTTGCATTCCCAAGCTTCCATATGGGATTACTTTTCTTCTGCCTGAAGAATGTGCTTCCAGTTTCCTTTAGAATATATTATGGACTGAATGCTTGCGTCCTCTCAAAGTTCATATGCTGAAGCCCTAACGCCCAATGTCACTGTATTTGGAGACAGGGTCTGTGAGGAGGTGATAAAGGTTAAATGAAATTGTAATGGTAGGACCCTCATTTGAAAAGGCTGGTGCCCCTATAAGAAGAGGAAGAGACACCAAAGTGTGCTTGCTCTCTCTCTCTCTGGCGTGCTCTCTCTCTCCCTCTCTCTTTGTCTCTCTCTGCCATTTAAGGACACAGCCGGAAGGCAGCAATCTGCAAGCCAATTTAATATTGCAAAAACTCACCTCATGCTCCCTTCCAGTCACTGGTCCCTTTCCATGGGTAGCCATTGTCTTGATTTTTAAACAGAATACTTGTACATGTTTTTAAATTTTATATAAATGGAATTATATAGTATGTTCTTTATTGCATCTATGTTCTTGCACTCAACATTATGTTTGTGATATTTATTCATGTTTAGAATTGTAGATCATTGGTTCTCAAACTTTAGCATCTATCACAATTACCAAGAGGGCTTGTTCAAGCACGAATCGCTGGGTCACAGCCCAGAGTTTTGATTCAGTATGTCTGGGGTGGAGGCTGGGAGTCCAGTTTTCAGGTGCTGCTAATGCTGCTGATCCAGGGGCCATACTTTGAGATCACTGTTGTAAATCATTCACTCTCACTGATTTATAGCAAAGATCAGCAAACTTTTTGTTAAAGGGCCAGATAGCAAATTGCACAATCCCTGTAGGTCAAGAGGCAAAATTGATGACTTTATGTAGGTAATTGTATAACTGTTAAAAATGTAGCCATTTAAAAATGTAACAAACATTCTTCACTAAGGGGCTATAAAAAAATAAGGGACTGGTCACATTTTTCCTGTGGGCTGCAGTTCATTGACTGATGATGCATAGTACTCCATTATATCACGATATTACAATTTGTTTATCCTTTAAACTGTTGATGGGGATTTGGGTAGTGTCCAGATTTTAGCTTTTACATATGAACACTGTTATGAGAATCCTCAAACATGTCTTTTGGTGAACACATGTATGGATTTCTGTTGGGTACATACCCCAGAGTAGAAGTGCTGTGGAATAAAGGTATGCATGTCTTCAACTTTAGGAGAAACTGCCGATTTTCTAAACCGGTTGTATCAATTTACACTCCCACCAACAATATGTGAGAATTATTGTTGCTGCACATTGGTGGTGTTCTGGAGCTGGGTCATACTGGCTTTCAAGGACCAATTGTGGGCATCTCTTCTCAATTCTGCATTCAGTGGTCTCAGGATGGCTGCCTGAAATTGGCTATGGTGGTAGTATTTACAGTATGGAGACTGGAAAAAAAGCCATAAATCAGGGATCTTATATATTCATTTCTAAGAGAGCCAGGTGTTCAACATTGACCATTATCTCATATCTAGACATTTTTGTCAACATTTGGTATTTAATACTTTTTGTCTACATTGTAGCTATTCAGGTGGTGGTATAGTACTATCCTTTGTGGTTTTAATTTGCTGCTTTGCATCTCTGATGAGAATGAAGTTAAACAGCTTTTCAAATATTTGTTGGATATTTTAATATCCTTTTCATTATGTTCATTTGTCTAGTTTTTTAGATAGGTTGTCTTTTTATCTCTATCTATGTTCTATCTATCTATCTATCTATATATGTATGTATGTTTATATATTCATGGTAGAAGTTCTTTGCCAGATATGTGTATTTCTAATGTCATCTCCTATCCTGTGGATTACCTTTTCATTTTTTATTGGTGTTTTTGATGAACAGATCTTAATTTTAGTGTGGTCTAAGTTACCATTTCTTTCTTTAATGGTTAGTGTTTTTTGTGTCCTATTTTTTTTTAAAAAAACTTTGCCTATACCAAAGTCACAAAGAGGTTATCCTTAAAGATATTTTCTATAAAATATTTATTATTTTACTTCTGACATAAAATTTTTCAACTCATTTGCAATTCGTATGGTGTGACTTTGTGATATAATTGCAGTTTTTTCCATATAAGTGTGCATTTAATATGGCACTATTTATTTGAAAGACTACACTTTCACCTCTGCACTGCAATGTCACCTTTATGAAAAAAAAATTGGGTGATAATATTTGCCTGAATTCTTTATTCCATTATATCTATAACCATTCCAGTTAGTATATCCTTGCACTAATACCACAGTTCTTATTTACCATAGCTTGATATATGGTAGTGTAGGTCTTCCAGATGTGTTCTTTTTTTTTCAAGATTGCCTCTGACTATTTTAGCTTTTTGCTTTTCTACATGGATTTTAGAATCAGCTTGTCAGTTTCCACAAAAATCTCTGCTGTTATCTTGATTGAGACTTGAGGTAGGTTGAAGATGTCCACAAAGTCTTTAACACTTCCCACAGAGGACTATGATAATGTCTTCTTGTTTTATTGATCCTTTTATAATTATGAAATAACTTTGTTTTTCTCTAGTATTGCTTCTTGATTTTCCTGATTACAGTTTCATTATCTGTTTTTTTGGTTCATGACTTCTCTTCATTCCTTTTATATTAAACTTTTGCCATGTTAATATTTAAGCTATATTTCTTGTAACTAGCATATATTTGGGTTTAAAAATCCATTCTGACCATCTTAATATTTTACTTGTAAATATTTGACTTATTTTTATTAAATTTAATTACTGATATATAATTTGGTTTAGAATATATTTGCCACAAAATCATCAAGTTTCTATTTGAATCACCTGTTTCATATTCCCTTTTACTTCCATTCTTGCCTTCTTTTAGCATAGTCAATGTTTCTATTTAGAATGTTTTTTTCTATTAATTTGTCAGTTATATCTTCTTCCGCTATTTTAGTAGCGACCTTAGAAATTACAGCAAGAATTTTTGACTTATTACAGTCAAATACAAACTATTTATACCACATCTTTATGCTACTAGAAACTTTAAACAGTGCTTACCCCTTTTTTCACCCTCCTGCATTATTTTTGTCAAGTATTTTCACTTCACATTTCATTTTGCATATAGACTGTACAAAATATTCTAATTACTGTTTTATGCAATCTAAATATATATTTACTTTTACCCATGTATTTATTCTCTCCGGTGTTCTTCATGCCCTTTTGCATTTTCATGTTTCCATCTAGCATAATTTTCCTTTTGACTGAAGAATTTTCTTTGTTTTTGTCTTGTTTTCTTTCAGTGTTGGTCTGCTGGTGAGGAATTCCTTTAATATTTGTTCATATGAAAGCCTCTTTATTTCACCCACATTGTTGAATAATATTTTCTTTGGGTGTAGAATTATATGTTGGTAGTTCTATGTGCTTATTTTTACTTTAGCACTTAAAAAATGTTATAACATTACCTTCTGACTGACCTTGTTTCTTTTGGGAATTCTGCCTTCCGTTTTCCAGTTGTTCTTCTAAATGCGGTGTCTTTTATTCCTCTGGTTGCTTTAAAGATTCTGTATCTTTTTTTTTTTTTTTTTTTTTTTTTGCAGAGCTAGCTGAGGTTTTATTTTGGACGAAAAAAAAGCAATTGAATTGTTTTGTAGTTGGAGGCATGGGCAAGGGTGGTCCTCAGGCAGTGAATTCCGCCGAGGGTGGGCTGAGGGCTAGAGCCGAGCCTCAGGTGTGTCTTCTGTTCCCTGTGCTCCCCTGCACAGCGGCCTCCCTCCCGGGCTCTGGGCAAGTCGCAGGAGGGGCAGGGTGGGAGGGGCTGCCGCAGCTGTTCACTTGGGCGGGACGTCAGAGGACGCGGACACCAGCTTCCCATCGCGGGTCTCGATCTTCTTCACAACCGGGGCCCTGGTGGAGCTGGTGCGGCTGAAGGAGCTGAAGCCCGCGCCAGAGCCAGAGCTGGAGCCCAGGCCGTAGCTGAGGCCGGGGCTTGTGAGGCCCCCATAGGCCGAGCTCAGACCACCTGCAAAACCGCTGGTGGTCTTCATATGAATACTCATGTTCTGCATCCCAGACTCTAGCTGGCTCTCTTCGCCCTCCAGCAGCTTCCCGTAGGTGGCGATCTCGATGTCCAGGGCTAGCTTGACGTTCATCAGCTCCTGGTACTCACGCAGCCGCCTCGCCATGTCCTGCTTGGCCCGCTGCAGGGTGGCCTCCAGCTCGGACAGCTTGACGTTAGCATCCTTAACGGCCAGCTCCCCAAGCTGCTCGGCATCTGCGATGGCGGCCTCCACAGGGAAGCCATCCGGCCTTTGAGGCCCTCAGTCTCAGCCTGGAGCCAGCTGATGTTCCGGTTCATCTCGGAGATCTCAGTCTGTATGCCGCAGGTCATCCCCCTGCTTCCCAGCCAGCACCTGCAGCTCCTCATACTTGACCTGGTCCATGCTCTCAGCCTCAGCCAGGCTGCGGTTGGCGATCACCTCGTACTACGCCTTGACCTCAGCGATGATGCTTTCCATGTCCAGGGAGGGCTGTTGTCCACGGACAGCACCACAGACGTATCCGAGATCTGGGAATGCAGCTCCCGGATCTCCTCTTCATACAGCTGCCTGAGGAAGTTGATCTCGTCAGTCAGCCCGTCCAGGCGAGACTCCAGCTCTACCTTGTTCATGTCAGCTTCATCCACATCCTTCTTGAGGAGGACAAATTCATTTGCCATCTCTTTACGCATATTGATCTCATCCTCATTCTCGTCCTTGAAGTCCTCCACCAGCCCCTGAATGTTGCCAAGCTCCGTCTCCAGCTTCAGCTTCTCCTGGCCCAGAGTCTCCAGCTGCCGCCTAAGGTTGTTGATGTAGCTCTCGAACATGTTGTCCATGTTGCTCTGAGCCATCTCCTGCTGCTGCAGGAGGCTCCACTTGGTCTCCAGCATCTTGTTCTGCTGCTCCAGGAACGGTACCTTGTCGATGAAGGAGACAAATTTGCCTAGGGTCTTGATATGCTCCTTCTCCTGGGTGCGCACGGCCTGGATGTTGGGGTCCACCTCCAGGTTAAGGCGGCTCAGCAGACTCTGGTTGACCATGACGGCGGTGATGCCTCCGATGCCGCTGGCCCCACCATAGCCTCCGCCCAGGCCACCCCAGAAGCTGCTGCTGCCCACTCGGGAGAAGCTGGAGAAGCTGATGCGGGCACCGGGCCCACTCGTGTAGAAGCGGCTGCTGAAGGCCCGTGTGCCAGAGGTGGACACCTTGTACGACTTCTGGGTCACCCTGATGGACATGGTGGAGGCAGGAGTGGAGGCAGGTGGGCTGAACCAGGCAGAGATTCCAGAAGGAGCAGAGAAGCTGCTTCTTGGTCTCTTTGTTTTTTTTAACAACTTGACTATGATGTGCCTAGGTGTGGTTTTCTTTTTATTTATCCTGTTTATGATTCACTGAGTTTTTTGATTCTGTGGGTGTATGTCTTTTATTAATTTTGTAAACTTTTTGAATATTATTTCTTTAGGTATTGCTCCTGCCCTATTCTTTCTCTTCTCCCATTCCATATTTGTTAGTTGTTTTTTTACTCTGTCCTACATATGTCTTATGCTCTATCTTTTTTTCCCGATTATTTTTGTTCTTGTGCTTCAATTTTAATATTTTCTATAATTTTGGAGTTATACAAACCTGTTCTTTTGTGTCACATCTCCCATTAATCCCACGCACTGAGTTCCTAGTTTTTTCATTGTAAGATATCCAGTTGATTTTTAGTTCCATTAATTCAAATTATCTATTACAGTTCTTGGTTCTTTCACATATTTTATTTAACTTTTTCTTTACTTCTTTTAAAAATATTAGTCATAGTTAATTTTAAAGTCATTTTCTCGTGATTTCACTATCCAGATACTATCCAGATCATGTGTGTTTCTGCATCTTTTTTCATCTTTTATTTTGATTTACATGTCATATTTTTTACCTCTTTGTGTATCTAGTAATATTTTTATTGCATGTCACGCACCATGTATAAAAAATTGTAGAGGCTTCAGATGAGATATTCCAGAGACAGTTCCACTTTTCCCCTTTTAGGCACATAAGTTGAGCATATGCTTAATTTAATCCAGTCAGAAATTATTCATGATGAGGGCTAGAGTGCAGTTTTATTAAAACTCAGTCTACGTCTGGTTTGCTTCTTTTCCCTAGGATGTAAGAGCATGGTAGATTTCTATTTTGTAATCTCTGAAAGCCTGGAAAATCCAGATCTGCTATTCACAACTTGCAGCCTCCTGGAGTTTCAAATTCTGGCACATGCTTGTTTCCTAAGAACTGGGTGATTGCTGAAGATTTTGCTTCACCTTTTTACAAGTATTTTACCCAACTATGCCAGAAGTCAGCAAATGTTCAGTGGGGAAAATCTGCTGAGCACTTGAGTATCATCAGCTTTTGTATTTGTCATACCAGCCTTGTCAAACTGCTAAAAGCTTTGCTGTTTTTTCTCTCTGCGAGCAGAGGCTCTTTGTCTGAATAAGCCTGGTCCTCAGCCTATTCTCAGAGTTGGTAAATTTTCCAAAGGAGAAAAATAGTTGAAGATTGTCAGCTTATAGTGGAAAAGATTCTCTCTCCTTGAAATTTTAATTTATTTAATCTTTGTTTCCACCACTATTTGGTACCTTTAACATGATGATTTTTGTAAATCATCCAGTTTTTTGTAGTTGTAGAAGATTGTTGCCTCTCACATACTTTTATTCAGAAGCATATTTGAATAGATTTTTTTTTTTTTTGACATGTAGTTTCGCTCTTTTTGCCCAGGCTGGAGTGCAATGGCGCCATCTCGGCTCACCGCAACCTCCGCCTCCCGGGTTCAAGCGATTCTCCTGCCTCAGCCTCCTGAGTAGCTGGGATTACAGGCATGCACCACCACCCCGGCTAATTTTGTATTTTTAGTACAGACGGGGTTTCTCCATGTTGGTCAGGCTGGTCTTGAACTCCCGACCTCAGGTGATCCACCCGCCTCGGCCTCCAAAAGTGCTGGGATTACAGGCGTGAGCCACTGCACCTGGCCTTTGAATAGATATTTTTGATGCTATTATAACTAGGATCTTTCAATGATTTAAATGTTTCTTATTCACTTATAGGACTAAAAAATTATTTTTCATATATTGTTTTTGTATCCAGCAATTTTACTAAAGTCCCACTGTAAATGTAACAGTTTATCCATAGATTTTTAAAGAATTTTTATGTACTCAATTATATAATATATAAACGACAGTTTTACACTTCTTTTTGCATACTTCTATTCTTATTAATGTGTTGAATTGTCTAGGACCTCCACTATAATGGTGAATAGTAGTGATGATGGCAGCCATTTTGTTACATCCCCAATCTCAAAGGCCAGTATTTTAATATATTACAGATAAGTGTAATATTTTGAATAGATATTTCTAGATACATTGTATCATATTAAGTTCCCTTGTATCCTTTGTTTTGTATTTTTTGGTATATATTAAATTTTATCAAGAACTTTTTGCTTATGCCTCTTTATATAATCAAAATTTTGTTCTCTAAAATATGAATGTGCTGAATTACATTTTAAAAATTTTAACCAGAATTGCCTTCCTGGGATAAATCCAGCTAGGTCGTGATGTATTAGGCTGTTTAGATATTGGTGGATATGATTTATGAACATTTTAAAGGATTTGTTCATTCATGGCCATGAGTCAGAATGGCATATAATTTTATTTGTTCATACAGTCCTTGTCAGGTTTTGATCTCAAGGTTATGCTAGCCTCAAAAAAAATAATTTTGGGAGTGTTATACCTTTATTTATTCTATGGAAGAGGTTTTGTTAGATCGTAATTACTTTCTTCTTGAATTATTGCTGGAAATTGCAGCAAAGCCATTTTGGCCTAGATTTTCTCTGTGGGAGATGTTTAGTTTTTAGTTTCTTTGATAGTTATAGGAATATTCAAGTGATCCTCTTGTTTTGGTTTTCTCACTGTTTTATTGAGATATAATCGCATGTAATGAAAACCACAAATCTTAAACAAAAAGATTAATTTTAACAAATGAATACATTAATGTGACCATCACCCTGATCGAGGTAAAGAATATTCCATGACCCCAGAAAGTTCCCTTGTGCCCTTTCCAGTCACTATCCCATCCTTTAAGTGACCATTCTCATATCATAGATGAATTTTGCCTATTCCTGCACTTCATATAAATGAAATCATAGGGTATATATTCCTTTTTGTGTCGCTTCTTTCACTCATCATCACAGTTTTGAGATCCATACCTGTTGTTGCATTTATCAGTAGTTCGTTCATTTTAGTACTAAATAGAGCCTGTATGACTGTACCACAGTTTGTTTATCGATTACACTGCTGTGGACTTTGTTTTTTCCCCCAATTTTTAGCTATTGTGAATAAAGTTGTTATGAACTTTCTTGCTCAAGTTTTTTTGTGAACATATGATTTCCAGTCTATTGGTTATATACATATGAGTAGAATTGCTGGATTATAGGTGTAGGTATGTTTGAGAAACTGACGCAGACTTTTTCAAAGTGGCTGCACTATTTTAAACTTCCACCTTTCATGTATGACAGGTCCAGTTGCTTCACATCCTTGACAACACTTTCTATTGACAATCAGTGAATGTAATTTGACGTTTTTCCCTTTCTTGTGAATGTGTAGTGATATTTGATTATAGTTTTAATTAGATTTTCTATGATGACTTGTAATGTACCTTCTCCTTGTTTCTTGGGCATTTGTATATCTTTATATATATTATTTTTAAAATTTTATTTTTCCATAGGTTGTTGGGGTACAGGTGGTACTTGGTTACATAAGTTCTTTAATAGAGATTTGTGACAACCTGGTGCACCCATCACCCGAGCAGTATACACTGCACCATATTTGTTGTCCTTTATCCCTTGCCCCCCTGCACTTTTCCCCCCAAGTCCCCAAAGTCCGTTGTATAATTCTTACGCCTTTGCATCCTCATAGCTTAGTTCCCACATATCAGTGAGAACATACGATGTTTGGTTTTCCATTGCTGAGTTACTTCATTTAGAATACTAGTCTCTAATCTCATCCAGGTCATTATTGTTAATTCATTCCTTTTTATGGCTGAGTAGTATTCCTTCGTATATATATGCCAGAGTTTCTTTATCCACTCGTTGATTGATGGGCATTTGGGTTGGTTCCACGATTTTGCTATTGTGAATTGTGCTACTATAAACATGTGTGTGCAAGACTCTTTTTGGAACAATGACTTCTTTTCCTCTAGGTAGATACCCAGTAGTGGGATTGCTTGATCAAATGGTAGTTATACTTTGAGTTCTTTAAGGAATTTCCACACTGTTTTCCATACTGGCTGTACTAGTTTACATTCCCACTAGCAGTGTAGAAGTGTTCCCTAATCGCCGCATCCACGTCAACGTCTACTGTTTTTTGATTCTTTGATTATGGCCATTTTTACAGGACTAAGGTAGTATCACATTGTGGTTTTGATTTGCATTTCCCTGCTCATTAGTGATGTTGAGCATTTTTTCATATGCTTGTTGGCCATTCGTATATCTTCTTTTGAGAATTTTCTATTCACGTCCTTAGCCCACTTTTTTATGGGATTGATTTTGTTTTGTTTTGTTTTGTGTGTTTTTCTTTTCTTACTGATTTGTTTGAGTTCATTGTAGATTCTGGATATTAGTCCTTTGTCAGATGTATAGATTGTGAAGATTTTCTCCCACTCTGTGGATTGTCTGTTTACTCTGCTGACTGTTCCTTTTGCCGTGCAAAAGCTCTTTAGTTTAATTAAGTCCCAGCTATTTATCTTTGTTTTTATTGCAATTGCTTTTGAGTTTTTGTTCATGAAATCCTTGCCTAAGCCAATGTCTATAAGGGTTTTTCCAATGTTGTCTTCTGGAATTTTTATAGTTTCAGGTCTTAGGTTTAAGTCCTTAATCCATCTTGAGCTGATTTTTGTATAAGGTGAGAGATGAGGATCCAGTTTAATTCTCCTACATTTGGCTAGCCAATTATCCCAGGACCATTTGTTGAATACGGTGTCCTTTCCCCACTTTGTGTTTTTGTTTGCTTTGTGGAAGATCAGTTGGCTTAAGAATTTGGGGTTTATTTCTGGGTTCTCTATTCTGTTTCATTGATCTATGTGCCTATTTTTATATCAGTACCACACTGTTTTGGTGACTATGGCCTTATACTATAGTTTGAAATCAGGTAGTGTGATGCCTCCAGATTTGTTCTTTTTGCTTAGTCTTGCTTTGGCTATGAGGGCTCTTTTTTGGTTCCATATGAATTTTAGAATTGTGTTTTTCTAACTCCGTGAAGAATGATGGTGGTATTTTGATGGGGATTGTGCTGAATTTATAGGTTGCTTTTGGCAGTGTGGTCATTTTCACAATATTGATTCTACCCGTCCATGAGCCTGGGATCTGTTTCCATTTGTTTGTGTCATCTATGATTTCTTTTAGCAGTGTTTTGTAGTTTTCCTTGCAGAGGTCTTTTGACTCCTTTGTTAGGTATATTCCTAAGTATTTTATTTATTTATTTATTTATTTATTTATTTATTTATTTATTTATTTTTGCAGCTATTGTAAAAGGGGTTGAGTTCTTAATTTGATTCTCCACTTGGTCACTGTTGGTGTATAGAAGAGCTACTGTTTTGTGTATATTAATCTTGGATCTGGAAACTTTCCTGAATTCTTTTATCAGTTCTAGGAGCTTTCTGGAGGTTTCTGGAGCTTTCTAGGGTTTTCAAGGTAATCAATCATATCGTCAGCAAACAGGGACAGTTTGACGTCCTCTTTACCAATGTCGACGCCCTTTATCTCTTTTTCTAGTCTGATTGCTCTGGCTAAGACTTCCAGTACTATGTTGAAGAGGAGTGGTGAGAGCAGGCATTCTTGTCTTGTTCTCGTTCGCAGGGGGAATGCTTTCAACTTTTCTCCACTCATTATTATATTGGCTGTGGGTTTGTCATAAGTGCCTTTGTTACATTAAGGTAGTTCCCTTGTATGCCAATTTTGCTGAGGGTTTTGATCATAAAGGGATGCTGGATTTTGTCAAATGCTTTTTCTGCATCTATTGAGATGATCATGTGATTTTTGCTTTTAATTCTGTTTATGTGGTGAATCACATTTATTGACTTGTGTATGTTAAACCATCCCTGTATCTCTGGTATGAAACCCACTTGGTCATGGTGGATTATTTTTTTGATATGTCATTGTAGTCGGTTAGCTAGTACTTTGCTAAGGATTTTAGCATCTACATTCATCAAGGATATCAGTCTGTAGCTTTCTTTTTTGGTTGTATCCTTTCCTGGTTTTGGTATTAGGGTGATGCTGGCTCATAGAATGAATTAGGAAGGGTTCCTTATTTCTCTGTCTTGTGGAATAGTGTCAAAAAGATTGGTACCAATTCTTTGAATGACTGGTAGAATTCTGCTGTGAATCCATCTGGTCCTGGACTTTTTTTGTTGTTGGTAATTTTTTAATTACCATTTCAATCTTGCTGCTTGTTATTGGTCGGTTCAGGGTATCTAATTCTTCTTAATTTAAGCTAGGATGGTTGTATTTTTCCAGGAATTTATTTATCTCTTCTAAGTTTTCTAGTTTATGTGTATAAAGGTGTTCATAGTAGCCTTGAATGATCTTTTGTATTTCAGTGGTATCAGTCGTAATATCTCCTGTTTCATTTCTCAGTGAGGTTATTTGGATTTCTCTCTTCTTTTCTTGGCTAATCTTGCTAATGGTCTATCAATCTTATTTATCTTTTCAAAGGACCAGCTTTTTGTTTCATTTATCTGTTGTACTTTTTTTGGTTGTTGTTGTTATTTCAATTTCATTTAGTTCTGCTCTGATCTTGGTTATTTCCTTTCTTCTGCTGGGTTTGGGTTGGTTTGTTCTTCTTTCTCTAGTTCCTTGAGGCGTGACCTTAGATTGTCTGTTTGTGCTCTTTCAGACTTTTTGATATATGCATTTAGGGCTGTGAGCTTTTCTCTTAGTATCACCTTAGCTGTATCCCATAGGTTTTGATAGGTTGTGTCATTATTGCCATCCAGTTTGAATAATTTTTTGATTTCCATCTTGATTTCGTTTTTGACTCAATGCTCATTCAAGAGTAGGTTATTTAATTTCCATGTATTTGCATTGTTTTGAGGGTTCCTTTTGGAGTTAATTTCCAGTTTAAATCCACTGTGGTATGAGAGAGTGCTTGATATAATTTCAATTTTCTTAAATTTATCGAGACTCGTTTTATGGCCTATCATATGGTCTATCTTGGAGAAAGTTCCATAGGCTGTTTAATAGAATCTGTATTCTGTTGTTGGATGAAGTGTTCTGTATATATCTGTTAAGTCCATTTGTTCCAAGGTGTAGTTTAAATCCATTGTTTCTTTGTTAACTTTCTTTCTTGATGGCCTGTCTAATGCTGTCAGTGGAGTATTAAAGTCTCCCACTTTTATTGTGTTGCTATCTCATTTCTTAGGTCTATTAGTAATTTTTTTAATAAATTTGGGAGCTCCAGTGTTAGGTACATATATGTTTGGGATTGTGGTATTTTACTGTTAGACAAGGCCTTTTACCATTATATAACGTCCCTCTTTGTCTCGCTGTTGCTTTAAAATTTGTTTTGTCTGACATAAGAGTAGCTACCCCTGCTTGCTTGTGGTGTCCATTTGCATGAAATGCCTTTTTCCACCCCTTTACTTTAAGTTTTTATGAGTCCTTATGTGTTAAGTGAGTCACCTGAAGGCAGCAGATGGTTGGTGAGTTCTTATCCATTCTGCAGTTTTGTATCTTTTAAGTGGAACATTTAGGACATTTACATTCAATGTTAGTATTGAAATGTGAGGTAGGGTTGCATTCATCATGCTCTTTGTTGCCTGCATACTTTGTTTTTTGTTCTTGCTTTTTAACTTCTATTTTTTTATAGGTCCTGTGTGCTTTACGCTTTAAAGATATTCTGTCTTGATGTGTTTCCAGGATTTGTTTCAAGATTTAGAGCTCCTTTTTGAAGTTCTTACAGTGGTGGCTTGGTAATGGCAAGTTCTCTCTGCATTTGTTTGTCTGAAAATGACTATCTTTTCCTCATATATGATGCTTACTTTCACTGGATACAAAATTCTTGGCTGAAGATTGTTTTGTTTGAGGAGGTTGAATATAGGGCCCCAATCCCTTCTAACTTGTAAGGTTTCTGCTGAGATTTCTGCTGTTAATCTGGTAGGTTTTCCTTTATAGGTTACCTGGTGCTTCTGTCTCACCGCTCTTAAGATTTTTTCCTTCCTCTTAACTTTGGATAACCTGATGAAAATGTGCCTAGATGAAGATCTTTTGAGGATGAATTTCCGAGGTGTTCTTTGTGCTTCTTGTATATGCATGTCTAGGTCTCTAGCAAGGCCAGGGAAGTTTGCCTTGATTATTCCCCCAAATATGTTTTCCAAGCTTTTAGAATTGTCTTCTTCCTCAAGAACACCGATTATTCTTGGGTTTGGTCATTTAACATAATCCCAAACTTCTTGGAGGCTTTGTTCATATTTTCTTGTTCTTTTTTCTTTGTCTTTGTTGGATTGAGTTAGTTTGAAGACCTTGTCTTCAAGCTCTGAATTTCTTTCCTCTACTTGTTTGATTCTATTGCTGAGACTTTCCAGAGCATTATGCGTTTCTAAAAGTGTGTCCACAGTTTCCTGAATTTTTATTGTTTTTTTCTTTAAGCTATCTATATTCTTTAGTGCAGTGTATATTGAAATATTTTGCCAATTTTTGTTGTTTATTAACCTTATTATTGTTTTGTAGAATTCTTTATATTTTCCAGATATGAGGTCTTTGTCACATATATATATTAAAATATTTTCTTCCATCCTGTGACTGCTATTGCACGTTCTTAATGGTGTGTTTTGTTGAACAAAGGTTTTAAAATTTGTTGAGACCTAATTTATCATTTGTTTTGTTTTATGGATATTGCCCTTATGCGTATCTAAGAAACCTTAGCCTACCTCAAAGCCTTGAAGACATTTTCCTATTTTCTTTCAGAAGCTTTATAATTCCAGCTTCCACACTGATATCTATAATCATTCTCAACATAATTTGGGAGTATGGTGTGAGGGAAGGTTAAGTTTCATTTTTTCCTCCACAGGAATATCCAGTTGTTTCAGCACCATTTATTGCAGACATTCTTATCTCCAATTGAATTGCTTTGAGGACTTTATTGAGAATCAATTGATGGTATATGTGTCAGTTTATTTCTGGACTCTATATTTTGTTCAACTTATTTATTTTTCTATTATGCTAATACCACACTGTCTTAGTTAATGTATCTTTACATTAATTAAGAATTTTGTGTTGCCTTATGGAGTTTAGAATAAATTTATCAATTTATATAAAAATTTTACTCAGCATCATAATTTTGAAAAAAAATTTTTCTATAAAAATCCTGCTAGGTAATTGTGTTGAATTTATCATCAAATTTGGGGAAAATTGATATCTTAACATTAAGTCTTACAATCACAAACATGGTATTATCTTTTTATTTAGATCTTTCTTAATTTTTCTTAGAAACTTATGTAGTTTTCCATATAACAGTATTGTGCATCTTTTGTTAAATGTATTTCAATGCCATTTACTCCTGATACTGTTGTTATTAGTCTTGTTCTTTGAAGTTTCATTTTTCAATGGTTGTTTCTAATAACTAAAACACAATTGATTTTTGTATATTGACCTTTTATGCTATATTACTTATTAGTGTTGGTATTATATTGTAGATTTATTTGAATTTTCATGTACAAATACAGTTGGCCCTGTGGGTTCTGCCTCCATGGATTCAACCAACTGCAGATCAAAAATATTTGAAAAACAAAAATGATGGTTTTGTCTGTACTGAGCACATGTAGATATTTTTTCTTGTCATTATTCCTGAAGCAATATAGTATAACAACTAGTTACATAGCATTCACATTGTATTAGGTATTACAAATAAACTAGTGATAACTTAAAGTATATGGAAGGATGTGCATATGTTATATGCAAATAGTATACTATTTTAGGTCAGGGACTTGACCATCTGTGGATTTTGGTATCTGTGATGGGTCCTGGAACCAACTGCCCATGGATATTGAGGACGACTGTATATATAAAATTATGAACTTAATGTACAATTATAAGTGTAATTATGGATTTTAAAAATTTTGTACTTTCTAAGTGTTTATTATTTGACCAATATAATCATTTTTTAGTTTTCAATATGTTTTCATACATTTATTTTCTTTACTTCCCCATTTAAAATCTCAAGTTGACAAATAATTGTATGTCTTTATGGGGTACAGTATGACACTTTCATATATGCAACAATTGTAGAAATAGAAAATCAAGCTAATTAACGTATTCATCACCTCACTTATTTTTAATGAGGTGAGAATTTTAAAATCCACTTTTAGCAGTCAAAAAATATAGAATACATTATTATCAACTATGGTTATCATGTTGTGCAATAGATCACTAAAATTTATTCTTCCTTTCTAACTGAAGCTTTGTATCCTTTGGCCAACATCTTCACTTTTGCTATCCCCCCTTCACTCTGTAGCCTCTGGTAACCACCATTCTATTCTGTGCTCCAATGAGGCTGACATTTTTAGATTTTACATATAAGTGAGATCATGCAGCTTTTGTCTTTATGTGGCCAGCTTATTTCACGTAGTATTATGTCCTTCAGGTTCATTCATGTTGTCATAAATGACAGGATTTTCTCATTTTTTTTAAGGTTGAATAGTATTTCATCGTGTATTGTATGAAACTTTTTGTGAACTTATGCTTTCATTTCTCTTGGACAAAAACAATATTTCATTGAATTGTTATCAGTTAACATACTCTGTAGGATTTCAGTATTTTGACTAATCTTGAGAATTACTTTTTGGCCCAGTAATATTCTTTCATATTTGATATGCCATAATTCTAAAAAATAATGTATATCTTGTAGCTGCTAGTGTACTATTTTATAAATTCCAGTAAGTTCAAATTTGCTGAGAGTGTTGATCACTATAGTGTTTCTGTTACTGTTTTCTTTTGATCAGTTCTTCTATCATTTCCTGAGAAAGACATACTAAAATTTGCACTTCGGCCTGTGGATTTTTTCTCTCTAATTTTGTCAAATTTTGCATTTTCTATTTTGAAGCTCTGTTATTCATCACATTTGATTATTTTGTCGTCTTCATGAATTAAATATTTTATTATTATGAAATCACTTTTTATATATCTAGCAATAAATAAGTCTGTTAAGACTTTGTTTTGAAGCCTGCTCTCTTTGATATCCATGTAGCAAATCCAGACTTTTAAAAATAGTCTTTATTTTTTAGAGAAGTTTTAGGGTCACAGTAATATTGAGCAGAAGGTACGGAGTTCCTATATACCCTCTGCCTCCTCACATGCAAAACTTTCTTGATTATCAACATCTGCCATCTAAGTGATACCTTCCTTACAATTGATAAACCTACATTGACACATCATTATCACCTCAAGTCCATAATTTACGTTAGGATTTACTCTGTGTGTTTTTGTTTGTTTGTTTGCTTGTTTACAGGATCTGGCTCTGTCACCCAGGCTGGAGTGCAGTGGCAAGATCTCGGCTCACTGCAGCATCTGCTTCCCAGGATCAAGTGATCCTCCCAGCTCAGCCTCCTGAGTATCTGAGACTACAGGTACGGGCCACCGTGCCCGGCTCATTTTTGTGGATATGGGGTTTTGCCATGTTTCTCAGACTGGTCTTGAACTCCTGGGCTCAAGCAATCCACCAGCGTCAGCCTCCCAAAGTGCTGTGAGCCACTGTACCCAGACAGGATTTACTCTTGATATTGTGCATTCTATGAATTTGGACAGAAATGTGTAATGCTATGTATCCACCATTATGGTATTATACAGAGTAGTTGCACTGCTCTAAAATTCCTCTGTTCTCTGCCTGTAACTCTTCCCTCTCCCCAGTCCCTGTGTATTAGCTCATTTATTTTTCCAGCTTTATTGAGGTATAAATGACAAAAATTATATATGTTTAAATTTCACCATGTGATGTTTTGATATATGTATACATTGTGAAATGATTACCACAATAAAGCTAATTAACGTATCCATTAGCTCACATAGTTACAATTTTTTTGAGGTGAAAATATTTAAAGTCTACTCTCAGTTAATTTTGAGTACATATATAGTACTATTAACTACAGTCACCATGCCATACATTAGATCCCCAGAACTTGTTCATCTTGCATAACTGAAACTTTGTACTCTTTGACCAATGTCGCCCCATTTTCCCTCACCCGTATCCTGGCAACCACCATCCTTCTGTCTGGTTCTACGAGTTTGACTTTTTAGATTCCACACGTAAGTGACATCAGGCAGTATGTGTCTTTTTGTCCCTAGGTTATTTCATTTAACATAACGTCCTCCAGGTTCATACATGTTGTTGCAATCGAGAGGATTTTCTTTTTAAAAAACTGAATAGTGCCATTATATATGTGTGTGTATATATACATATACAATATATACACATGTGTATATAATATATAATCATATATAAATGAACACTATATATATGTACACCACATTTTCTTTATTCATCCATTGATGGACACTCAGTTTGCTTCCATATATTGGCTATTGTTAATAATTCTCAAATGAACATAAGAATGAAGACATCTCTTCCAGATTCTGATTTCATTTCCTTTGGTTATATACCCAGAGGTGGGACTACTGGATCATATAGTAGTTCTATTTTTAGCTTTTCAGGAACTCCATACTGTATTCCACAATGAAACTGCCCATTTACATTCTCATCAACAGTGTACAAGGGTGCCCTTTTCTCCACACCTTTACCAACTCTTTTTTTTTTGTCATTGTGATAATTGCCATCCTAACAGGTGTGGTGATATCTTATTGTGGTTTTGATTTGCATTTCCCTGATAATTGGTGGTGTTGAACATACTTTATTACACCTATTGGCAATTTGTATGTGTTTTTTTGAGAAATGTCCTTTGCCCATTTTTAATTATGTTATTTGTTTTCTTGCTATTGAGTTGTTTAAATTCCTAATACATTTTAAATATTAACCCCATCTCAGAAATGTGGTTTAAAAACATTTTCTTCCATTCCATAGTCTTTTTATTCTGCTGATAATTTGATTTGCTATGCAGAAGCTTTTTTTATTTCATGTAGCCTCATTTGTCTATTTTCGCTTTTGGGTTGTGTCCTTTTGAGGTAATATCCAAGAGAGTATTGCCTGGAACACTGTCAAGAAAATTTTTTCCTATGTTTTCTTCTAGGAATATTACAGTTTCGGGTATTACATTTAAGTCTATATTCTATTTTGAGTCTATTTTTGCATATGGTGTAAGATAAGTGTCCAATTTTATTCTTCTACAAGTGGAGGTCCAGTTTTCCAAGCACCATTTATTGAAGAGAATATCCTTTCCCCATTGTGTGTTCTTGGCTGCTTTGTCAAAGATCAATTGACTATAAATGTGCAGATTTATCGCTGATCTCTCTATTCTGTTCCTTTGGTCTATTTGTCTACTTTTAGGCCAGTACCATTCTGTTTTGATTACTATAGCTTTTTGGTATGTTTTGAAATCAGGTAGTGTGATGACTCCAGTTTTGTTCTTCTTCCTCAAGATTGCTTTGGCTATTCAGGGTCTTTTGTGCTTTTATACAAATTTTAGGATTTTTTTCTATTTCTTTAAAAAAAAGGCATTGGAATTTTGATAGGAATTGCATTGAATCTGTAGATCACTTTGAATGTATGGAAAATTTTAAAATATTAATTCTTCCAAATAATGAGCATGTGATATATTTCCATTTATTTTGTCTTCTTTAATTTTTTCATCAATGTTTGATAATTTTCAGTGTCCAGATATTTCACCTCCTTAGTTAAATTTACACCTAAGTATTTTTTTTGCTATTATAAATGGGATTATTTTCTTAATTTCTTTTTCAGATAGTTTGTTGTTACTCTGTAGAACTATTAACTGCTTTTTCCTGTTGAATTTGTTTCCTGCAACTTTACTACATTGGCTTATTAGTTCTCATCAGTGGGCCTGGAGCCTGGGGCCATGGAGGCAGGTCTGGCACTGGAGTGTGCCTGGAGCCTAGGTTGTGGAGATCTTTCTGGAGACTGGGTACATGTGGCAGTCGGGAGGGCCTGAAGTCTGGGTTTGTAAGGGTTGACCTGGTGCCCAGGAACACTGGGGTGGTCCTGGTGCTGGGGTCTGCAGTGAAGTCATGTGCTCACTTCAGTCTCCTTCCCACATATTGAGGGTATATCCAAACTGCACTATACACACATGGGGAAGGGGTGATGGAGTAATGTAAAACTGTTCTTATTACCCTCATCTATGCATCTTTTCTTATTTCTGTGCTCCACCCAGGTTCTGTAATCTATCATTTGGATTCCTTAGGATTTATAAAGATATTTTCATGTATGTATTGTTATTCAAATTGATGTTCTGAGAGGGGATAAGTGCTGAAAGGTAGTCTGCCGTCTTGCTGACTTTACGCTTCCTCAGCGTTTTTATGCTTATTGCTGGCATAGTATTTTTTTCAACCCTTTTACTTCCAACCTACCTGTCTTAAATATAAAGTGCAAATAGATAGCATATAGTTTGGTCTTGCATTTTTTATTCCATATTGATAATTTATATCCTTTAGTTGGAGTATTTGATAGATTTACATTTAATATAATTATTGATATGGTTGGATCATTTACTCAGATCTATCATTTAATATTCATTTTCTATTTGGAGAATCAATTTCTTGTTTCCTTTTACTCTTTTCCTGTGTTAACTTGGGTTAATTAGATATTGTTTTAGAATTGCATTTTAATTTATCTATTGCTTCCAGCCAGCTCACTTTGCATTATTTTTTAGTGACTGCTCCAGTGATTCTACAGGTATCCTTAAATTTACTTCCTTCTTTTTGGTGGGTGAGAGGTAGGTAAGAACATTTAACA
This sequence comes from Homo sapiens, assembly GCF_000001405.40. Taxonomy (NCBI): domain Eukaryota; kingdom Metazoa; phylum Chordata; class Mammalia; order Primates; family Hominidae; genus Homo; species Homo sapiens. The sequence goes on along the minus strand of NC_000023.11, from coordinate 152,464,885 downwards.
TGAGATCTACCCACTCAACAAAATTTTTAAGTGCACAATACAGTGTTGTTAACTATAGGCACTATGTTGTATAGCAGATCTCTTGAACTTATTTATCTTGCAGAACTGAAACTTCATACCCAGTGAACTACCAATTTTCCCTTTCCCCCCAGGCCCTGGCAAACATCATTTTACTCTCTCCTTCTGATACGTACCCAAAGATGGGATTACTGGATCGTATGGTAGTTCTATTTCTAATTTTTGAGGAATTTCCCTAGTGTATTCCACAATGACCGTACCAATTTACATTCCCACCAACAATGCTCAAGGGCACCCAACACTTTTTATCTTTTTTTGTTTTGGTAATAGCCTTCCTAACAGATTTGATGTGATATCTCATTGTGGTTTTGATTGGTATTTCTCTGATGATTAGAGGTGTTGACCATTTTTAATTTAATTTTATTTTATTTTATTTTGTTTTATTTATTATACTTAAAGTTCTGGGATACATGTGCAGAACGTGCAGGTTTGTCACATAGGTATATATGTGCCATTGTGGTTTGCTGCACCCATTCAACCCATCATCTACATTAGGTATTTCTCCTAATGCTATCTCTCCCCTCGCCCCCCACTTACCGACAGGCCCTGGTGCATGATGTTCCCCTCCCTGCATCCATGTGTTCTCATTGTTCAGCTCCCACTTATGAGTGAGAGCATGCAGTGTTTGGTTTTCTGTTCCTGTGTTAGTTTGCTGAGAGTGATGGTTTCCAGCTTCATCCATGTCCCTGCAAAGGACATGAACTCATCCTTTTTAATGGCTGCATAGTATTCCATGGTGTATATGTGCCACATTTTCTTTATCCAGTCTATCATTGATGGGCATTTGGGTTGGTACCAAGTCTTTGCTATTGTGAACAGTGCTGCAATAAACATACGTGTGCATGTGTCTTTATAGTAGAATGATTATAATCCTTTGGGTATATACCCAGTAATGGGATTGCTGGGTCAAATGGTATTTCTGGTTCTAGATCCTTGAGGAATCACCATTTTTAAATACACCTGTTATACATTTGTATATCTTCTTTTGAGAAATGTCTATTCAGGTTTTTTGCCCATTTTTAAATTGGGTCATTTTCTTGCTACTCAGTTGTTTGAGTTCCTTATATATTTCAGATATTAACCCTTTATCCAATGTATGGTTTGCAACTGTATTTCCTATTTCCATTCTGTAAGTTGTCTCTTTACTCTGTTAATTGTTTTCCTTTCTGTGAAGAAGCTTTTCAGTTTTATGTAGTCCCACCTATGTATTTTTGCTTCAGTTACCTATACTTTTGGTGTCATATCCAAGAAATCATTGCCAAGAACAAAGTCAAAAGCTTTTCCTCCATGTTTTCTTTTAGGAGTTTTGCAGTTTCCGATATTATGATTAAAACTTTAATCCAGTTTGAGTTAATTTTTGTGTATGGTATAAGAGTCCAATTTTATCTTGTTGCATGTGGATATCCACTTTTTCCAATGCTAGTTGTTAAAGGGACTATTTTTCCCCATTGTGTATTTTTGCCACTATTGTAGAAGATCACTTGAGCATATATGTGTGGGTTAAGGTTAGGTGCTCTATTTTGTTCCATTGGTCTACATGCCTGCATTTATGCTAATACCGTACTGTTTTAATTAATGCAGCTTTGTATTACAGCTTGAAATAATGAAGTGTGATGACTTTTGTTTTGTTCTTCTTGCTCATGAGTATTTTGTCTACTTGGGGTCTTTATGGTGCCGTGTAAGTTTTAGAAGTGTTTTTTCTATTTCTGAAAAAAAATGAAATTTTCATGGGGATAGTATTGAATCTGTAGATTGCTTTGGTGGTATGGACATATTATCAATATTAATTATTCCAAATGATGAACTCAACATGTCTTTACATTTACATGTGTCATCCTTATTTTTTATCAGTGTCTTATACTTTTCATCATACAAATCTTTCTCCTCCCTAGTTATGTTTATTCTCAAGTATTGAAGTTTTAGATGCTATTGTAAATGGGATTGTTTTATTAATTTCATTTTAGGTTAATTTATTGTTAATGTATAGAAATGCAAGTAATTTTTGTATATAGATTTTGTATCCTGCCACTTTACTGAATTCATGTATTATTTCCAACAGTTTTTTTGTTTTTGGTCCTTAAATTTTCTATATGTCATCTGCAAACAGAGATAATTTTACTTCTTACTTCTTGATTGGATGTATTTTATTTCTTTTTCTTGTCTAATTTTCCTGACTAGGGGTTCTAGTCCTGTGACATGTGGAAGTGGGAAGAAGGGTAAACCTTGTGTTATTGCTCATCTTAAAGGAAAAGCTTTCAGTTTTTCACCATTGAGTATGATGTTAGCTGTGGGCTTATCATATATGACCTTATTTATTTTGAGGTATATTCCTTGTATACCTAATTAGTTGAGAGAAACCATCATTCTCAGCAAACTAATACAGGAACAGAAAACCAATCATCACATGTTCTCACTCATAAGTGGGAGTTTAACAATGAGAACACATGGACACAGGGAGGGGAACATCACACATCCGGGCCTCTCAGGGGGTGGGGGACTAGGGGAGGGATAGCATTGGGAGAAATACCTAATGTAGATGACGGGTTGATGGGTGCAGCAAACCACCATGGCACGTGTATACCTATGTAACAAATCTGCACGTTCTGCACATGTATCCCAGAACTTAAAGTATACTAATAATAAAAAAGTTGTGTTGAATTTTATCAAACTTTTTGCATCTGTTGAAACAATCGTGATTTTTATCTTTTATTCTGTTAATATGGTGTATCACATTTAGTAATTTCCATATATTGAGCCAGCTTTTTATCTCAAAAATAAATAATACTTGGTCATGCTGTATGATCCTTTTTAATTTTTTTTTTAAGTTCTGGGGTATATGTGCAGGATGTGCTGGCTTGTTACATAGGTAAACATATGCCATGGTGGTTTGCTGCACCTATCAACCCATCACCTAGATATTAAGCCCAGCATGCATGAGATCTTTTCCCTAATGCTCTCCCCACCCCCACCCTCCCCTGACAGGCTCCAGTGTGTGTTGTTCCCCTCCCTGTGTCCATGTGTTCTCATTGTTCAAATCCCACTTATAAGTGAGACCATGCAGTGTTTGGTTTTCTGTTTCTGTGTTAGTTTGCTGAGGATAATGGCTTCCAGCATCATCCATGTCCCTGCAAAGGACATGATCTCATTCCTTTTTATGGCTGCATAGTACTCCATGGTGTATACGTACCACATTTTCTTTATCCAGTCTATCACTGATGGGCATTTGGGATGATTCCATGTCTTTGCTATTGTGAGTAGTGCTGCAATGAACATACATGTGCATATATGTTTATAACAGAATGATTTATATTCCTTTGGGTATATACCCAGTAATGGGATTGCTGGGTTAAATGGTTTTCTGCCTCTAGATCTTTGAGGATTCATCACACTGTCTCCCACAATGGATGGACCAATTTACATTCTCACCATCAGTGTAAAAGTGTTGCTATTTCTCCATAACCTTGCCAGCACCTGTTGTTTCTTGACTTTTTAACAATCATCATTCTGACTGGCGTGGGATAGTATCTCATTGTGGTTTTGATTTGAATTTCTCTAATGACCAATGATGTTGAGCTTTTTTTCATATGTTTGTTGGCAGCCTGTATGTCTTTCTTTGAAAAGTGTCTGTTCATGTACTTTGCCCACTTTTTAACGGGCAAAGATTTTATGATGAAATCGCCAAAAGCAATTGCAACAAAAGCAAAAATTGACGAATGGGATTTAATTAAACTAAAGAGCTTCTGCATAGCAAAAGAAACTATCATAAGAGTGAACAGACAACCTAAAGAATGGGAGAAAATTTTTGCAATCTATCCATCTGACAAAGGTCTAATATCCAGAATGTACAAGGAACTTAAACAAATTTGTGTGTGTGTGTGTATATATATATATATATATATATATTTTTTTTTTTTTTTGAGATTGATTCTCACTCTGTCACCCAGGCTGGAGTGCAGTGGTGTAATCTCAGCTCACTGCACTCTCCACCTCCAGGGTTCAAGCAAGTCTCCTGTCTCAGCATCCTGAGTAGCTGGGACTACAGTCGCACACCACCATGCCTGGCTGATTTATGTATTTTTAGTAGAGATGGGGTTTCACCATATTGGTCAGGCTGGCCTTGAACTCCTGACCTCAGGTGATCCACCTGCCTTGGCCTCCCAAAGTGCTGGGATTACAGGCCTGAGTCACCGTGCCCAGCCTGTATGATCCTTTTAATGTGCTGTTTAATTCAGGTTCTCATATTTTGTTGAAGATTTTCACATCTATATTCATCAGGGGTCATTTCCTATAATTTTCTTTTCTTGTAGTGTTCTTTTGTGGCTTTGGTATCAGGGCACTACTGGCCTTGTAAAAGCAGTTTGGAAGTATTTCCTCTGCTTTTTGGAACAGTCTGAGAAGGATTAGTATTAATTCTTTAAGTATTTGGTAGAATTCTGGCCGGGTGCTGTGGCTCACGCCTGTAATCCCAGCACTTTGGGAGGCTGAGACGGGCAGACCACGAGGTCAGGAGATCTAGACCATCCTGGCTACACGGTGAAACCCCATCTCTGCTAAAAAAAATACAAAAGATTAGCCGGGCGTGGTGGCACACGCCTGTAGTCCCAGCTACTTGGGAGGCTGAGGCAGGAGAATCGCTTGATCCTCAGGAGGTGGAGGTTGCAGTGAGCCGAGATTGCACCACTGCACTCAAGCCTGGGTGACAGAGTGACACTCTGTCTCAAAAAAGAAAAAAATGTATATATATACACACACACACACATATACACACACACATATATACGTATATATGTATATTTGGTAGAATTCATCAGTGAAGCCATCAGGTCCTGGGCTTTACTGTGTTGGATTGTTTTTGATAACTAATTCAATCCTCTTGTTAATTTTCTGTTCATGTTTTCTATTTCTTTATGATTCAGTTTTAGTACATGTTATGGTTCTAGGAAATTAGTCATTTCTCCTAGGTTGTTCTATTTATTGGTGTATAATTGTTCATAGTAGTCTCTTCTGAGCCTTTGTATTTCTGTGATACTATTTGTAATGTCTCCTCCTTTATTTTCTCTTTGTTTCTTAGTTATTTCAGTTAATGTTTTGTCGATTTCATTGATCTTTTCAAAAAGATGCAACTGTTAGTTTCACTGATTTTTTAAATTTTGTTTTTCTATTTTCTTCATTTAATTTTGCCCCAATCTTTATTATTTCTAAAGTTAGATTGTTTATTTATGATCTTTTTTTTTCTTTTTAAATGTAAGCGTTTATTGCTATTCACTTTTCTGTTAGTACTGCTTTTGCTGCATCAGATCTCATGAGCTTTATTCACTATTACGAGAATAGCACAGGAAAGACTGGCCCCCATGTTTCTGAGGCCTCCCCAGCCATGAGGAACTGTAAGTCCAATTAAACCCCTTTTTCTTCCCAGTCTCGGGTATGTCTTTATCAGCAGCATGAAAACGGACTAATACAATAGGGATGAACTTACTATTGCCATTTTATTATTGTTTTCTATCTTGTTTTATTATTGTTCCTTTTGTTTATTCTTCTTGTCGGTTTTTTAAATTGATTTTTTAAAATAGTGATATCCTTAGATTCTCTTCTCTTTTTCTTTTGTGTGTTTTCAATAGATACTTTTATTTGAGGTTATCATGAGGTTCACATAAAATATCCTCCGGTTATAATGGTTCATTTTATGCTGATAACAACTTAACAGCAATTGCATACAAAACTCTGCATTTTGAATTCTCCCCTCCCCACTTTATGTCATTGATATCACAGTTTACATCTTTTGTATTGTGTAGCCACTAACTCACTTTTGTATTTATTATTTTTATTTTAAAAATAGTTAAAATTTTTAATTATTTTTATTTTTAAAATAAAACAAAATAAAAATAATAAAAAATAAAAATACTTTTATTTTTTAACTTTTATACCAAAAGTGATTTAAACCCAATCATTACAATATTGCAGTATTCTGTATCTTTCTAAATATTCAGGCTTGCCAGTGAGTTTTAGACTTTTATACGCTTTTGTGTTGCTGCTTAGCATCTTTTCATTGCAACTTGAGAAACTCCCTTTAACATTTCTTATAAGACAGGTCTAGTGCTTATGGAGTCCCTCAGCTTTTGTTTGTTATCTCTCCTTCAATGTTTTTCCAAATGTTTTATTGTGATAAAATATACATATTATATAACTTACCATCTTAACCATTTTTAAGTGTACAGTTCAGTGGTATTACATGCATTTATAATGTTGTGCAACCATCACCACCATCTAGTTCCATCATTCTTTTCATCTTGTAAAATGGAAACTTCATACACCGTAAACAGTAAGTCCCCATTCCTTCCTGCTCCTAGCCTCTGGCAACCACCATAAGACACTAGTTCCTAAGGCAGTGAAATGACAGACCTGAAATATTAGATGCGTGCTCCACTCTCCCTTTCTCCTGAGAGAGAAATCATGGGCCAAGATGATCTCACTTGGTGCCAAATTTTGCTGGTTTGGGGGAAGGAATGACACAGGTAAAATGAAATTGCTCTTTTTTACTGTTTCAGTGGGCCTGTTCTAGTGTTTTGTGCTCATCTGGGGTATTCAACATCTTAACTGGATTCTGGACATCTCTTGGAGGTATTTTGATTAATATATTTTTGTTAAATAGGTGTTTCTGTAAGGAAATGAGGGTTGGGGCTGGGGCTTATTATTCCATCTTGCTCCTCCATGCATCTCCACTCCACTCCTCCATGCATCTTTATCTTTTCAAAGTATACTACAATTTAATATTGTATTGCCTCACATAAAATTTAAGGACCTTGTCAATGTCTAGTTTGGTTTGCCGCTATGCCCTCTTTCATATTATAGTTTTCATGCACATCATGTCTATGTATACTACACACTGCACATTATAATGTTATGATTTTTCTTTTGTATTCTCATATGTATATCAAATAAAGAGCAAAATATTATTTTATGTTTATCCACATATTACCATTCCTGATGCTATTTATTCCTTCCTAAAGATCCAGCTTTTCATCTGGTATCACTTTCCTTCAGACTCAACAATTTCCTTTAGTATTTCTTATCGTATGAACATGCTGATAACAAATTGTCCTAATGTTCACTTAAATGAAAATGTCAGTATTTGCCTTTATTAATAAGGGATATTTTTGATAAATGTAAAATTCTGTATTGATAGAGTTTTTAAAAAATTCAGCACTTTAAAGATGTCTTTTTTTCTTATGAAAGGTCACAGGTTGGCCGGGTGCGGTGGCTCACGCCTGTAATCCCTGCACTTTGGAAGGCCGAGACGGGCGGATCACGAAGTCAGGAGACTGAGACCATCCTGGCTAACACGGTGAAGCCCCGTCTCTACTAAAAATACAAAAAACTAACCGGGCGTGGTGGCGGGCGCCTGTAGTCCCAGCTACTCTGGAGGCTGAGGCGGGAGAATGGCGTGAACCCGGGAGGCGGAGATTGCACAATGAGCCAAGATGGCGCCACTGCACTCCAGCCTGGGAGACAGAGCGAGACTCCGTCTCAGAAAAAAGAAAGAAAGAAAGAAAGGTCACAGGTCAGTTTTATTCTGTTCCTCAGTAGGCATTTTTTCTCCCTAATGCTTTCAAAGTTTTCTATTTAAATTTGTTTTTCAATAGTTTGACTATGATATGCCTGAGTGTGGTATCCTGCTTGGAATTTATTGAGCTTGTTGAATCTGTAAATGTATGTGTTTTATTATATTTGTTTTTTTTTCAAACAGCTTTATTGAGTTATAGTTGATATACACAAACCTGCACATATTTAATATATTCAATTTGATGGTTTTTCATCATATTTGCAAATATACAGCCATTCTTTTTAAAATAATTTTTATTTTTGTGGGTATGTAGTAGGTATATTTATGGGTACATGAGATGTTTTGATACAGGCATGCAATGCATAATAATCATATCATACAAAATGAGGTATTCATCCCCTCAAGCATTTATCCTTTGTCTCACAAATAATCCGATTATACTATTTTAGTCATTTCTAGATGTATAATTAAATTGTTATTGATTATAGCCTCCCTGTTGTGCTATTATATACTAGGCCTTATTCATTCATTCTATTTTTTCTACCCATTAACCATCCCTCCCCACTACCCTTCCCAGCCTCTGGTAATCATCCTTCTACACTGTATCTCCATGGGTTCAATTCTTTGATTTTCAGCTCCCACAAATAAGTGAGAATATGCAAAGTTTATCTTCTGTGCCTGGCTTATTTCACTTAACACAATGACCTCCAGTTTAATCCATGTTTTTGCAAATTACAGGATCTCATTCTTTTTTATGCCTGAATAGTATTCCATTGTGTATATGTACCACATTTTCTTTATCTATTCATTTGCTGATGAACACTTAGGTACCTTCTAAATCTATGCTACTGTGAATAGTGCTGCAGTACCAGGGAGTGAAGATATCTCTTTGATATACTGATATCCTTCCTTTTGGGTATAAACCTAGCAGTGAGATTGCTGGATACCATATGAGGTAGCTGTATTTTTAGTTTTTTGAGGAACCTCCAAACCGTTTTCCATAGTGGTTGTACTAATTTACATTCCCACCAACAGTGTACAAAGATTCCCTTTTCTCCACATCCTTGCCTGCATTTGTTATTGCCTATCCTTTGGATATAGGCCATTTTAACTGAGGTGAGATTGTATCTCATTGTAGTTTTGATTTGCATTTCCCTGATGACTAGTGTTGTTCTGCACCTTTTCATATGCCTGTTTGCCATTTGTATGTTTTATTGTGAGAAAAGTCTATCCAGTTTTTTTTTGCCCATTTTTGAATCAGATTTTTAGATTTTTTTCTATAGAGTTGTGTTAGCTCCTTATATATTCTAGTTACTAATCCCTTATCAGATGGGTAGTTTACAAATATTTTCTCCCATTCTGTGGGTTGTCCTTTCACATTATTGATTGCTTCCTTTTCTGGGCAAAAGCTTTGTAATTTGATGTGATCCCATTTGTCCATTTTTGCTTTGATTTCCTGTGCTTGTGGAGTCTTTAGGTTTTTCCAAATATAAGATCATGTCTGCAAGGAAAGATAATTTGACTTCCTCCTTTCCAATGTGGATGCCCTTTATATCTTTCTTTTGTCTGATTGCTCTAGCTAAGTCATCCAGTACTATGTTGAATAACAGTGGTGAATGTGAGCATCCTTGTTGTGTCCCAGATCTTAGAGGAAAGGCTTTCAGTTTTTCCCCATTCAGTATCATATTAGCTGTGGGTCTGCTGTATATGGTTTTTATTATGTTGAGGTATGTTCCTTCTACACCCAGTTTTTAAGATTTTTGTCATGAAGGGATGTTGAATTTTATCAAATGTTTTCTCAGCATCTATTGAAATGATCATATGATTTTTGTTCTTCATTCTGTTGATATGATGTATCCCTTTGATTGATTTGTGTATGTTGAACCATCCTTGCATCCCAGGGATAAATCCCACTTGGTCATGATGAATGATCTTTTTAGTGTATTGCTGAATTTGGTTTGCTAATGTTTTGTTGAGGATTTTTCCATCAATAATTATCAGGGATATTGTCTTGTGGTTAGGCTTTTGTTTCAAATGTTTTTTCTTCCTCTTCTCTTATTGTTTGCCATCTGGGACTCCAATTATGTTTATAACTTTGATATTATCCTATGTATTTCTAACACTCTGCTCATCCTCTTCAATCTTTCTCTCTCTAATCTGTACTTCAGATTAGATAATATCACTAGATTTTTCTTCCAGTGAAACTACTCTTTCTTCTGCCATTTTCAACCTGCCATTAAACACCAACTCACTGAATTTTACTTCAGATATTCTGACTTCCTATTTGTTCATTTATTACACATGTGTTTTTCTTTATTTCCCTTAGTGTAATTATGATATGTGATTTAAAATTCTTTCTCCTAATTCAAACATCTGGTTTACCTTAGGGCTGGTCTCTATTATTATTTTTTCCTTGGATATGAGTAATATTTTCCTATATCTTTGCTTTGGTAGTAATTTTTGAGTGTACCCTGAAAATAGTGAATTATATATTGTAGGATACCTTTATTTTTTTCTCTAGAGCATTGATTTTGTTTGTTTTAGTAGACAGTTAATGGGGCTGAAGTGAAACTCCAAACTCTCCCTCATTGGCAGCACTGAAAACTCTGTTTAATTCTTTCAGCTTTATTTAGGCTTTTTGGAATCTGTTCCCACATAAATATTTCATGGTTTCACCAGACAGCTGGGTAGTTTATACACAGAATTTGGGGCTTCCTCTCCCTAGTTTTTTAAATTATTGAATTTCTCTCATGGCTTTTCAACTACCGTGGTCATCCTGAATTCTGCCGTCTGGTTCTTTCAGACACTTGGACTGTGAGCAGTTGTGTGTGGGAGCTGGCTAACACTGGTTTGTGAATGCCTACTGTGCATATCTCTATTCAACTCCATGTTCATGGAATGGTCCGTGGTAGAAGTATTTACACCATTGAAATTGGCAAATACTATGAATTTGTTTTTTATTAATTTTCCTCAAGATCCAGTTGTTAAACATTTAACAGTTGCAACATTGATTCTAGTTTCTCTAGAGTTTATTCACTGCTTTGGCCTGGGGGCTGCCATCAGACAAAAATTTCCAGAAAAGGAAAAACTCACTTAGTATTGTTCCCTCCTTTCAATTATTAATTCCCTTTCAATTTTTGCCTGTTTATGGGTTGCTTTCCTGTGCATTTAAATTGTTTTATTATATATTTGGTCCACTGTTTATTATTGTTATCTGCATCAGGGTTGGTCTGATAGAAGCTTCTTCACCATTGCCAGAAGTTTTCCTAATAAAGGATTCTGTTTTTTTTGTTGTTGTTGTTGTTTGTTTGTTTTTGGTTTGCAGTCAAGTGGGAAAATTATGAAAATGCTGTGAAGTTTTCATACAGGTATAATTGTATGATTCAGAGAAGAGTTTTTTTGTTCAGAGAGTGTCTTAATCCAACTTATTTATATTAAAATATCTTTTCTTTAAAATAAATGGTGGCACCCAGATGGTTTATTTGTTTGTTTGGTATCTTTATTAGATGAAAAGTTTTCAATTGTAGTAGACTGAATAGTGTCCCCCAAAATTCATGTTCGTCTATAACCTCAGGGTGTGACCTCATTTCAATGGTATGGTATTTGCAAAAGGAAGTAGTTAAAGATCTTGAGATGAAATCATTCCGGATTTAGGTTGGGCCTTAAATCCAATGACTGGTGTCTTTATAAGAAAAAAGAGGGAGATTTGGGCACACAGAAATCAGAGGAGAAGACCATTTGAAGACCGAGGCAGAGATTCAGTGATAAGCCAAGGAACACTGGAAACCACCAGAAGCTGGAAGAGACAAGAAATCATTCTCTAGAACTTTTGGAGTAGTTTGACCCTGCCAGCATCTCGATTTTAGACTTCTGACCTTCAGAACTGTGAGACAATAAATTTCTGTTGTTTTAAGCTACTGAATTTATGGTAATTTGTTATGGCAGCCCTAGAAAACTAATACAGCAACCTTAATATTTCTTTTTGCCAGTATACTAATCTATTAAATCCAATGGACATTTATGCAAACAAATCTACACATGAAAATGGGTACCTATGCAGGAAAAAGTATTTATAGCTTTATGCTCACATACACACTTGCTTTATGTGCAAGTTACATGTTAATTTTGTAGAGAAAAATACTGTACCTGCAGTCAGCAATCTGAGTACTGGCCTTGATTCTGCCACTGACTCACTATGACCTTGTGTGAATTATATTTTCTATTTAGTCTAGTTTCTTTTTCTGTACAATGACATGGTTATCTTTATGGGTCCCTTTAGCTCAGTGACTCTAAGCTTACGAGTACCTATCTATCTTCTACTCAATGTATGGACACATGCTTTTGAAGATGTATAGGAGTGTAGCACATGTACTTCATTTGGCAGGAGTAGAGAGCATTAGAAATTTGGGGGAAAAAAACCAACAGGATGGTAGTTTAAAGAGAAATGGCACACTATGGGCAACATTGTAAATGCCTATTATGTCCCAGTCACTGTATGTATATTGACACTAGTATACTTAAACACACTATATAACTCACTTTCAATTAGATGCCCTCTGAATTTTTCTAACAGGACTAGAAATCACAATATGAAGAGTTTGACTAAGAAAACTTTTATACTAATCATTATATGTAAGCAGATGCTGAATTCTTTGATAGGAACAGCTCTTTATTCACGTGCTTATATTGGTATTATCCCTGAAACACAAAAGATGGAATGTTGAATCAATGTGATTTGGAGTCGCATTTGGGGACTCACCTTTGGAGAACTTTTGAAATGTGGCAGTTTAGTTTTTATTTTCTAAGGGCCAACTTCTCCTTTACCTGGAATTTTCCTGTCTTTAGATTCCTAGACTGTTAGTTCTGGAAGGGTCTTTTAAGATCATCTATTTCCATTACCATTCATTTGGTCACTGAGGATATTGAGGGCCAGATTGAAGAACTCGTTGAAAGCAACACAGCAATTTTCAGAGGCAGAACTCAAACTCAAGTTCCTTTATTTTATTTTTAGCCTAGGTCTTTTTCCACTCTATGCTGCATTGTTACTGTGCTTTGCCTAGGTTGCTTTTTTTCTTTTGACCCAATGGGAATATAGTTCTTTTATACTTTGAGTCAATAATTATCCTTCTCCCCACCTTAGTCCTTGTGCAACTCATGTATAGGCTCACACAATTACATACATCTATATTCCCTTTGGAATTTTTGAAAAGAAAGCATTGTGGTTCTGCTGCTTGTCTGTCTTACCTACAGGGAAGCTAGAACTGATAGTTTTGAATTGGGTCTGCACTTCTACTTGGTTGAGGGTGGGGGTGGAAGTTAGGTCAACAGGGGATCAATGTGGCGGAACTCTTTCTTCTTAGTGGAGTATGAATGACAACCCCTTTGATGTACATTTTTCTAGCTCATTATTGTCCCCAGAGATGGAATCTGAACAGACAGGATTGTCAAACCTTTATTTGCAGCCTGGGTTAGAAGGCACGCCCATAAGGATATAAGGGAGACAGAGGGAAAAAGGAGGAAGCTCACTCTTCAGTCTCGGAGCAGCAAGTAAGCATCACACATCAGCTACAGTAACCCATACTTCCTTTATCCTCCTATTCGCTCATACCCTTTTGCTCTCTTTCTCTTCCCTTTGCTGCCTCTGCTCCTCCCTTTCTCTCTGGGCTTCCCTCTATTTCTCTGTTGGATGCCTTAAGGAATAAAATACTACTTTAGTATTTCGTAAAACAACCACATCTAAAGCCTTGCAGTACTGTATTCAGAGCCCCAGCACAGCCGCGTGCTAAGCACCAGTGGTGAACCTAAAGCCAGCAAAGGGGGAGGGGAGAAGGGGAGGGGAGGAGGGGAGGGAGAAACTGACAGAGAGGGAGGGAGGCAGATTGAGAGAGAGAGAGAGAGAGAGAGAGAGAGAGAGAGAGAGCGAGAGAGCGTGAGCGCGCGCAAGCTAGCGAGCAAACCAGAGAGACAGACCGAGAGAGGGACCAGGAGAGAGACCCAGAGAGAGAAGAAGAAGCCAGAAGCCGAGCTCTGTCAGGGCTCAACCTCCAACTTGTTTCAGTTCATTCATCCTTCTCTCCTTTCCGCTCAGACTGTAGAGCTCGGTAAGAAACATTGATGTTCCTTCTTCCCCCTCCCCCAAGCTCAGGTCTCCTTTAGCGATAGCATCTCTCCCCCGTACTGAGAGTCTCCTTGGGTTGGCCGGGAGGCGAGGCATGCTCTGCAGCTGTGATGCTATCCTGGGTTCCCCAGTGGGGCTGGTGGAAGCCCAGAGGCGGCATCTGAGCAGGGAGACACTGGGGTAAAACCCGATTTGAGGAAGGGGGGTTGCGATGTGGTATATGCGTGATTTGCTTCATTGTCAGTGAATTGTTTTGTTCCTCTTTGGAAGCAGGTCAGCACTGACCTTGCAAATTGCTTGGGGGGCCCCAGCAGCTGCTGCAGAAAGCCACGGAGTGGCCCCTAGCCAAAGCAGACAGCACTGTCATGACCCCCCAGACAGCTCTAGGCACCAGGGATGTAGTAATGGCTGGAGCTTTCTCCCTTCTTTAACTCTTTCTCCGCAGCTGCTTCTCACTGCTGGAAATAAGAAAGAAGGAGGGTACCTTGCAGCCTCTTTCCCCATCTCCCCATTACCTCCCCCACATGCAAGTGAGTAGAAAGTTGTAAATAACTGCTTCCTTTAAAGCAGATTGAGCCCTCCCCCCTTCCTTTGAGGGGCTCACTGTGGGGTTGGGCCTGACTTCCTCCACAAACTTGGGAGGTTTGCCTTGTTTCCCGGCGAGAAGCTCCATTGCCTGCCCACCCTCAATTCCAGATAATTGAGCTGACATCCTAGATCAGAGATTGAGATACCCCACCCCATCTCACTCATAGGCATCATGTTAAGTCCAGCTGTGTCCTTGGAAGGGAGGAAACACCTGATGGTTTGTCTGCAACTGGCCTCCCAGTTTGTTGCTCCTCTGACTGTGGCTGTGGCTGTGGCTGCGGGTGGCATGGGCAAGAGGACTGGGGGAAGGGTGGCTGTTGGATTTATGGAAAGCAGGGTGATGAGGTAGGATTACTAACGTGAGTAGTTTGGCTTATTGAGAGTCAGCAAGTTCTGGTTGTCTGGAGCTCTGCAAAGACTGATTGAGGCTCTTGTAGTATAGCCCTTCAGAACTGGTAGGGGAAGGGATCCAATTGTTTGATGGGAGCTTTCTAAGTGAGTGACGCTGCTGTGCCTGTGGTAGTAATTCTGACATCCCTAATACTAATTGCTAAAATTATCGAGTATGTAGTATATTTTGGATTCTGGGCTGAGTGTTTGGTGTGTATTACTTCATTAAATTACTGTAGCAGAATAGTGCATTGAATAACAGACACTATTATTATCTTTGGTTTACTCACAAAATTGAGGCACAGAGAGGTTAAGTAACTTATCCAAGATTACAGAGCAATTACATGTCTCAGTTGGAAATTAAACTGGCAACCTGGTTCCAGAATCCGTGGTCTTAACCATGAAGCACTACTGCCTTCTTGGGGAGAATTTTGCACCTTTGTCTGTTAGGCAAGTGTAGATACAATAGGTACAGTGTGGCTTGGCAAGGTTTTTTGGAAAGTAGCGGCCTGGCTTTCGTGTAGAGTAACAGCAACTCAGCCTGGAGCCGGGCTTCACCTGGATTTCTGGAGGGGCTGCCCAAAAGACTTTGATTGGTCAGCTTCCTTTCCTTGAAAATCGTACTTCACTTTTTATAGCCTCATCCACCCAACATGCTCCAAACTGCACCTTTTAAAAACAGACCTCATTCTTATTTCCTGAGCATTTGGAGTTGTTCTGTGCCGAAAATTTTAGAATACTAAAACCTTGGAACTGGAAGGAGCCCAAAAGGTCATTCATTAAGCTTTATTTCTCTACTCAGTTCTTGAATTTATCCTAAGCATCCAATTTGTTGACTGATTTCTAGTTGAACTCCCTGCAGTGACAGAGAGTGCATTAGGTGGCTCTTTGTGTCATGGAGCAACTCTGATTGTCAGAAAGTATTCCCCATCATAAGCCAAAGTCTGTTTCCCAGTAACTTATATTCGTTGGTTCTTTGGGACTATCTGGAACAAATTTGCTTTTTCTTAATAATAGTTCTTCAGTTAGTTGAAGACAGCAATCATGCCTCCCTCTTAACCCTTGGATCCAATAAGACCACAGAGTAAAGGATTATCATTTACTTCATGCTGGATATTAGACTATTCTTAATATGGCCTAATAGCCCACTTGTTTTGTTAGCCACAAATTGACCCTACGGAGTTTTCTAGAGCAGCCCTGATAGTGTATATTCTCTTCCTTGGATGAGCTTGCTATCTGGTGTCAACTGGACTGATGGGAGCAAGGAAGGTCGCTTTCATATTCCTAAAGACCAGAAATTGGTTAGTACTAGTCCTTCTAAAGCCCCCAGGATGTCTATATGGCATCCGGACAATAGGCGTGTGGGAAGATTTGAGTGGCAGGAATTTTCATAAAGAAAATTATGAAATTTTCTAATTTCATGAAGAAAAGTACCACATTTGAAATAGTGGTAGTTCAAGGTTCATACAGTATGCAGAAGGTAGAAGAATATATTGTTTTATCAGAAAACACCTCAGGAATAATTACATCACTGAGGGGATACAATGCAGTGGGACTGGGTGGAAAGGGGTGAGTATGTGGTTGCTAGAATGGAACACTGACTTGGCTGTTAGCAAATTTGGGTTCCATTCCTAGCTCAGATGATTTGCTGATTATCTTGGACATATGACTTCCCCTCCATGTGCCTCAGTTTTTCCATCTGTAAGATGTTGAGATGGACTGTGTCTCTGAGGGTCTTTCAACTCTGAAATTCTCTATCTGAAGTAAATTATAAGATTTCAGAGTTATGAGAGGCTTCGGAAATCGTTAGGCCAGTGCTTCTCAAACTTTAATGTGTAAAAATATCTCCTGGGAATCTTGTTAAAATGCGAATTGTGATTCAGAGAGTCTATGGCAGGGGCCTCGGATTTTGCATTTTAGCAATCTATTAGGTGATCCTGAAACTGCTGTTCCACTGACCACACTTCAAGTAGCAAAGCTCTAGTAGAGTACTGGTCAAACTCCCCTAGTGAAGGAAAATGTTTGTTGTCATTTGTTTGTTTGTTTCCTAATCCATCACAGAAGACTGTTAATTTAGTAAAATAAATTAACCATGAATTACTAGAAAATGAAAGAAAAGACATACAAAAGATAAGCCCGCATTTGTATTATTAGATTCTACAGACATAAAATGATTTTTTCAAATTGCTGTAACATTTTCTAAGTGCTTACTCTTGACTTCTGTACTTTGGTCCTTACTGCCTGGTAATAAAAGTTCACAGACAGGCACTGATTTGGCGGGCTACATTTTGAGTGCACTGGTCTAGGCTACCTGCCCATCTAATTTAAGAGGCCCAAATTAGACCCAGCTTTAATTTCTAAATCACCTGTCATGATCTTTTACCCTACAGTTAAATATCTCCTTTAATGAAGAATTTAACATTTACACAAAGTTGCATTGTTCATGTGTTGTGACAGATAAAATGTTTGTTTTTTCTTAAAACTCTTAATTTCCTTAGAGTTTCTACAAATTACGCTTTCAGTTATATATTCCAAGTGGGTGAAGGGCTGTATCAGTTCAGTTAATTATACCGTTAGCCATTAGCCTAGTATATGACATAGAGTAGGAGGCTTAACAGATGTTTTTTAAATAAATGAATGAACCATTTGACATTAGTTGTGGGGCCATACATTCAATAAAGGAAAGGTAATTTGGGCTTTCTTCTGCATTGGGGAAACAGGATTCATCCCATTTTAAAAATTTCTTACAGTGGATAGAAAGCCAACTTGACTACTTCAGAGGGTTACTTGGTATCTCAATTTTATTTTGAAGGGATTGCTGGAGTGGGCCATTATAAGGCTGTTGGTCTTTATTCTAGAAAGAGTGGGACTGATTAAAGGGCTTTGAGCAGGATAACTGACATGGCTTAAATGGAATCTATTCAATATAAGGTTACTAAGTGCCTATGATGAACCAAAGATAATGTGGGAGATACAGGATTATTTAAGAATAGCCTCTGCCCTCCAAGATGACACAGTCAAGTAGGAAAGAGAAGAAATAGACAAACAACTATAGTATTAGGAGATGAGATCTACACCCATAAGAGAGAAGCAAAGGGCTTTAAGGAGATCAAAGACACCTTCCTGGAAGTGGCATTTGAAATGAGCTTTGAAGATGAGACAAACTTTGAGTGTGCAGAATTGGGGGATGGGAAAGGTATTCTATTCAGAGGCTAGTTGTGTTGGAGTAAAGTGTATGCAGAAATACTTATGTGGGATGTGTTTGGCAAGATAGATGGAGGGCTTGACTGTCAATCATACTGAATGCTAGATGGGAAAATTAGGACTTTATATGCAAAGGAGATGCAACTCCCTCATTTTGTGGATGAGCAAACCCATCTTGACAGGGTGAGGGACTTGATTTGCCTGAGGCCACACAGGTAGTAATATTGTTGTAGCCCAGTAAAAGGTACTGAGCACATTTGAAAATATGGGATTGGAACTCTGGAAAGAAGTCAGTAGGAGAGAGTGATTTGAGAGTCATTGCCTCTCAATACTTGAAATAGAATAAAAGAGATTCAGGGGTGGTACTTTGAAGAATGCTTTTTTTTTTTTTAGGATATGGGAGAGAACAATGAACCTTATGTGAAGGCTACAAAGGAGAAAAAGTCAGGGATATGGAAGGAAAATTAGAAGAGTACAGTGTTATGAAGGTGCCAAGAGAGGAGAGGCACCTTCTAATTTATTTCTTGCATACATAACATTTACTAGGCATGGAGAATATAATGGTGAGCAAAACAGACAAAGTTGTTGCCATCCTGGGCTCATGGTTTAGATGGTGAGATAGACATTATTCGACAGACCACTGAACTATGTAGTCATAAATTGTGATTCATATGTAGAGGAAAATGTACCGCTTTAAAAAGAAAGGTGTGGTCAGCATTATTAAACTTCACAGCAGAGTTGAGTAGTGATAGATGATATCTGGTTTATAACAGTCCTTCCCACTCTGATGGTCACAGTGCCTACCAACACTTCAGTTGGATGATGCATACGCATTTTGCAAATGTTTGGCAGATGACTGTGCTTCAATAGTAAGGGAAGGGAAGGGTCCCTCCAGGCTCATGTCCACAGGAGCAGTGACTTACTTAAAAACTAGGTTATATGTCATGTAGCTTAACTGAAATTCACAAAGACCCAGTGCCTTTCCCAGGTCCTCCAACTCTCTCTATTCAGCAATTTATAGGAAGAGGCACTTGATAAAAAATATGAAGAATTTGATATTAAAAATCCCTCTTAAAATGGGATTTCTGATAGCCTAGTCCTGACTTGGATACTCGGTTTGTTGTGACATATCACTTGTCTTGTTGGAGCCTGTTTCCATAACTGTAAAATACGGTGGGGGGAGGTTTGGAAAAGGGTTTTGAATAGGGTGACTGACATGAATCCATTAAGATATTTAGAAAGAGCCTCCAAGCTGTAAGGTTCTATAGTTCATGTTCTGCTCTATATTGTGTTATCATGGTTCTGTGCAGGTAGCTCAGGTTTGGTCACTTCTATAAGCAACACTAATAACTTTATACAGAATTCTGAAGGTTGATAATTTTGGTGGGAGTATTCACAGACTTTGGAAGGGGTCATTGAAATGCACCTTCCATTTTTTATTCCTGAGGTGACTGAAATTGTAACTGTCCTGAGAGTTAAGGAAAGAACTGACCGTATTGTAAAATATATAGTAAAGTTGGATATTAGGTGGTATTTCTATTACTGCTGGTTTGAAATAAACTAAAGTCACTGAGAATAAGATGGGGCATAATACTGTTAAATACACACAAGGTGATTATCTCATTCTGAAATGTAATGGTCCAGGTAGTCTCTTCCTGGGGGGAAGATGTATGTGAAGGGAAATACTAGTTGGTAATATAAAAGCATTTTTATACTTAAAAGCATGATTTTAAACGTATTGATGTCTGCACAAAATATGTCTCCTGAATATACACAGAAGGGGGAATAAAAATCTCCAGGATATATATTTTGAAGGGTACTTTTCTCTTTAAAAACTGATTTCTTAAAAAACACAAGTATTTTTTTTTTTTTTTTTTTTTTTTTTTGAGACGGAGTCTCACTCTGTTGCCCAGGCTGGAGTGCAGTGGCGGGATCTCGGCTCACTGCAAGCTCCGCCTCCCGGGTTCACGCCATTCTCCTGCCTCAGCCTCCCAAGTAGCTGGGACTACAGGCGCCCGCCACCACGCCCGGCTAATTTTTTGTATTTTTAGTAGAGACGGGGTTTCACCGTTTTAGCCGGGATGGTCTCGATCTCCTGACCTCGTGATCCGCCCGCCTCGGCCTCCCAAAGTGCTGGGATTACAGGCGTGAGCCACCGCGCCCGGCCAAAAAAAAACAAACAAACAAACAAAAAAAAACAAAAAAAAAAAAACACACAAGTATTATATATAGTTTTTAAGGGAAGGGGAGGTGGATGGAGATGGAATTATGTAAGTGACCATAGCATAAAATAACCTTTCAAAATAGTAAAAGAGGAGTTCAGAAATGGCAGGGCCCTTAACAATCATGTGATGGCAGTCTTATCACCCAGTACATATGGTCATCTGTTTTCAGTGTGAATGGTTTCAGGAAAGGTTGCTTAACACCACCAGATAACAGACAGCTTGGTTGTTAGCAAGTTATTCTTCATACTGACCTGCAATCTGTCTTCTGAATTCAACCTATTGATCTTGCACCTTGGAGCAATAGCTATACTGTGTAATTGCTGTTCCCCTTCCTTGTAGTGGCCATTCAAATGTTTAACCATGGTTGTTCTTCTCATCTTTTCTTCAGTCTATATATTGCTAGTTCTTGAGCTTATGTGATATATATTTTGAGAAACTTATACAGTAGACACTTCTATCTTCAGTGTCCCTCTTAATATATGATGTCCAAAACGGGACCCAGTACTTTAAGCATGGATGGCTAGCACTTCCATTTAAAAAATTGAGTATATTTTCTAATATACCTTAAGATTGTAATATCTACCATTACATTGTTTTTTCCTGATTATAAAAGTAAAACAACCGCATTACAGAAAATTTTGAAAATGAAGAGACATTTAAAAAAAAAATCACCTCTAAATCCCTAGTCCAGAGATACCTTGCTGTATTTCCTTTCAGATGTGTTTCTGTGTTTATATAATCGGGATCACATCTTATATGTACTATTTTTGATCTGGCTTTTTCATTGGTATTATATTGTGAGCATTTCCCCACATCGGTCAGCAGCCTTCAAACAATTTTTAATGGCTGCATACTTTTCAGTTTTCAATTTCTACCATAATTGTATGACAGATCACATATTGATCGTTTAAATTATTTTTGCTTCTTTGAACCTCACCTTTTTTAGGTCTTTATTCAAATGTCACATTTGAATTCTAAATGATCTCACATAAAAATGCAAACCCATCTTTTCCAACACTCACTCTTCCCCTTTCTTGCTTTACTTTTTTAAACCTTTGGTTTGTGTCATCACCTGATAGACTAGATACATTACATCTATTGTTTGGATTCCTGTTTTAGGGTGTAAGTCCCTCAAGCCCGGGGATTTTTTTCTCCATTTTGTTCACTCTTATATCCGCTAGAACCTACAATAAGGTCTGACATATTGTAGATACTTACTAAATATTTGTTGAATGAATTATTAAGATGAGTTTTTATGAAAGACATTACTGGGCCTGAAGATACTAACGTTTTAAAGGCTCTTGATATCTATGTGAAGGTGTTCCACTCTACTGTATAAGATTGTTGATTACTGCTCATACACCCATGACAGTGCTGGCCATTGCCATTCTTTTAAAATTTTTACCGATCTGTTAGGGGCAAAATGGTACCTTACTGTTTTAATACGTGTTTCTTTTATTATAATGAGATTGAATACTTTTTTATATTTCTTGATTAATTTTGTTTCCTTTCTATAAACATCTATTTATGATCTTTGTACATGTTCCATTAAGAACTTACATTTTTTTAAATTTGTATGGGCAATGTATGTTTAGTTGACCCATTAGACCTCTTTCTGTCAAATGTAGGGAAAATATTCTCCCACTTACATTTTAAATGTTTACATTTAAAAGTTTACATTTTAAATTGACTTTTATGCATAGTAATCTTAATTTTATGTAATTATATTTATCTTTTCATTTGTAATTTCTTCTGATGAATTCGTGTTTAAGAATTTCTTCCTCATTCAAAATTGGATAAGTGCTTAAATGAATTTTGTTTTAGTTTTTATTGCTTATGTTTAATCCCTCTGGAATTTATTTTGCTGTGTAGTGTGAGGTAATTTTCTAAATTGTTTTCCCTGCCAATTGTTTCATAGCACCAAACACTGAATAATTCATTCATTCCCACTGTTCTGTAATATATACAAATTGTAATATATAATAGATTCTGTTTGGAATTTATCTATTCTTCATTTCTTTTAGTCTGTCTCTTCCTGTCCTAGTTACAAAGTTTAAATATTATTGTAGCTTTAAAATAATTTTTATTACCTCAGCTCTTCTACTTACTAGCTGTGTAGTCTCTCTAAGCCTAAATTTATCTGTATAGAATGGGTAGCAGTAACATTTATTTTATGCTCTTAATTTTGTGAAGGGGATCTTTCTACCATTATTTCTGCTAATTGATTATGCAGAAAATTAGTATTTATGATTTTAACTTCTATTTTTTTCACTTTGCTGAAATTTATTATTATAAATGTATAGTTTACAAGTTATTTTCTTGTTTTTTTTCCCTTTTTTTATTTTGGAAATTTAAGGGAAACTCAGAGAATCTTTCAAAACAATGAACAAGTAACCACATATATACTACTCAGAGTGAACAACTGTTAGCATTTTGTCGTTTTGGCTTTTGATATGTTTTAATAAAATAAATGAAACATTATATATAAACTTTAACTTTCTTTGTGTCTAGCCCCCGTTTCATTCCTTTCCACATCCCTCCAAACGTGACACTCAGGGCCACTCACATTTGCTGAATTTTCTATTCAGTTGCTTCTTCTTACTGATTCATAAGACTTATTTATATATTCTGGATACTAATTATTTGTGATATATATAGCATATATCTGCTTCTATAATGTTACTTCGCTTTCTATTTTGTTTATGGGGTCCTTTATCATTACAGAAGTTTTACATTTTCATATCAGGTTTATCAATCTTTTCCTCCATGAATTGTGCTTTTTGTATCATGCTTTAAGAGATATTCCTGATGCTATGATCATAAAAAATGTTCTCCAAAATTTTGCTGAAGAGTTCAAGAAATTTTCTTTACACTTAGTTCTTTAATCCATCTGGATTTTATTCTTGTATGTGATGTAAAATATTAAGCAGTTTTTTTTCCATGTAAAATACTATTTGTTTTAAATATCATTTATACACAACTAGTTTAGACCGCAAACTCCACCACATTGCCTAATTTTTATATGTGTTTGAGTCTATTTCTAGGCTCTCTATTGTGTTTCATTAATCTATTTGTCTACACTTGTGTTGTTTTACCTACAAATGCTTTATAACGAATTTGATATTTGTAAAGTCAAGTTACTGTTCACTGCCTTCATCCACACTCACACCACTTTTCTTGTTTTTTCTGGATTATCTTATTTTTGGTCCTTTCCTCACTTACCTTAATTTTAAAACGAAATTATCAAATTACAAGAAAATAATGTTTGTTTTTCTTGAAATTATATTGAATCTGTAGAATGATTTGAAGAAGAATTGACATCCTTTTGACAGAGATTTCCTATTCATGAATATGTTATATCTTGGCATTTATTCAGGACTTTTTGCAACCTTTGATGAAGGTTGGTAAATTTATTGATAATACTCTTACATATTAGATTTAGTCCCAGGCAACTTTATTTTTTAGTCAGATTTATTAATGTATAATTAGCATAAAATAAAACTTACCCTTTGTAAGTGTACAGTTTAAGTTCTGACACATGTATATGATTGTGTAACCACTACCACCGGTGCCACCACAATAAGGATAGAGAAAATTTCCCTTACTATAACAGGTTCTTTTGGGCCCCTTTGCAGCCAGTTCTTTTCTTCTACCTACAATTCCAGGAAACCATCTATCTGTTTTCTTTTTCTTTTCTTTTTTTTTTTTTTATTATACTATAAGTCTGAGGTACATGTGCAGAACGTGCAGTTTTGTTACATAGATATACATGTGCCATGGTGGTTTGCTGCACCCATCAACCTGTCACATACATTAGGTATTTCTCCTAGTGCTATCCCTCCCCTAGCCTCCCACCCCCTGACGGGCCCCAGTGTGTGATGTTCCCCTCCCTGTGTCCATGTGTTCTCATTGTTCAGCTCCCACTAATGAGTGAGAACATGCAGTGTTTGGTTTTCTGTTCTTGTGTTAGTTTGCTGAGAATGATGGTTTCCAGCTTCATCCATGTTCCTGCAAAGGACATGAACTCATCCTTTTTTATGGCTGCATAGTATTCTGTGGTGAATATATGCCACACTTTCTTTATCCAGTCTATCACTGACGGACATTTGGGTTGGTTCCAAGTCTTTGTGAACAGTGCCACAATAAACATAGATGTACACGTGTCTTTATAGTAGCATGATTTAAAATCCTTTGGATATATACCCAGTAATGGGATCGCTGGGTCAAATGGTATTTCTAGTTCGAGATCATTGAGGAATTGCCACACTGTCTTCCACAATGGTTGAAGTAATTTACACTCCCACCAACAGTGTAAAGCGTTCCTATTTCTCCACATCCTCTCTAGCATCTGTTGTTTCTTGACTTTTTAATGATTGCCATTCTAACTGGTGTGAGATGGTATCTCATTGTGGTTTTGATTTGCATTTCTCTAATGAGCAGTGATGATGAGCTTTCTTTCATATGTTTGTTGGCTGCATAAATGTGTTCTTTTGAGAAGTGCCTGTTCATATCCTTTGCCCACTTTTTGATGGGGTTGTTTTTTTCTTGTAGATTTGTTTAAGTTCTTTGTAGATTCTGGATATTAGCCCTTTGTCAGTTGGATAGATTGCAAAAATTTTCTCCCATTCTGTAGGTTGCCTGTTCACTCTGATGATAGTCTCTTTTGCTGTGCAGAAGCTCTTTAGTTTAATTAGATCCCCTTTGTCAATTTTGGCTTTTGTTGCCATTGCTTTTGGTGTTTTAGACATGAAGTCTTTGCCCATGCCTATGTTCTGAATGGTATTGCCTAGGTTTTCTTCTAGGAATTTTATGGTTTTAGGTCTTAGGTTTACTGTCCTCAAAGTGTTGTTTCTTTTATGCTATCACATCAATGGAAACATTTGGTATGTAGTCTTTTGTGTCTGGCTTCTTCTAATTAGCACTTACTTTTAGGATTCATCCATGTTTTTGCATATTTTCATTATTGTTTATTCTTTATTATTGCTGAGTAATTTATTCATTCAACAGTTTAGGGACATTTGTTTTTTTCCCACTATTTAGCCATGTCGCAATGCTGTTATAAATGTTCTTGTACAGGTTTTTGCTTCACATATATTTTTATTTATGCTAGGTAAATACCTAGAAGGGGACTCCTGGGGTTATATGCAAAGTAAATGTCTAACTTTATAAGAAATTGTCAAGCTATTCTCCAAAGTGGCTATATAATTTTGCATTCCCACCGGCAGTGTGTAAGAGTCTCAGCTGCTCATTATCCCCACCACCACTTGGTATTTTCATCTTTAAAAAACTAGACCAGGCACGGTGGCTCATGCCTGTAATCCCAGTGCTTTGGAGGCCGTGGCAGGTGAATCACTTGAGGTCAGGAGTTCGAGACCAGCCTGGCCAACATGGTGAAACCCCGTCTCTACTAAAAATACAAAAATTAGCCTGGTGTGGTGGCAGGCGTCTGTAATCTCAGCTACTCGGGAGACTGAGGCAGGAGAATCAAATCACTTGAAACTGGGAGGTGGAGTTTGCAGTGAGCTGAGATTGTGCCGCTGCACTCCAGCCTGGGTGACAGAGTGAGACTTCATCTCAAAAAATAATAATAATAATAATAATAAACTTTATTTTAGAACAGTTTCGGATTTACAAAAAAATTCAACGGAGTTACCCCATCCCCCACCCCAGTTTCCCTTATTATTAACGTCTTTAATGTGGTGCATTTGTTACAACTGATAAACTGATATTGATATATTATTATTAACTCACGTCTATAGCTTGCATTTGTGCACACTCTTTGTGTTCTACAGTTCTATGAATTTTGACAATGTATAACATATATCCACCATTATTGTATAATATAGAATAGTTTCTCTGCCCTAAAAAATCTCCTGTTATATACCTGTTCATCCCTCCCTCCAGCCTGAACCTCTAGCAACCACTGATCTTTTCACTCTCTTTAATGTTTTGCCTTTTCCAAAATGTCATATAGTTGAAATTTTACAGTATGTAGCTTTTAAGGCTGGCTTCTTTCACTTGACAATATGTATTTAAGATTTTTCCATGTATTATCATGGCTTGATAACTCATTTCTTTTTATTGCTGAATAATATTCAATTGTGTGGATAGACACATAGGCTGTACCACAGTTTGTTTATCCATTCACCTACTGAAGGACATCTTGGTTACTTCCAAGTTTTGGCAATTATGAATAAAGCTGCTATAAGTGTTTGTAAGCAGGTTTTTGTGTGGATATAAGTTTTCAACTCATTTGGGTAAATACCGAGGAGTGCAATTGCTGGATCATATGGTAAAACTATGTTTAGCTTTGTAAGAAACTGCCTGACTGTCTTCCAAAGTGGCTATATCATTTTGCACTGCCATCAGCAATAAATGAGCATTCCTGTTGCTCCACATGTTTACTAGCATTTGGTGTTGTCTACATTTTGGATTTTGGACATTCTAATAGGTGTGTAGTGATACTTCATTGTTGCTGTAGTCTTCAATTCCCTAGCGACATACGAGTTGAGCATCTTTTTGCATGCTTATTTGCAATCTTATCTGTTTTGCTGAGCTGTCTCTTCAGTTCTTTTGCTCATTTTTAACGGGGCTGTTTTCTTATTGTTCAGTGTAAGAGTCCTTTATATATTTTCAATATAAGTTCTGTACTAGATATATGTTTTGCAAATATTTTCTCCTAGTCTATGGCATGTATTTTCATACTCTTAACAGTGCGTTTCACAGAGCAAAGATCTTAAATTTTAATGAAGGTCAATTTATCAGTTTTTACTTTCATGGATCATTCTTTCTTTTCCCCTATTTTGTCTTCTAGGACTTTTTTGGTTTTGTATTTTACTGGCTATGACCCATGTTGAGCTAATTTTTGTTAAGAATGTAAGGTCTTTGTCAAGATTCATCTTTTTTCTGCAAGTGGATGACCAGTTATTCCAGCACCATTTGTTGAAAAGACTATCATTTATCCCTTATATTATCTTTGCTTCTTTGTCAAGGATCAGTTGACTATATTCATGTGGGTCTATCTATTTCTGGGGTCTCTATTCTGTTCCACTGACGTATTCATCTATTCTTTTACCAGCACTACACTGCCTTGTTTCCTGTCAGGTAGTGTCAGTCCTCTAACTTTATTCCTATTCTTTAGTATTGTGTTTACTATTCTGGGTCTTTTGTCTTCCTATATAAACTTCAGCATCTGTTTATTGATATCTAGAAAATAAATTGTTGGGATTTTGGTTGGGACTGCATTGAATGTATATATCAGTTGAGAAGAACTGACCTTACCAATAATGAATCTTCCTATCCAACAATACTGAGTCTTCCTATTCATGACCATGGAATATTTCTCCATGTATTTAGATCTTCTTTGATTTCTCTTATCAGAGTTTTATAGTCTCCTTAAAGATATCATATACATATTTTGTTAGATTTATACCTAAGCATTTCAGATTTTGGTGGTAACATAAATAGTGCATTTTACATTTCAAATTCCAGTTGTTCATTGCTAGTATATAGGAATGCTATTGACTTTTGAAGATTAGTCTTGTATCCTGCCTTGTCAGTCTTTCCCGTGAGTGCGTAGTGGTAGCTCATTGTGGTTTAATTTGCATTTTCCTATGACTAATGATACTGAACATTTTCTCATGTGCTTATTAGCCATCTGTGTATCTCATTTGGAGAAATGTCCATTCAAATCGTTTGCCCATTTTAAAATTGGGATATTTGTGTTCTTATTATTGGGTCATTCTATAATACAATATATAATATTAAATATAATACAAATTCTTTAGAAGATATGTGTTTTGGAAATATTTTCTGCCCTTCTGTGGCTTGTCTTTTCATTTTCTTAATGGGTTTTCTATTATGACTTGTACCTTTTGCATTCTAAGAAGTCTTTGCATTAATTAAGTTCAAAATAATTCTCTCTTGTTTTGTTCTAGAGTTTTGTAGTTTCTGTTCTTTGATTTATGTCTTTGGTGCATGTTTAGATGACTTTTGCCTTTGGAGCAAGGTAATGTTCCAGGCATATACAATATATTTTTCCTTATGTATGTCCAGTTTTTCCAGCCCCATTTGTTGACAAGAGTATGTTTTGCCCATTGAATTACCTTGGCACCCTTGTCCAAAATCAACTGACTGTGTATGGATGGATCTACTTCTGGACTCTATTCTGTTTATTTGATCTGTTTGTGTAACCTTGAAACTAACATGCTGCATCAATTATTATAATTCAGTGGTTCCCAACTGGGGCAATATTCCCCCCAGGGACATTTGGCAATGTCTGGAGACATTTTTGGTTACCACAAATGGAGGGACATGCTCCTGGCATATTGTGGGTAGAGGCCAGGCAGCTACCCAAACAATAAAGTATTGCTCTGCCCCAAAATGTTAATATTGTTGAGGTTGAGAAACTGCAATAGCATTTTCGTAAATCTTGAAGTAAAGCATTGTGGATCCTTTAACTTTGTTCTTCATTTAAAAATTATTTTTGAAAAACAATTAAAAACTGTCTTTGGCTATCCTAGGTCCTTTGTATTTCCAGATAAATTGATCAGCCAGCTTTTCCCTTTCTCCTCCAAAAATGCTACTGAAAGATTTATTGGGATTGAGTTAAATCTTTAGGTCAATTTGGGAAGAAATGACATCTTAACTACCTTGAGTCTCCTGATACATTAAGATGGTATAACGTTTTATTGTTTATTTCTTCTTTAAATTATCTTAACAATGTTTTGTATATTTCAGTGTATAGATCTTGCATATATTTTGTGAAATTTATCTTAAGTAATACATGCTTTTTGATGCTATTATAAATGGTAATTTATAAATTTTAACTTCTGATATTTATTATTAGTGCATAGCAATACAATTAATTTTTGTCTATTGATATTGTATCTTATGAACTTATAAAACTTAATTACTAGTTCTAGTAGTTGTTTTGTTTGTTTTTAGATTCTTGGTATTTTCTGTATTTTATTATTATTCCTTTACTTTAAGTTCTGGGGCACATGTGCAGAATGTGCAGGTTTGTTACATAGGTATACATGTGCCATGAAGTTTGCTGCATCCATCAACCTGTCATCTGCATTAGGTATTTCTCCTAATGCTATCCCTCCCCTAGCCCCCCACCCCCTGACAGGCCCCAGTGTGTGATGTTCCCCTCCCTATGTCCATGTGTTCTCATTGTTCAACTCCCCCTTATGAGTGAGAACATGTGATGTTTGGTTTTCTGTTCTTGTGTTAGTTTGCTGAGAATGATGGTTTCCAGCTTCATCCATGTCCCTGCAAAGGACATGAACTCACCCTTTGTTATGGCCGCATAGTATTCCCTGGTGTATATGTGCCACATTTTCTTCATCCAGTCTATCACTGCTGGGCATTTGGGTTGGTACCAAGTCTTTGCTATTGTGAACAGTGCCGCAATAAACAAACGTGTGCATGCACCTTTATAGTAGAGTGATTTATAATCCTTTGGGTATATACTCAGTAATGGGATTGCTGGGTCAAATGGTATTTCTAGTTCTAGATCCTTGAGGAATTGCCACTCTGTCTTCCACAGTGGCTGAACTAATTTCTACACAGATGAGTATGCTGTCTGGTAGTAAACACAGTTTTAATTCCTATTTTCCAAATCATATCTTTTTTTCTTGCTGTATTTATATTATTTTATTTTATTTTTACTGTATTTTAACTGGATAGGACCTCTAGTAGAATGTTGAATGGAAGTGTACAGCAGATCTCCTTGCCTTGATCTTCATTTTATTGCAGGAAATATTCAGTCTTTCGCCATTAACTGTGGTGCCATCTTTGGATTTTTATCACATACCATTTATAAGTTTGAGGGAGTTCCCTTCTATCCATAGTTTGGTGAGGGATTTTTATCATGAATGTATGCTGATGATCTTGAATTTTTTAAAATGCTTTTTATGTATCTATTGAAATGATCTTTCTAAGTCTATTGCTATGGTGAATTACAGTGATTGACTTTTAAGTGTTGAACCATTCTACCATTTCCCATAGAACCATTCTATTTGGTCATGATGTATTATTCTTGTTATATATATCTCGGCTTATTTTTATTTACAGTTTTTTTTGTGTCTGCATTCATTAGATATATTGGTCTTTAATTTTCTTTTCTTATAATGCATTTATTTGGTTTTGGAAAAGAGTCACTCTAGTCTCATAAAATGAGGTGGGAAGTGTTTTTTCCGTCTTTTGTGAAACAGCTTGTGTAGAATTAGTATTCTTTCTTCCTTAAGTACTTGGTGTATTAGTCAGAGGGGGAGTTTATTAAGTATTAACTTCCATGATTACAAGGTCCCACAATAGGCTGTCTGCAAGCTTGAGGAACAAGGAGAGTCAGTCCGAGTCTCAAAACTGAAGAACTTGGAGTCCTATGTTTGAGGGCAGGAAGCATCCAGCATGGGAGAAAGATGTAGGCTGCGAGGCTAGGCTAGTCTCGCTTCTTAATGTTTTTCTGCCTGCTTTACATTCGTTGGCAGCTGATTAGATTGTGCCCACTAGATTAAAGGTGGGTCTGACTTCCCCAGCCCGCTGACTCAAATGTTAATCTCCTTTGGCAACACCCTCACAGATACACCCAGGATCAATACTTTGCATCCTTCAATACAATCAAGTTGACACTCAGTATTGACCATCACACTTGGTGTAATTCACCAGTTGAGCCAAGGTTTTTAACTGTGAATTTATACATTTAATATATTTAATAGATAAAAAGCTATAGATTATCTATTTCTTCTCAAGTGAGAGCTGATATTATGTCTTGCAAATATTCTGCCTGTTTCATCTACATTATTAAATTCATTTCCATAAATTTGTTATATTTTCTTATTATCCTTTTAATTTTTGTAAGATCTGTAGTGACCCACTTGTCTTCATTTCTAATAAATGTTAATTTTTGTTTTCTTTTTTTTTCTCATTATCTGTGTAAAAGTTTACTACTTTTATTGATCTTTTCAAAGAACCAGCTCTTAGTTTCATTGATTTTTTTTTTTTTTTTTGGTCTTCCTTCATTCTATTTCATTGAATTCTGCTCTTATTTTTATTATTTCCTTCCTTTTGTTTGCTTTGAGTTTAATTTGCTCTTCATTTTCATGTGTCTTAAAGTGGAATTTTAAACCATTGAGTTTTTCTTATCTAATATAAGATTTAATGCTGTAACTACCCCTATCTGCACTTTTTAAGCTACATTACATAGTTTTTGATAATCATATTTTTGTTTTGTGGCTGTTTTTTCTATTATATTTTCTAATTGATATCTGTAAGTTGGTCTTGCATCTAGTATTCTTGAAAATTCTTATTCATTCTTATAATTTGTTGATTCTTTTGAATTTTTTTCATTTCTCCTACAAATGAAAACGATTTTGCCCTCCTTTTAAGATCCTTATGTTAAGGTATTATTTCTTTTCTTGTTATTTTGGCTAAGATACACAATAAAACATTGGTTACTGATAGGCATGGGGCAGTCTTTGTCTTGTTTCTGACTTGAGTGAGATTGTTTCTAATGTGTCTCCATTGTGTATGGTATTTCCTCTAGGTTTTTTGGTAGATATTATTCATCAAATAAAATAAGTTTCATTGTATTTCTAATTTGCTAAGATTTCTACCATGAATGAGAGGAAAATTTCATTGCATGATTTTTTTCTTCATCTGTTGAGATGCTCCTATACTTCTTTTTTTTATAATATGTTAATCTATTTTAAAAAATTACTAGTGGTAATTCAACTCCTTTTCTCTCCTTCATCTTTTTTGGAACTGTGAATTGCACTGATAGGTTATTCAATATTAAGCTCTCCTTTCATTTCAGAGAAAAATCTGCTTGATTACAGATCATATGTGGCTAGATTTATTTGTTTTCCCTTTAAAAAACTGTATCTAGGTTCTTAGGTTGATATTACCAATACTGTTCAATTTTGATAAGAATATTGCATTAAGCTAAAAGGTAGTTTTTATAGCTTTCATCTTTTTCCAGTTTCTGGAACTGTTTGCAGAAGATAAGAATTAATTATTTTTTATTAGTTTAATAAAACTGATTTTAGATCCTGGTGTGATCCCATTCTTTTTTTATTGTATGCAGAGTGTTAGGAGGGAGATTTGATGTTTAGCCTCCTGGTTCAATTTCTGTTCTAATCCATTTAGTTTTGTTTTTTGTTTGCTATTTGCTATTTGTTTTCCTAGGGAATTGTCAATTTCTTCAGTTTTTGAACGTAATGGCTAAAGTTGTTCATAATATTCTTTTATGATTTTGAACAAGTTTTGTTTTTTGTTGAAAGCATATGATTTTTTTTTAAAGTTTGCTTTTTGTTAAAAGTATATGAGGTCTTAATTTAAAATCAAATATTTCTCCAAGATTTGTTAAAAACAACAGCAGATCCCTGCCCAGCTTCCTAGAAGCAACCGTGTTCCACCATTTCAGATTATTCTTTTGGTATTTATACCGTATTTCTAAATAACATGCATATACTGATCCATCTTAATTTAAAATGTTTATGCAAATTTATTAATTTCCTACTCTGGAAGATAAGTGTTCAGATTCTTTGAAATCTGCCCTACTTGTACAACATATATAAGTTTCTTCTCCCATCCCCATACTCTTTTAATTTCAGTATAACTTCGATTTAATTTTTTGTTTATGTTATTATGACCATATCAGTGCCACTTACAGCTGAGCCAGATAACATGTTGTATTAGTTTACCATTGCTGCTGTAACAAATTACCACAAACTTAGTGACTGAAAACAACACAGTTTTAGTTTTTAAATAGTTTTGCAGGTTTTCCAGGGCTAAAATCAAGACATTGGCAGGGCTGTGTTCCTTTTTGGAAGCTCTGAGGAGAACTTGTTTTCTTGACTTTTCCGGCTTCTAGAGACTTCCTGCATTCCTTTGCTCCTGGTCCCTTCCCCCATCTTCAAAGTCAGCAATGACCAGGCAAGTCGTTTTCACATCGTATCACTCTGACACTGACTTTTCTGCCTCCCACTTCTGACTCTTCTCCCTCCCACTTCC
The DNA here is from genome assembly GCF_000001405.40 of Homo sapiens. Classification (NCBI taxonomy): domain Eukaryota; kingdom Metazoa; phylum Chordata; class Mammalia; order Primates; family Hominidae; genus Homo; species Homo sapiens. The sequence goes on along the minus strand of NC_000023.11, from coordinate 152,431,701 downwards.
ACTTTTAAGGACCCTTGTGATTACATTGTGTTTACTCAGATAATCCAAATAATCTATTATAAGGTTAACTAATTAGCATCCTTCATTCCATCTGCTATTTAATCACTTTTTGTCCAGTAGCATAACATGCTTACAGGTTCTGGGGATTAGGACATTCACATCTTTGGAAGGCCATTATTCTGCCTACCATATATAAGAGCATTACTTTTCATTTTCTGTGCAAAGTTTAGTTTTCACTGGAATAATTGTCTTTTTAAAATGTGCTTATCATTTATGTACTACTTATCACTACTTCAAGCTCAAACTCTCTTCCAGTGTTGACATGTTTTCTCAGTAAATGCAGACATAAAAGATATTTTATTAGTTTTATCTTCTTATTGAAATTGTTTCTTTACTCTTTTCCCCTATTAAAATTTGGACTGGCTTCTCTCTCTGCTTTGTTCATAGATATCATCCTGGAATCTCCATCACTATCCTTAGATTTCCTTCCTGTTTCTCTTGAGTTGAAAACATTGCTCCACTACCTTCTAGCTTCCAGAGTATCTGCTAGGAAATCTGAAATTATTCTTGAACATCTGTGCTCAATTTCGTCTTTCTTTCTCTTGAAACATGTAGGATATTCTTTTCATCTGTTGTGTTCTAACACTGTTGTAGGTTCTTGTGGATCTATTTTCATCCATTGTGCTGATATTCAGTTGACTTTCAAAAAAAGCCTATGGGATTTTTTTTTGAATTATTTCATTGCTATTCTTTCTTTCCCTCTCATTTACTCATTCTCACACTAGCTCGTTGTCCCTATCTGTATCTCTTTCCCTTTCCCTCCTACTATTTTAATATTGGCCCTACTAGGCTGATTTTATTATTTTCTTACATTTTCTATTGTCCATCTCATTGTCTAAATGCTGTATATTTTGGAAGATATCTTCAACTTTATCTCCCCACACTTCTATAGAGTTTTGCATTTCCCGTATTATGATTTTACACTGTAATGATTTAAAAATATATATCCTTTGAATTTCCTTTTTTTATGGCAACTTGTCCTTTTTTCATAGATGCAATACTGTGATCAGTCCCTAGTTCAGAACCACTTTTTATGTTGTCAGTTTGGGGCTTTTATTCCTTGAAGATATCAAAGGTCAAGTTTTTGAGGCAGTGCTTGGCGTGATGCAAGTCTTAGTTGCATAACTATCTCTACTGCCTACCTGGGCAACACCCCAGTTGCCAGTCTCAGCTTCCTGGGCTGGTCATAGCATTTTTAGAGTTATTCTGCCTAGGAGTTCCCTGCCTCATCGTCTGGTTTCCTGCAGTGATCTAGCTTTGCTACCCTACCATATATTCAATATTATTGGTTTATGTTACCCCACAGTACTTGAACTTCTGGCTGCCTCTTCCTGTTTCCCAGTGGGTAAGTGGTTTTATTCTCTCCAACCCCATCCCCAGCCTATTGCTGAGTTCATTTTTCTGTTTCAGCTGCATGGACATATTTTATTTTTTCTTTAACAGTTGTGGTTGTGTTTTTATTTTTTAATGTATGTTTTATGATTTAGTTGTCATCACTATATTCTATGTTTGAAGCTGAGAGAGGGGGATTTTTTTCCTGTGTGAACTCAAATTACTAGCTTGACATGATAATCCTTCAGGATTTTTAGATGGATAATAAATTCTCCTTCAAATAATGGCTACTCAACATTTGGGAACTTAGTTATGAAGAATTCTCTATGATTAGTTTTCTATACTTAATCTGTAATCATAGATTGCAACATTCACATATCTGAGTATCAGTCTATGTTGTGAAGCAACAGAGATATGGATCCACTCAGGTTAGGTTAAGCAGACAGGTGTTTTTGACTCTGGGATCAGGAACATTGGACTTGCCTAAACCTAGGGCCCCCATTGGTATCAAAGGAAGTTTTGTAGGTCAGGTGAGTGGCAATGGTTACCTCAGGAGGAGAGTCTTATTGTGACAGACAGGAAGAAGAGAAGACAGGAGTGTGAAGAAGTTGTGGTTGCCAGATTGATGTTTGAACTTTAAATGGAAATAGGAAAATTAGATGACAAAACAACTATTTTTAGGTTGAAGACAATGTTTCTGATTGTTTCAGGAGGGGTGAATGGAGCCAATGGAGGTTTTGCCATGGTTTGAGGTCATCTCTAAGGTGGGAAGGCGTGATTTGGCTAGATCTTAAAGGACCTTGTAGGTCAAATTCAGGAGTTTAGTCTTTCCCTCAAGAGCAGTAGGGAGCCTTTGAATAGTTTTAAGCAAGGGAGTAAAGCAATCTGATTCGCATTTTTATGGCCCCCTCTGGTTGCTGTGTGAAGAATAGGTTAATGCTGCAGAAGGGCGGCTGAAGTGAATGTGAGGCCAGTAATGCTGCTTTGGCTAAAATGGTAATCTGGAGAAAGAGAGGGAGGGAGGGAGGGAGAGAGAGACCATGGGTTTGAGAGGTATATTGGAGGTAGATTAATAGAAGTAGTGGAAGGAATATTTAGCAAACACTAGGAAGTCTGGCTGAACTTGTACTTTTCCCTGCATTTCCTTCTTTAAATTTATTTCCTACCAGTTTTCCTGACCTGTCTCACTCACCTATGGGGACTCAGATATCGTTCTTACCTCTCTTTTAATTCAATTCTTTCATATTTAATCTCCAATCTTCTGCTTTATTCCAGTGACACAAGGGCTTGGCTGTGTTCTTGTGCTGGGATCCCATAATCAGTCACTCCATTTTCTTTCTTTGCTTTCCACATTGGTGACCCATTAAGTGCATTCTTCATTTTCAGTGGTCTATTGTTTTTCTTCAATTTCTGGCTTGCTTTCAATCCATCTTTCTCAGTTTTCAGCTGGGACTAACTTGAGAAAAAACCTCTCTTGCTCTTGAGTAGTGGGTGTATGCTTGCCAAATGTTTGCAAAAAAAGTATCTCATTGTACAAGTGGCATTCCAGCTGCATTAACACCCAAGCAGAAATAAGTAAATACTCAATTTTAGAACTCACTGTCATCTTTACTTGTGGAGTGATTGCCTCCTGCTTTCTGAGTGCCTGTTTAGGAATCTATAAATGACACAGTTTCCACAAGCATTTGGGGATCCTGGGCAGTATCTATGCTACAACAATGCTCCTGGTTATATGCTCAGTGGGGGCTGGAGGCTGAAATTGGTATATATTAATGCAACCTTCCTCTGTTTTTGTGTCTAGTCTGCAGATTCTCCACTTTTAGATAAAGGCAGGTTGCCTGAACTATGCACATTGCACATTCCTGTTTATAGCTCCTGTACCCTGGGGACAAACTACAAATCTGCAGTTACTCTTTAGCGTACAGCTTCATCTGTCTGACTGCAGCCCCAGGGACTACTATTGAGAGTAGCTCTTTGGATGAGAGGAGGGACGCCACCGCATAGCAGCCAGGGCTCTGAATCACTGTCTGCAGGGTGCATGTTTTGGAATCTGGGTGCTGAGTTAGAAGGGACTATGAGTCAGTGCACTGTTAGGACGGGGCCAGTTGTATATTGGGCCAGCAGCCTGCGGAGATTATACAAATGAGACAGGGTGTCTCTCCTTCCTTGGTGATTTACTTCTTAAATTATTGTATCTAATTGGTAGGTCTGTGAATCTCTAAGTGGCGTCATTGCTTTGCCAAGTACATTGCAGGGGCAAGTACAAGAATACTTTTAGCTATTACCTGTATTCTCATAAAAAGATGTTTAGGGTAATATAAGCAATATATATGGATGGGTGACAGCTCTCCAGATGTTTTGGTGTGCTGAAGCGCCAGCCAGGATTTGGCTGTAGATGTTGTGGCCAGAGCTGACAAATTCAGTGTTTGCTTATTAGATCTCTTGTGTTATTGATCTCTGCAGAACTCAGATAAATTCAAATTCCACTTCATGAACCTCTTCCTTGGGCATTCGTTGTTTTCTTGGTGAGAAACAGAAAGTTTTAGCTTTCATTTTAGCATCTATTTATTGAGTATATGAAATATATCAGCTGACTGTGCTAGAAGTTAAGGATATAATGGTGACTCAGATAGACCTGGCCCCTGCTTTTTTGGAGTTCGCAATCTAAAAGGGAAGGCATACTTTGAAAAAGTAATTTTCCGGTGAGCCGAATGCTGTGGAAAAGTAGCAGAAAGTGTTATAAAGAAATTAAAAAGCAGACCTAGGTTAGTGGGGAACATGACAGGTAAATTTTCTTTAATGAAGTAATGTTCAAGCTTAGAATGTAAAGATCTATAGCTGTTTGCCATTTCAGTAGTGATAGGGAGAGAGATGGGTAAGAATATTCCAGGGAGAGGGAAAAGGTTGCATGAAGGCCCTGATAATGGCAAAATTCATGCTGCATTCTAGGAAGTAAGAGAAGGTCAGTATGGCTGGAGTGTACAGAATGAGATGTGAAAATAGAGATACAGAGTACAATGCAGTGTTTGGGCCTTATTCCAAGGTCATAGAGGAGTCATTAAAGGACTTTAAACAGGGAATGACATAGTCAGATTTGCAGGTTTCAAAGCTGATTCTGGCAGCAGGCAATGGATTTATTGTCAAAGAAGTCAAAAGTAGCTATAGAGGGAGAATTAGGTGTGAGAGATAATAATGATGACTTCATCTATGGTGGTGCCAAAGGAGATGGAGAACAGTAATGAGGAGGCAGCATAACATACCTGCCGTATTGGGTTATTGTGAGGGTTAAATAACTTAATAAATATAAAGTGCTTAGAACAGTGCCTAACACAGATCATGTTTCAACAATTTTAAGAAGCCCAGTCTCTTCCCATATTTTAATATTTCCCAAATAAGTATGACTCTTAGCTATCAATGACATATCATTGTTTATTTGGCAGCACATTTAATGTGCTAGTGGCATAAAAAATATTGTTGTATCTGAAAATTTGTGGCAACTTAGATGAAATATGATAGTTAAGTGTTAGAGATATATTTGCTCTTATCATTTTTCTATTATTATTATTCTGCCAAAATCTAGTGGGAGATAAACTCAGACACATAGAAACAACTAATGCTAAACCACTTCGAATAAGGAATGCAACGAAGAAAGTACGGAGAAAGGAAGTGACAGAGAAAGTACAGCGGAGGTATACCTACCTGTTTGGAGAAACTGATTTTCATCAAGGGAATTCTTAGAAGTGAGATAGAATCTCACCATGCCCACCACAGGGTTGGATCTAGAGTAGAATTGAGTATGAAGTGTTGACTGTTAGAGACTTGCAACTAACTCTTGCAAGTTAATCAATTCACCTGTACTTGTGAATACATAGCAAACTAAGCAGTATGATTGTAAGAGTGCTTCTTATGAAGACTGGATATCTCTTAATCCAGAAAGAAGATTAACCCTATCTATCACTTGTGCAGCTTCCTTTACATACTAAACATGATTCTAGTTTGTTTTACAAGAATATAATCCTACCCACCCAGTGAGGTAGGTGATGGTATCCACTATTCGCATATGAGGAAGTCCAAGGTCATATGCAGTTATTCTGATCTGGGATTTGAACTTGGTTTCTGTGTGACTCAAAAGTGTTTCCTTTACTCTTAGCTGTGTCTTAAAATGCCAGATTCTGAGTTAAGGGAGAGAATCTGACCTTTCTTGGATGGCATTAAATAATACTAGCTCCTCATTTCCACAATTATAGTTTAGTAGGGGAAGACAGACATTATAATTTTAATTACATAAATAAATAATTGGGAATTATAAGAAGTCATAGGAAGAAAACACACAAAGTTCTGTGTTCGTGGAAAGCAAAGGAGATGGGATTTCTAAAAAGATACTATTTAACCTGGACCTACAGGATGAAAAGGAGCCTGCCATGCAAATTGAGATGAGGAAGAGTTTTCTGGGCCTACACATGGGCTCTGAGATAAGAAGAAACATATTTTATTCAAGAAGTACATCAGGGAAAGGGGACAGAGTAGGAATAGATAAGCAGATAAGGACAGCTCTCCTCCAGGTGCGAGAGTACAAGCAGAAACCAGGACAGAAGTTGAAAGTCACCACTTTAGCCAACTGATCAAACATCACATCACAACATAAAAAACAATCATGTGTCTCCTGATGTGATGCACTAAGGGCACAATATTACTTAGATAGTGTTCTTTCCCCGAACCCATAACCCTAGTTTAATCATGAGAAAACGTCAGGCAAACTCAGATTGAGGGACATTCTGATCTTTTCTCTTTAAAAATTTCATTTTCATGAAAGACAAAGAAAAATTGGGGAAATGTTCCAGACTAAAGGAGACTAAAGAGATATGATAACCAAAGGTGTGATCCTACATTGGATCACACATTTACCTAGACGGGTAAAAATCACTATAGAGAGCGTTATTGGGACAATTGTTGAAACGTACATATGGATTCTAGATTAGATGACAGTGTTGTATCAATGATAAGTTTATTGATTTTGGTAATTGTATATAAGTGGGTTATATACAAGTGTGATATTGTTCTTTAGAAAAATACAAGCCAGGCATGGTGGCTTACACCTGTAATCCCAGCACTTTGGCAGGCTGAGGTAGGTAATTGCTTGAGTCCAGGAGTTTGATACCAACCTAGGCAACGTAACAAGATTCTGTCTCTACAAAAAAAAAAACCTTAGCTGAGCATGATGGAGCATATTGTAGCCTCAGCTACTCAGGAGGCAGAGGTGGGAGAGTTGCTTGAGCCTGGGCCTGGGAGGTCAAGGCTGCAATGAGCCATGATTGTGCCACTTCATTCCAGCCCGGGTGGCAGAATGACACCCTGTAAAAAAAAAAAAAAAAAAAAAAAAAGAAAAGAAAAAGAAAATATACAATGAAGTATTTGCAAGTATACAGATACAATGTGACAAATGTTAAGAAATTGTGCATATGGACAAAGAGTATGTTCTATTTCTGGAATTCGTTTGGAAGTTTGAAATTATTGCCAAACAAAAAGTAAAAACAAAGAAAACATTTAAATAAAACCACTGTGGGCACACCAAAAGCATATTATAGTAGTGAAGATGAATGATAAAAACAGCTTATACCAGGGTAGCTGGCGATGGTGATGGCAGCTACTTTGGGGTGGGGTAGGGGAAAATTGGCCTGACATCATTTAGATGTACAATGTTAAGTTTTGCCTATGCTAATAATTTTCATTATTTTTAAGATTACTCTTGAAGCCATTGAAGCATTTCAAGTGGTGGGGGAGCTGCTGACAAATCAGGTTATGAAATGCTAAACTTGGCTACTGTGTAGGATGGATTAGAAGGAGACAACAGTAGATTCCAGAAAACCAGTTAGCACAGTGTCATATACAAAGTAGATGCTTAGTTATTGTGTGATTGAGGCTTTAGCAGTGGCCAAGAGTGAGTTTGTAATGGCTTGAACTAGTGTTGTGGTGAACAATGTGAAGAGAAATAAATGTTTTTGAGGGGGTGTTAGGGGGTAAAATTGATAAAAAGTTAGACGAAATAGACATGGGGGCTGTTGGAAAGGGAGATGTGAAAGATGACTTGTCGGTTTCTGATTCTGCAGTTGGGTAGATGATGGTACTGTTCACTGAGATAGGGAATGATGGAAGATTATTTGATTTTGGGAGAATGCTGGGATCTAGAGAAAATTAATTCAATCACACAGTTCAAAAATAAAATGAAAAATAAAGATACACAATACAAAAATTGTTCTTATTACAATCCCTATGAATCATGTTCTTTTCCCACAACCCTAAAATAGCTAACTTTCAAATTAATATATTAGTTATCTTCCCACAGTTTTAAAATATTGTTTTAGTGTGTATTTTTATGATTGCTATTGAGGTTGAATATATTTTTACATTTGTTATCCATTTGTAATATCCAAATGTAATATTACATTTGTTATCCATTTGTATATTCCATTTGTAATCCAATTGTAATACCAATATCCTTGGTAATTATTTGTCCACATCCTTTCTTCAATTTTGTATTTTCTTTGATGTTTTAATTACTGATTCATATTAGCTCCTCATATATCAGGAATGTTGATATTTTCTTCTAAACCCTAGTCTGTTGCTTAGCTCAAACATTATTGATTTTTTTGTTACAGAGAAGTGTAAAATTAAAGTGTACAGAAATATCTTCATCTTTCCCAAGTTCATAAAAATATGCTCCTAAATATTTTAATATATTCAGTATTTGTTGTTCACATTTAGTAGCATTTTATTCCATTGTGCATAAAAGCCTAACTTTATTTTCTAAAAGGATACATTTGTCCAGTGCAACTTATTGAATACTTCATAATTTCCTCATTGGTCATAAATTGTTCTTTCATCCTACACTAAATTCCTGTATACATATGAATCTATTCCTGGAACCCTTGATTTAATTTCACTTATTCTTTTTCTATTTTTACCTCAGTACCAAACTTTAAATTTGTCAGGTTTGTTAAAATAACTAATTCATGCGCAAGGGTCATAATTAAGTACAAAGATGTCTACAGTGAAAAGTAAATCTCTTTACCATTTGTGCCCAAGTGTCAACAAGTTCCCCTGTGAGGAGGCAACACCTATCACCAGTGTTTTGGTGCATACACATCATGACACACAAATATTCTAGTACTACAATGCTTCATTTCTTTAGTTTTATAGTATTTGTTGTTCATTATTAGATGAAATATCTTCTCATAGCATTTTTCAAAATATAATTACAAGCATTTTCTTATAAACCTTAAGCTTGACAAGTTTTTAATTTATTTTAATTGACAAATGAAAAATGTACATATTTATGGCATACAACATGATGTTTTGAAATATGTATACATTGTGGAATGTCTAAATAGACATATTTATTAACATATGTATTACCATTACCTCACATCCTTTTGGTGAGATTGCTTGAAATCTACTCTTCTAGCGAGTTTCAAATATACAATAGATTGTCATGGACTATTGTCACCATGTTGTATAATAGATCTCTTAAGTTCATTCCTACCGTTGAACTGAAATGTTGTATCCTTTGAGCAACATTTCCTCAATCTTTAAGAATATTGTGTTGGGAATTTTATTAGAAGTACATTACATTATAGAAAATCTTGAAACCACTAGTATCTATAAAATATTTCGCTCTCTCCAGTCAGAAACGTGCTATATTTCCATTTACTCGGGTCTTCTTTTCAATAGATGTTTTGTTTAAAGAAAACTTTCTAAATTGAAGTATAGCATATATGGAAAAAATGCAAAATCCTAATTGTACAGCGCAATGAATTTTTGTTAAATGTAACCACTATCAGGGTCAGAAAATAAAAAAAAAATTAACACACCAGAACCATCTCTTTATGTCTTTCTTGGCCATTGTCCATACTCCCCCCACAAAGATAACTAATACCCTGATTTCTTATAGTAGTTTCACTTGTTTTTAAACTTTATATAAGTCGAATAATATTCTTTATACTCCAGTATGTACTTTCTTGTGTATGGCTTGTTTTATTCAACATGATTTTGAGATTCATCCACGTTGTTGCAAAAGCTATAGTTCATTAATTTTTAGTGCTATGTAGTAGTCTCTTCTATAAATATACCACAATTATATATCCCTCCTACTGTTGATGGACATTTAAGTTTTATCTCGTTTGATACTATTATAAGTAATGTTGCAATAAAACATTTGTATACATTTCTTTTGCTGAACACATGTCCACATTTTGTTGTCTGTATAACTAAGATGAGAATTTTGGGGTCATAGGGTATGCATATTTTCAACTTATTAGATACTGCCAAGAAGTTTCCAAAGTTTTTGTTCAGATTTACACATCCACTGGCAGTGTATGAAAGATCTTATGGCTCTCCATCCTGCCCACCAATTACTACTGTTATACATTTAAATTTTAGATATTATAATATGCTTGTTTTGGTATCTTATCATAGTAATTTAGATTTACATTTCCCTGATGACTTTTGAGATTGATCATAATTTCATATGCTATTTGCCATTTGGATGTTCTTAAACATTTTTTGAAAAGTTTATTCAAATAATTTGTTCATTAGTCTATTCAATTGTCACCATTTGCTTTTTACTGATTTATAATTCTTTATATTCTGAATACTAGTCCTCTGTCAAATATATGTATTGCATGTTATCTTTTCCCACCCCATGGGGCTTGCCTTTTCACTCTTATTTGTATTGTCTTTTGATGAACAGATATTCTTAATTTTAATTTAGTCTAGTTGATCAGACTTTTACTTTATGGTTAATACTTTTTAGTTCCATTTAAGAAATACTTGCCTACCTCAGTATCATGAAGATATTATCCTATGTTATCCTCTAGAAGCTTTATTGTTTTACATTATACAAACACACACGTATATATTTAAGGATATATATACAGTAAGTCTTCACTTAATGGCATCAGTAGGTTCTTGGAAACTATGACTTTCATGGAAACAGCATACTATATAACAAAACCAATTTTACCATAAGCTAATTGATATAAACGAGTAAATTTCTATGGCTTACAGTATGTTGTTTCCTTGAAAATTGCAGTTTCCAAGAACCTACTGACAACATTAAGGTGAGGACTTACTGTACCTATATAACGAAAGGTATATATTAATTGTATATATAGGTGCCTTGTGTGTGTGTGTGTGTGTGTGTGTGTGTGTGTGTATAATGTGTAAATATCAGTGTGTTAGTCCATTCTCACTCTGCTATGAAGAAATACCCAAGACTGGGTAATTTATAAAGGAAAGAGGTTTAATTGACTCACAGTTCCGCATTGCTGGGGAGGCCTCAGGAAACTTACAATCATGGTGGAAGGTAAAGGAGAAGCAGGCACCTTTTTCACAGGGCGACAGGATCCACTATCTCCACCTGGTCCCGACCTTGACACGTGAGAATTATGGGGATTATAATTGAGGTGAGATTTGTTTGGGGACACAGAGCCAAACCATATCAATCAATATAATTAATTTATTTGTATGATGTGTGGTAGTATTCAAGAGTTATTCATTTCTATGTGGATATCCAAAAGTTAACCAATTAATTAATCTGGTAGTATAATCCCTCTTTTGTCCTTTTCGTTCTAAATTTTAGAATCGGATTGCCAATTCCCAGACAGTAAAGGACCTCTTGGAATTTGTTTTGCAATTGCACAAAATCTATGGTCAATTTTGGGATAATTATTATTTTTACAAATTGTAGTGTTCTAATTTGGGAACATGATATATCTGTCCATTTATTATGTTTTTATTTTTTAGTGTTATTTGATGCTATTTTAAATGTATCTTTGTAAAAAAAATCACTTTCTAAATTTTTTTGTGGTATTTAAAATATAATCAATTTTAGAATATTGATCTTGTGCTCAGAGTTACTGATGAATCCATTTATTAATGCTACTAATTTATCTGTAGTTTCATTAATTTTTCAAATAATTTAATTTTCATTTCTTGATTTTAAGTTTTTACAAATTTCATATTTTTCCTGCCTTATTGTATTGCCTAAGACCTCTAGTACAATGCTGAACGTAAGCAGAGATCATAGGCATCTTCTATTTCATTCCTGACCTTGGGGGAAATTTCTCATTATTTCACCATTAAGTATGATTTTCACTATAGAGTTTTTAAAATACCCTTTATCAGATTAAGAAGTTTCCATTTTTAGTTTGCAAAGACTTTTTAAAAAATCATTAATGGGTATTGAATTTTATCAGATTTTTTTTCTACATCTATTGAGTTGATCATATATTTTTCTCCTTTATTCTGTTAATATGATGAACTGCATTGACTGATTTTCAAGTGTTAAACCAGCCTTTTATTCTTTATATAAATCCTACTCTTCGTGTTATTTTGCAACACAGGATGGGAACTATGTGTATGCATGTGTGTGTATATGTGTGAGTTTTAAAATTTTTGCACCCACATTTATAAGTGAGATTGGCCGTCAGTTTTCTTTTTTCTGTCAAGTTTGTGTGAGGTTTTGGGATTAAGGTTATGTTAGCTTGAAAAATGAATTGGGATGAAAAACTATTTTTTTTTCTTTACATTCTGGAAGATATTATGTAAGACTGATGCTATTTATTCTTTAAATGTTGAGAGGAATTCACTGGTAATGCCATCTGGGACTCAAGTTTTCTTTGGGGGAAAGTCTTTAGTGATAGATTCAATTTCTTTAAGAGTTATAGGAGTATTGGGATGTTTTTATTACCTTCTTTTGTCAGTTTTAAGTTATGTTTTCAAAGAAATACGTTTTTCTAAATTTTCATGTTTTTTGGCATAAAGTCCATTTTAAAAATATGATACCTCTTTTCTCTTTAGTGTCTATTGGATCTGTAATGATGCCCTCCTTTCCATTCCTAACAGTAGTTGTTTGGTTATTTTCATTTTTTCATTTGTTATTCATCAGGCTTGCTGGTGGCTTTTAATTTTCTTTTTTCTTCTTTTTTTGTGTGTTACATTTATTTTTTATTTTATTTTGTATTATACTTTAAGTTTTAGGGTACATGTGCACAACGTGCAGGTTTGTTACATATGTGTACATGTGCCATGTTGGTGTGCAGAACCCAGTAACTCGTCATTTAACATTAGGTATATCTCCAAATGCTATCCCTCCCCGCACCCCCCACCCCACAACAGACCCCGGTGTGTGATGTTCCCCTTCCTGTGTCCATGTGTTCTCATTGTTCAATTCCCACCTATGAGTGAGAGCATGCGGTGTTTGGTTTTTTGTCCTTGCGGTAGTTTGCTGAGAATGATGGTTTCCAGCTTCATCCATGTGCCTACAGAGGACATGAGCTCATCCTTTTTTATGGCTGCATAGTATTCCATGGTGTATATGTGCCACATTTTCTTAATCCAGTCTATCATTGATGGACATTTGGGTTGGTTCTAAGTCTTTGCTATTGTGAATAGTGCCGCAATAAACATACGTGTGCATGCACCTTTATAGCATCATGATTTATAATCCTTTGGGTATATACCCAGTAATGGGATGGCTGGGTCAAATGGTATTTCTAGCTCTAGATCCCTGAGGAATCAACCAACTTTTGTATTTGCTGGGCCTCTTTATTACAGATTTTTTATTTCATTGATTTTTGATTTTATATTTGTTATTTTGTTCTTTCTACTTTCTTCGGTTTTAACTTGCTTTTATTCTACTATTTTAGATGTATAATTAGATCACAGATTTATATACTTCCGTCTTTTCAAATACATGTATCTAAGCCTATAAATTTCTCTCTGATAATGGCTCTGTTGTATCCCAGAAATTTTGATTTGCTATATTTTCATTTTCAGGTAGTACAAGATGTTTTCTGGTTTAATTTGGATTTCTTCTTTGCACCATGGTTTATTTAGAATTAATTTGCTTAATTTCCAAATTGAGATGATTTTCTATTTGTTATTAATTTTTTCTAACTTAATTAAATTGTGGTCAGAGAATATATTTTGACTCCAATCATTTGAAATTGGTGTGGTCTGCTTCATGGCCCATTCAACAGTAAATTTTGTTTAGGTTAAATATGTATTTCAAAAAATGCAATTCTTGCACTTTTGGGTGTTATGTTTTAAGTATGTCATTTAGGTTAAGTTTGTTAATTATTTTGTTGCAATCATATGTATCTTTACTGGTATCTGATGGCCGGTACTATTAGTTACAGTTATTACATCCTGAAATCCAGTTATGACATATTTAATTCTATAATATCTATTTTTTCATTTTTTTTCTTTTTTTTCTTCTTTTTTTTATTATACATTAAGTTTTAGGGTACATGTGCACATTGTGCAGGTTAGTTACATATGTATACATGTGCCATGCTGGTGCACTGCACCCACTAACTCGTCATCTAGCATTAGGTATATCTCCCAGTGCTATCCCTCCCCCCTCCCCCCACCCCACAACAGTCCCTGGAGTGTGATATTCCCCTTCCTGTGTCCATGTGATCTCATTGTTCAATTCCCACCTATGAGTGAGAATATGCGGTGTTTGGTTTTTTGTTCTTGTGATAGTTTACTGAGAATGATGATTTCCAACTTCATCCATGTCCCTACAAAGGACATGAACTCATCATTTTTTATGGCTGCATAGTATTCCATGGTGTATATGTGCCACATTTTCTTAATCCAGTCTATCATTGTTGGACATTTGGGTTGGTTCCAAGTCTTTGCTATTGTGAATAATGCCGCAATAAACATACGTGTGCATGTGTCTTTATAGCAGCATGATTTATAGTCCTTTGGGTATATACCCAGTAATGGGATGGCTGGGTCAAATGGTATTTCCAGTTCTAGATCCCTGAGGAATCGCCACACTGACTTCCACAGTGGTTGAACTAATTTACAGTCCCACCAACAGTGTAAAAGTGTTCCTATTTCTCCACATCCTCTCCAGCACCAGTTGTTTCCTGACTTTTTAATGATCACCATTCTAACTGGTGTGAGGTGGTATCTCATTGTGGTTTTGATTTGCATTTCTCTGATGGCCAGTGATGTTGAGCATTTTTTCATGTGTTTTTTGGCTGCATAAAATCTTCTTTTGAGAAGTGTCTGTTCATGTCCTTCGCCCACTTTTTGATGGAGTTGTTTGTTGTTTTCTTGTAAATTTGTTTGAGTTCATTGTAGATTCTGGACATTAGCCCTTTGTCAGATGAGTAGGTTGCGAAAATTTTCTCCCATTTTGTAGGTTGCCTGTTCACTCTGATGGTAGTTTCTTTTGCTGTGCAGAAGCTCTTTAGTTTAATTAGATCCCATTTGTCAATTTTGTCTTTTGTTGCCATTGCTTTTGGTGTTTTAGACATGAAGTCCTTGCCCATGCCTATGTCCTGAATGGTAAAGCCTAGGTTTTCTTCTAGGGTTTTTATGGTTTTAGGTCTAACGTTTAAGTCTTTAATCCATCTTGAATTGATTTTTGTATAAGGTGTAAGGAAGGGATCCAGTTTCAGCTTTCTACATATGGCTAGCCAGTTTTCCCAGCACCATTTATTAAACAGGGAATCCTTTCCCCATTTCTTGTTTTTCTCAGGTTTGTCAAAGATCAGATAGTTGTAGATATGTGGTGTTATTTCTGAGGGCTCTGTTCTGTTCCATTGATCTATATCTCTGTTTTGGTACCAGTACCATGCTGTTTTGGTTACTGTGTAGCCTTGTAGTATAGTTTGAAGTCAGGTAGTGTGATGCCTCCAGCTTTGTTCTTTTGGCTTAGGATTGACTTGGCGATGCGGGCTCTTTTTTGGTTCCATATGAACTTTAAAGTAGTTTTTTCCAATTATGTGAAGAAAGGCATTGGTAGCTTGATAGGGATGGCATTGAATCTGTAAATTACCTTGGGCAGTATGGCCATTTTCACGATATTGATTCTTCCTACCCATGAGCATGGAATGTTCTTCCATTTGTTTGTATCCTCTTTTATTTCCTTGAGCAGTGGTTTGTAGTTCTCCTTGAAGAGGTCCTTCACATCCCTTGTAAGTTGGATTCCTAGGTATTTTATTCTCTTTGAAGCAATTGTGAATGGGAGTTCACTCATGATTTGGCTCTCTGTTTGTCTGTTGCTGGTGTATAAGAATGCTTGTGATTTTTGTACATTGATTTTGTATCCTGAGACTTTGCTGAAGTTGCTTATCAGCTTAAGGAGATTTTGGGCTGAGACAATGGGGTTTTCTAGATATACAATCATGTCATCTGCAAACAGGGACAATTTGACTTCCTCTTTTCCTAATTGAATACCCTTTATTTCCTTCTCCTGCCTAAGTATTGTATGAAAATTTCCATTATGTCTATTTTTTTAAAAAATGAATCATCATTATTTAATTGGCCATGCAATTATTACAGTACATAGATTGCATCTGAGACTTTTTCTAGTATTTTCTTTTCCTTTCTGAGTCTTATCTTATTATTGGTAATTGCTGTTTGAATGCTGGGCATTTTAAGTGAAATAGAGAAAGCCCTAGTTAATGTTACCTTTAAAATGTTTTTTATTTTGAAATAATAAACTCATGGGAAGTCGCAAATAATAAACTCATGGGAAGTACATAGAGACCTATAAACTTTTTACTTAGAGTCACCCAATGGGAATTCTGATAATGACGGTAGTACAATGTTAACTATGCCATAGACTTCATTAATATTATTATATTGCAACAATAAAGGAATGGTTTGATGTGTGCTCTTTTTTGTGTGTCTCTATGTCTATAGTTCTATGCAATATAATCCCATGTATAGATTTATGTAATCCCCATCACAATCAAGATAAAGAACTGTTCAATCACCATAAATATAAAACCCCTCATGTTACTCCTTTATAGTAGTATCCGTCCCTGTCTCTTTCCATGAAACCATGAATCTGTTCTCCATCTCTATGGTTGTGTCAGTTTGATAATATTACATAATTGTAATTATATACTGTGTAACTTTTTTAAAATTGGCTTTTAGAAAATTAATAGGGTTTATATTTTAGAGTAGTTTTAGGTTTACAGAAAAATTGAGGAGAAAGTACAGAGTTCCTATATATTCTTTTCTTCCTCTCCCTCTGAGTTTCCCCTATTATTAACATCTTGCATGATGTGGTACAGTTGTTACTATGAATGAGTGAATATTAGATACATTTTTATTAACTAAAGTATATAGTTTGCATTAGAGTTCACTCTGTGTTGCACAGTTCTGTGGGTTTTGACAAATGTATAATGCATTGTATCCACCAATACAGAATAGTTTCATTGCCCTAACAATCCCCAGTGGCCCACCTACTTAACTCTCCCTCTTTTCCTCCAAGCCCTTGGCAACCACTAATCTTTTTAGTCTTTATGTAGTATTTTCCAAAATGTCATAATTAGCACTATACAGTCTGTAGCCTTTTCTGATTGGCTTCTTTCACTTAGCAATATACATTTAAGGTTCCTCCATGGTTTTTTTTTTTTTTTTGGTGGTTCGATAGCTCATTTTTTTTAGTGGTGAATAATAATATTGCATTGTTTGTATGTGTCACAGGTCATCTTGGTTGCTTCCAAGTTTTGGCAATTATGAGCAAAGCTGCTATAAACATTTTTGTGTAGGCTTTTGCTTGTAAATAAACTTTCAAATCATTTGGATAAATACCAAGGAGTGTTATTGCTGGATCATATGGTAAAAGTATGTTTAGTTTTGTAAATAACTGCCAGACTGTCTTCCAAACTGGTTGTATCATTTTGCATTACCAGCAGCAATGTACGAGAATTCCTGTTGTTCCACATCCTCATCAGCATTTGGTATTGTCAATGTTTTGGAATTTAGCCACTGTAATAGATGAAAGTGGTATTTCATTGTTGTTTTAATCTGCGATTCCCTAATGATATGTGATGCCGAGAATCTTATCGTATGCTTGTTTATCATATGTATATTTTCTTTGGTGAAAGAATGACACTTTGACTAAGCATGATGATCTTGAGTTCCATTCAGGTTACTTCAATACATGCAGCAGTACTTGATACCAGTAATTGGTACCTTTTCATTACTAAGTAGTATTCTGTAGTATGAATGTACTAGAATCTGTTTATTTACCTGTAAAAATATTTTTGCGTTGTGTCCAGCTTGATCCTATTAAAAATAAAGGTGGTGTGAACATCCATGTACAGGTTTTTGTATGTACATAAAATTCCATTTCTTTGGGATGAATGTCCAAGAATGACATTGATACGTCTTATGGTAGGTGCATGTGTGGTTTTTAAGAATCTGCCAAACAATTTTCCAGAGTGCTTTTACCATTTAATATTTAAATGAGAATAGCTTTTTTTATTTTGCTTTGTAAGTCTGTTGCTAGTATATAGAAATAAATTTTTTTTTCGCATATTGATCTTGTGTCCTGTGACTTTGACAAACTCATTATTGGTAGGAGATTTTTTTTTTATTCCTCGGGATTTTCTACATAATGAATTGTTATCTGCAAACAGAGACAGTTTAAAGTCTTTCCTTCCATTCTGTAGGCTTTTTGTTTCCTTTTTTTTCTTTATTGTATTGGTTAGGATTTCTAATATTGTGTTAAATAAAAGTGGTAAGAACGGACACCTTCGCCTTGATTTTAGGAGGAAACATTTCACCATGAACTATGATGCAGCTCAACGTTTTTTTCAGGCGTTCTTTATAAAGTTGAGCAAGTTTTCTTCCATGCCTAGTTTGCTGCAAGTTGTTTTTATAAATCATGTATAGGTACTGGATTTTGTGAAATGATATTTCTGCATTATATAGTTTTGCCTCTTTGGCATGTTGTTATGGTGGGTTAAATTGATTGTCAAATGTTCAACCGACCTTGCATAACTGGAATAAATCTTACTTAATTAAGATGTATAATTAGTTTTATATTTGATGGACTCAATTTGCTAATGTTTTCTTGAGGATTTTTGTGTTTATATTCATGAAGGATATTTGCCTATAATATTCCTTTTTTTCTGTACTGCCCTTGTTTGGTTTTTGGAACCAGGACAATACTGGCCTCATAAAATCCGTTTATTACTGTTCTTTCCTATTCACCTTTTGAAAAGAGATTTTGTTGAATTGGAGTTATTTTTTTTTTAATATATGGTAAATTCTCTAGTGAAGCCATCTGGTCTGGGATTTCATTCTTTAAGGTTTTTGGTGAGAATTCAGCTGATAATCTTATTGAGGATCATTTGCATGTGATAAGTTGCTTCTCTCATGCTGCTTTCAAAATTTTTTGTTTTTGTCTTTCAAAAATGTAATCATAAAGTGTCTTGGCCTGGATGTATTTGAATTTATTAAACTTGAAGTTCGTTGCACTTCTTGGTTTCATAGAGTCGTGTCTTTCTTAAAATTTGGGAAATTTTCAGCCATTAGTTCTTCAAATGTTCTTTCTGCTCTTTTCTCTCTCCTCCTCCTCTGAAACGCCCATTATGCAAATGTTCCACATGTCTCTTAGGTTTTATTATTATTCTTTTTTAAACCATTTTAAAGTGTACGTTTCAGTGACATTTAATACATTCACATTGTTGTGCAACCATCACCACTATCTGATTCCAGAACACTTTGTCATCCCAAAAGTAAACCTCATACCTATTAGGCAGTTACTCCCCATTCCCCTCTTTCTCAAACCCCTCATGAACGCTAATCTTCATTTTGTCTCTATGGATTTACCTATTCTGGATATTTTGTATATATGGAATCATACAATATGTGGTCTTTTATGTCCATTTTCTTTCACTTAACATAATGTCTTCTAGGTTCATCCATATTATAGAATGTATTAGTACTTCATTTCTTTTTATGGAAAAATAATATTCCATTTTATAGTTGCCACATTATATAGTTGCCACATACTCACAATGTGTATGTCACATTTGTTTATCCACTCATCCGTTGACAGATATTTGTGTGGTTTCCATCTTTTGTCTATTGTGAAGTGTACTGCTATGACATTCATGTACAATTTTTCATTTGAACATGTGTTTTGAACTTTTTTGGGTATATACCCAGGAGTGGAATTGCTGAGTCATAAGTGAATTCTGTGTTTAACTTACTGAGGACTCACCAAACTGTTTTTAAACAGTAGCTGAGCCAATTTGCATTCTCATCAGCAATATATAAGGGTTCTAATCTTTCCATATCTTTATGAACACTTGCTTTTATCTTTTTTTAATGTCACCATCTTAGTGGATGTGAAGTGGTATGTTACAATTTTTATTTGCATTTCATGTTGGCTAAATGATGTTGAACATTTTTTCGTGTGCTTGTTGGTCATTTCTGTATCTTTTTTTGGAGAAATGTTTATTCATTCCTTAGCCCACTGAAAAAAATTTGGTAAGAAGCTGGTAACCTTTATGTGATTCTTTTTTTAAAAAACAGCTTTATCGAGATATAATTTACATACTGGAAATTACTTGTAGCCCATCTTTTAATTAGGTAATTAACTTTTTGTTACTGAGTTGTAAGAGTTCTTTATATATTGAGGGTACTAGACCCACTGCAGATAGATGATGAACAAATATTTTCTCTCACTTGTGGATGTCTTTTCACTCCCTTGATTGCATCATTTGATGCATAGAAGTTTTTGTTTTTGATGGAATCCAATTTATCTATCTTTTATTTTGTTCCTTGTGCTTTTGGTGTTGTATCTAAGAAATCATTTCCTAATTCATGTTCATGAAGACCAACCTCTATTTTTCATCTAATAATTTTATAGTGTTAGCTCTTAGAGGTAGATGTTTGAACGAGTTTGAGTTAAATTTTGCATATGATAAGTGAAACAGATCCAGCTCCTTTTGCATATGGATATCCAGTTGCCCCAACATTTTTCTTCATTATTTTTTTCTTTTTTCTCTACAGAAAGTAATCCCAATTGATTCTTTTTTTCCGCTGCTCAAATATACTGTTGAATCTTCATAGTAAAATTTTCATTCCAGTTATACTTTTTAACTTCAGAATTTTTATTTGGTTCTTTTTTTATTACTTATTTATTTTGGTTGTTGTTCATTTTTGAGACAGGGTCTCACTCTGTCACCCAGGCTTGAGTTCAGTGGCACGATCATGGCTCACTGCAGCCTCCATCTGCTAGGCTCAAGTGATCCTCCCACCTCAGCCTCCCAAGTAGCTGGGACTACGGGCACATACCACCATGCCCACCTGATTTCTTATTTTTTAATTTTGTAGATACAGTGTCTCACTATGTTACCCAGGCTGGTCTTGAACTCCTGGTTGCAAGCGATCTTCCCACCTTGGCCTCCCCAAGTGCTGGGATTACAGACATGAGTCACCACATGCATCCTTCGTTCCTTTTTATAATTTCTATTTCTTATTGATAATTTCTGTTTGGTGAGACATTTTTCGCCTGGTTTCCTCTAGTCTTTGCTCATGGTTTTCTTTAGCTCTTTGAACATTTTTAAAACAGTTTATTTGAAGTCTCTTCCTAGTGAGTCCAATGTCTTAATTTTGTCCAGGGACAGTTTCTATTAATTTTCTTTTTTGTTGTGAATGACACATATTTTCTTGTATTTTTGTGTGATTTGTATATCTTCTTTGGGGAAATGTTTTTGGAATAATATTCATTTTGAATATTATACTGTGTTCACTGTGGAGATTAAATTTTCCCACTTCCCCAGGATTGGTTACTATTGCTTTTTTGTGAGTTTGTTTGTTTAATGATTTTTTATAAACAATTTATTTAATTTTTTAATAATTAAAATTTTTATTTGAAATAATTATGGGTACATAATAGTTCTATATGTTGATAGAGTATATGTGATGTTTTTGTTTTTTAAATATAAAATTTGTTATTAATTATTATGGATACATGATAGTTATACATATTTATGGGGTACATGTGATGTCTTGATGCAGGCATACAATGTCTATTGATCAAATGGCATAATTGGGGTACCCATCACCTCAAGCATTTTTCATTTCCTTGTGTTAGGAACATTCCAATTTCACTTTTTTTTATTTAAAAATACACGATAAATTATTGTTAACTATATTCACTCTGTTCTACTATCAAATACTACCTCTTGTTCCTTCTAACTGTATATTTGTGCTCAATAACCATTACCTCTTTATCCTTCCCCCCACAACCCTTCCCTGCGTCTGATAACCCTCATTCTACTCTTTATGTTGGTGAGTTGAATTGTTTTAATTTTTAGTTCTCACAAATGAGTGAGAACATGCAAAGTTTTTCTTTTCATGCCTGGCTTAGTTCACTTAACATAATGAATAATGTCCTGCAGTTCCATCCATGTTTTTGCAAATGGCAGGATTTCATTCTTTTTTATGACAAATAATATTTCATTGTATATATGTCCCACATTTCCTTTACCCATTTATTCATTGATGGACTTTAGGTTGATTCTCTATTTTGCCTATTGTTAATACAGCTGCAATAAACATAACAGTGCAGATATCTCTTTGTTAGATTGATTTCCTTTCTTTTGGGTATATAATGAACAGTGGGATTGCTAGGTCATACGATAGTTCTCTTTTTATTTTTTTGAGGAATCTTTGTACTGTTCTCCATAGTGGCTGTACTAATTTACCTTTCCACCAACAGTGTATGGGGGTTGCCTTTTCTCCACATCTTTGCCAGCATTCATTATTGCCTATCTTTTGTTCATTTATAAATCAGATTTTTTTTGGTATTGAGTTGTTTGGGCTCCTTGTATATTCTGGTTATTAATCTCTTTTCACATGGGTAGTTTGCAGATATTTTCTTCTATTCTACAAGTGGCCTCTTTGTTGACTGTTTTCTTTGCTATGTAGACTTTTGGCTTTATGTGACTCCATTTGTCCATTTTTGCTTTGTTTGCCTGTGCTTTTGAGGTCTTAGTCAATAAATCTTTGCACAGACCAATGTCCTGGAGTGTTTCCCTAATGTTTTCTTTCAATAGTTTTATAGTTTCATATCTTAGATTTAAGTTTTTAACCCATTTTGATTTGATTGATTGATTTCTTTCTTTAGAGACAGGGTATCACTCTGTCACCCTGGCTGGAGTGCAGTGGTGCAATCATAGCTCACTATAACCTCAAACTCCTAGACAAGAGTGAACCTCCTGAATAGCAGAAACTACAGGCATGTACCACCATGCCTGGATAATTTTTTAAAAATTATTTTTTGTAGAGATTGGGTCTCACTATGTTACCCAGGCTGGTCTCAAACTCCAGGCCTCAAGCGATCTTCCTGCCTCAGCTTCCCAAAGCACTTGAATTACAGGCATGAGCCACCATGCCTGGCCAATTTTATTTTTATGTATGGTGAGAAGCAGGGGTTGAATTTCATTCTTCTGCATATTGGATATCCAGTTTTCTCAGCAACATATATTGAAGGGGTGTCCTTGTCCCAGTGTATGTTCTTGTCATCTTTGTCAAAAATGAATTGGTCACAAATGCATGGATTTATATCTGATTTATCTATTCTATTCCATTGGTCTATATGTCTGTTTTTATCCCAGGGCCATGCTACTTTAGTTACTATACCTTTGTAGTATAATTTAAAGTCAGGTAATACGATTTCTCCAGGTTTTTTTTTTTTTTTTCCTCAGGATGACTTTGACTTCTCCTGGTCCTTGGTGGTTGTGGTTCCATATACATTTAGGACTATTTTCTCTATTTCTGTGAAGAATATCTTTGGCATTTTGATAGGGACTACATTGAATCTGTGGATTGCTTTGCATAGAATGGACATTTTAACAGTATTGATTCTTCTAAAATCCGTGAACTATCTTTCCATTTTCTTGTCTGACAATTTCTTACATCAACATTTTGCAGTTTTCATTGTAGATATCTTTCATTTTTTGTTTATTTCTAGATATTTTATTTTATTTGTAGCTATTGTAAATGGGAATACTTTCTTTGTTTCTTTTTCAGATTGTTCACTGCTGACATATAAACATGCTACTAATTTTTGCATGATGATTTAGTATCCGGCAACTTTACTGAGTTTTTAAAAATCAGTTATAATGGTTTTTTTTGGTAGAATCTTTTGGTTTTTAACAATATAAGATTATATCTGCAAAAAAGGATAATTTGACTTCTTCTTTTCCAGTTTGTATGCCCCTTATTTCTTTATCTTGTCTAATTGCTCTGGCTAGGACTTCCAGTACTATGTTGAATAAAAGTGGCAAAAGTGAGCATTCTTCTTTAGTTCCAGATGTTAGAGGAAAGACTTTCCATTTTTCCCTGCTCAGTATGATACTAGTGTGGGTTTGTCATATATGGCTTTTATCATGTTGAGATATGTTCTTTCTGTACCCGGATTTTGAGAGTTTTTGTCATGAAGGGATGTTGAATTTTATTGGATGCTCTTTTTTTTGACATCATTTGAAATGATCATATGGTTTTTGTCCTTCATTCTATTGATAATAATGTATCACACTGATTGGTTTGCATATGTTGAAACATCCTTTTATTCCTGACTCATCTCTTGGTCATGATGAGTGATCTTTTTAATGTGTTGTTTAATTCAGCTTACTAGTATTTTGTTGAGGATTTTAGCGTCTATGTTCATTAGTGATGCTGGCCTGCAATTTGTTGCTGTTGTTGTGTCTTCCTCTGGTTTTGGTATTGGTGTAATACTGGCCTCATAGAATGAGTTTGGAAGTATTCCCTCTGCATTTTTTGGGGACAGTTTCAGTAGAATTGATGTTAGTTCTTCTTTAAATGTTTGATAGAATTCGGCAGTGAAGCCATCAGGTCCTGAGCTTTTCTTTGATGGAAGACATTTTATTACTTCTTCTATCTCATTACTTTTTATTGATCTCTTCAGCTTTTGGATTTCTTCATGGTTCAATCTTTGTAGGTTGTATATGTCTAGGAATTTATCAATTTCTTCTAGGTTTTCCAATTTATTGGCATATAGTTGCACATAATAATCTCTAATAATCCTTTTAGTTTCTGTGATATTATTTGTAATGTCTCCTTTTTCATCTCTGATTTTATTCATTTGAAATTTTTCCTTTTTTTGTAAGTTAGTTGGGCTAAATATTTGTTGATTTTGTTTATTTTTTTAAAAACAAGTTTTCATTTTGGTGATCTTTTGTATTTTTTTAGTGTCAATATCATTTATTTCTGCTCTGCTCTTTATTATTTCCTTTCTTCTACTAACTTTGAGTTTGTTTTGCTCTTCCTTTTCTAGTTTTTAAGATGAAGCCTTAGGTTATTTATTTGTAGCTTTTCTACCTTTTCAATCTAGGTGTTTATGCTAAAAACTTCCTTCTTTGTATTGCCCCATAGGCTTTGATATGTTGTGTGTTCATTTTCATTTGTTTCAAGAATTTTTTAAAAATCTTTTTACTTGTTTATTGGCCCAATGGTCATTCAGGAACATATTTAATTTTCATGTGTTTGTATACTTCCAAAATTCCTCTTGTTATTAATTTCTAGTTATATTCCATGTGAATGGAAGAAAAAGATAGCTTATGTAATTTTTTTATTTTTTGAGACTTGCTTTGTGGCCTAACATATGGTCTATCCTTGAGAATGTTCCATGTGCTTAGTAGAAGAATGTGTATTCTCCAGCTGTTGGATAAAATATTTTGCAAATGTCTATTATGTCCAGTTGGTCTATTGTGCTGATTACCTTGGAGGTTTCTTTCTTGATTTTCTGTCTGGACGATCTGTTCATTGCTGAAAGTGGGAAGTAGTTGTCCCCAGCTATTATTGTATTAGAGTCTATCTTGCTCTTTAGCTCTAATAACATTTGCCATATAAAAATATATATATATATATATATATATTCCAGTGTTAGGTGCATAGATATTTAAAATTGTAATATCCTCTTGCTGAACTGACCCCTTTATTATCATATAATTACCTTCCGTTTCTCTTCTTATAGTTTTTTTTTTGTCTTGAAATCTATTTTATCTGATATAAGATAGCTAATCCTTCTGTTTTGGGTTTCCATTTGCATGGAATATCTTTTTCCATCCTTTTTTTCTTTTCATTCTACGTGTGTCTCTACAGGCGAAGTGAATTTCTTACAGACAGCATAGATTTGGGTCTTGTTTTCTTAAATCCATTCAGCCATTCCATATCTTTTATTGGAAAATTTAGTCCATTTACATTAAAGGTTATTATTAATAGTACAAACTTCTTACTGCCATTTTGTCGTTTGTTTTCTGGTTGTTTTGTTGGTCCTCTCTCTCATATATCTTGTGATTTAAGCCTGGGGTCATTGCAGCTGTATCAGCACTTGGGAGCACACTAAACTCGGGAATGATGTGACTCTTGCAGACCCCAAGAGGCACTGTCTTGGTGGGCTTAAGTAAGATAAGAGAGAATTCCCTAGATTACCCCGCAAAGCCTGTTACTTTCCCTCTCTTTCCATTAATTAGAAGCAGCCTGTCTCTCCATGATGGGCTATCTGGAGTTAGGGGAGAGGTCATGTGAACACTCTCATGGCCTCCATGGTTAGGACTGTGCTGTGTCACACCTGAAGCCAGCACAGTACTGGATCTTGCCCAAGGGCCATGGAATCTATTGCCTAGCTACCACTAATGTTTATTCAAGGCCCAAGAGCTTTTTAGTCAGTAGGTGGTGAATCCTGCCAGGACTGGGTCCTTCCTTTCAGGGTTGCGATTCCCTACTGGCCCAGGGTGAGTCAAGGAATGCCATCCAGGAGCTAGGGCCAGGAATTAGGCGCCTCAGGAATTTGCTTGGTGGTTTATTTTACTGTGGCTGAGCTGGTATCCACGTCGCAGGACAAAATCCTCTGTACTCTTCTCTCTCCTTCCCCCAAGTGGAAGGACTGTCTTCCTTGAGATGCACTGCCTGGAGTTGGGGAAAGTGTGACACAGGCCCTATACATCATAGCTGCTGTTGCACTGGGTCATGCACAGTCCACGTCCACTGCCTTTGAGACCAGCACAGCACCAGGACTTGCCCAAGGCCTGCAGTCTTTGTGCCCTGACAGTCACTTAAGTTTATTTGGGGCCCCAGGCCACTTTTGTTGGCTGATGGTGGAGCTGACTGGGACTTGCATTTTTTTTTTTTTTTTTTTTTTGCAAGGGTGCGTAAGTACCCTCTGGCCTTGGGCTGGTGTAGATGCACCGTGGCACCAGCAGAATTCTGCCTTGTATTATGTTCCACTGTGACAGGGCCACTGAGTTCTAATGCAAAGACCCATACTCACCTTGCTCTCCCTCCTCCAAGCACACAGATTCTCTCTCTCCACAAGGCACAGTTAGGGGAGAGGGAAGGGGTGGTGTAGGCAATGCAAGACTGTCTTTCTTATCCTCTTCAATGCCTCCTCCCTTGATATTATATTAAATATTGAAACCAGATAATTTGATCTCTTACATGAGTATTTTTTTCCTATAAAGTTGCTTTCTTGCGTGGATAGTTGTTCAATTCAGTGTTCCTTGCAGGGGGACGATCAGTGGAGGGTTGTAATCAGCCATCTTGCTCCACCTCCGTCCTCTAAACTATTTTTTAAGACTGCACTCTATGTGTTTTGTGGTCATTGAAGTCTGTGTTTTCTTAACTTAGCTAGTGATTTGACAGAAATTTCCTTAGACACTGAGAACCAATAATAATAATAATAATAATAATAATAATAATAATAATAATAATAATAAATGACTTCCTGGCTCTCCTGCTTCTCCTGGTTGAAAGGGTTTGGGGTCTAGACTCCTCACTCAGCCTCTGCCAGTGCTCTGTCCACAGAGGAGGGAATCATCACCTCAGACTACCTGTACTGCTGGATGGAGTTGAAAGTTTGAGCCCCTCACTTGGCCTCCTCTTTCACTGCTGGTGATGGACTGTTTGTGGTGTTTGGCTAGGGTAGTGCAGGTATTGTCAATAAGTTTTCTGTCTTTCTGGGATGTCCCTTTCTTGGTCCTTTGGCTAGAGAGAGCAGACTTTTATTTGGGACTTTTTTTTTGTCTGCCTCTGTTGGTGGTTCTTTGTTACAAGCTTTTCTAACTCCTAGTTTGGGGTATGGGGGAGGTAAAAAGAAAATGCAGGGAACTCCCTGCCATGTTGTTTCTTAAGTTTCAAGGTCCCTAGCCAGTCTGCCTTTTCCTTTCCACTTATATGCAACTTTTTATAATTTTCTGCTGTGGTTTGTCTAGAGTTTTAATTGTAAAAACTTGAGAGGAATGGGGAAAATGATTGTATTTCATCTTGTCTGGAACCCAAAGTCCTCTGTTATCTTTTTTAAAGAGAGGATCATATCTTTCTTTTCCATCCTTACTCTTTGTGTAGCCCTTAAGCATTCCAGCTGAAATTTTGGGGGTTTACCAGGGACACTGACCTTACTGGGCCCCAAACTCCATGATACTGCTGATGAGTAGCTTGTAATCATTTTAACATCTTTTTTTCTGCTTGAGTTCTCCAACACAACCATTTAGAAATCAGTAAATGCCTCCTTGGAAAATGTGGCTCAGACTGTCAGACTCATTTCTTGGCTCTTCTGCTTTCTCCCGGATCTTGGTTTTTCAAAACCTGGGTTATATAAAGCCCTGAACTTTGATTTTTGTTTCACCACCTCTGTGATACTGTAGGAAACTGTGTTCCACTTCTCTGTCTCTTAATCATTGCTTTCTGCTTGACTTTTCAGCCTTTCTGGCTGTGTTAGTTACTTGGTAACTTACCAGTCAGCAAATTCTGACAGGGGTTAAGAAGTATAGTATATCAGGCTCACCTCAGCAAGTTTTCTTTAACTCCAAAATCTTGGCCCTTCAAATCCTATTTGCGTTGGCTCCCTGGTGAAATAACACACACACACACACACACACACGTGTGCACATACACACACGTGTGCACACACACAAGCACACACACATTTTATGGAAGTATTCTAGATTTTCTTGGTGGATGAGTTGGTCTGTTATATAAAGTTGTCCATTATAGCCATAAGCAGAAATTCTTCATAAAGTTTTACAGTTTTCTTCTAGTAAATTTTGTGTATATTTTGTTATATATATTTCTAAGTTTTATAGTTTTTTTGCTAATATGAATGGCTTTTTTCTTCCATTACATTCTCTAGTTGGTTATTGTTGATGTTTGCAAAGGATATTGACTAGTGTATTTTTATTTATTATTTGTCCATCTTATAGTAAACTATTATTCCATTGCAAACTAACACTTTTTCTCTTTTTTCTAATATTTATTCATTCTTTTTTCTTAGCTTAATTCATTGGCCAGAAATTTTAGTACTATATTGAATAAAGTTAGTGTTAGCAGCCAGTTTTATCTCCTTCCCAGCTTTAGAGGGACTCCTTTTAATGTTTCACTACTAAGTAGAAAGTTTTCTGTAGACTTCACATAAATAAAGTATTAACTCTTATAAAATGTCCATCCTATTTCTTCTTATGTTAATATAGCTTCCAAGTTTTCACTAAAATGTAACCTCCTTTATTCAATTTTATACTCTCTTTGGCCTTCTCAAATTATGGTTGGCTTCTTCTTCAAGTGGACAACAATACAGTGCATAAAGTGTTGTCTTTGATATTTAATTATGTTTTATGGTAAATGTTAGTTATGTTTTTGTCTGTCCCCAGGAAGACATTTTTCCTGTTTTATATTTGTATCCCCATTCTTGGTACAGTATCTGTCACATGCTATATAGTCAATATTTTTATATAATTAATTATTTCAACATTTTTATCATAATATTTTACTTCCATATCTGTTGTATATCTTTATTATCCTGAAGGTTTCTGATTCGAAGTAAAACTGAGACATAGGGAAAGAAAGGTGCATAGGGACCCAGTGCTGCTTTTATGCTCCTGCTTCATTCTCAGTTGACATTTCTCTGAATTATAGATTATTAGACTTAGAAGTTTAGTCATCATCTAGTTTGACCAATTCATCTTATAAATGAGGAAATTGAGACTCAGTAGAGGAAGTGAAATGTTCCAAAACTTACGGCTAATTTAAAATCTATTCCTTAAATTTATCTGTGTAGCAAAAAGAGATTACATCACACAGACAATCTTGTTTTCGCTGTATGCTAATTTCCATGAATTTCCTAGTGTCCTTCCCCACCTTGACATGTAGACAGTGTGTGACGGCTGGAGGGATAAGCATTGGCTTAAGGCGTTGGCACAGTCTGCAGAATAGAGAAAAGTTTTCCTCCATCAGCTTCTGGAATAGGAGATTCTGCTTTAGTTCACCATTTATCCAGATATGAACAGTATTCCTTACGGAGGTCCTGTACTATTGTGTTTCTTCATTTGGACATATGAAAGTAGCCTTTGCTTCTTCTACCTGTGGTTGCTTTCTAGCTTCAGATATCATGCTGCATTTATATCTGAGATTCTTGAACTTTGAAATAAAGCTGAACTGTGAAGCTATTGGGAGGGGTATGTGGGTGAGCTGAAGAAGGAGGAAGCAGAGAGGATTAATGGCTTTGGCTGAAACCAGAATGCTCTGGACTTAAGAACTACATGGTTTTTGCTCTTCAGAGAGCTATAGCAGATTCCTAAATCCCTTAGTGCTGGTTTCTACATGGCCTTATCCAAATCTCTATCCTATAGTCGCTGTTCTCCTACAATGGTCTCCAAGCAGACCCTTTGTGAAATTACATTTCTTGCAAATATTCATTCCAAGAGCCTAGGCCAGCCCTGTGCTACATTGGAGGCATCAAACAACAACTCGAGCAAAAAGTATTCCTCCCACTCCCAATAGTATAACTGAATTTTCGCCATCATAGAAAGTTCTTCCAGAAATATTTACATTTTAAGTAAACTATGGAAATATCATTTGACCAAGAGTCAGAGGTTTTCAGTTCAGTCCCTTCTTTTACACTTATTAGTAATTGGTTTGTGAGCAAGTAAAAACCTCTTTGTGTTTTAGATTTTTATCTGTTATGTAAGTTGAAAAATTCTTACCTTGCTTACCTATCATGATTGTGATAAGGATAAAATCTGATAATGAATGGCAAAATACATCATAAGAGCACAGATATAATTTATTATATTAATGTAACATCACTTGCCGCCACTTATTGGATACTCAGTGCATGCTGTGTACTCTAATCAATTTGTAGAGTATATGTGTTTGTGTGTGTGTGTGTGTATATATATATATATATATATACACACATTAAATCATCACACATTCCAAAAGAAAGAACTATTATCCTCCTGTTAGAGATAAAGAGCCTAAGTGTATTATCTTTCTATTGCTGATGTAACAAACTACTACAAATGTAACAGTTTAAAAAAACACACGTTTTATATCTCACAGCTTTATAGATAAGAAGTCTGGTTGGCTGACCTGGGTCCTTTTCTTAAAGAGTCTCACAAAGACGAAGTCAAAATATTGTAAGGGCTACATTATTTTTCTGGAGGCTCTGGTGATGAATATGCTTGCAAGCTCACTCAGGTTGTTGACAGACTTCTGTTTTACGTGGTTGTTAAACTGAGGTCCTTGTTTCCTTGCTGGCTGTTGGCCAGAGTTTTCTTTATCAGCTCTTAGAGGTCACCTACATTCCCTGGATCATGGGATCCCTTCATCTTCAAAAGCATCAATGGAGGATTGAGGACATTTTACACTTTGAATCTCTCCTGCCTCTTCCTCTGCCCCATCTCTCTGATCTCTTACTCTGCCCTTCCTCTTTTGCTTTTAAAGGCTCATGTAATTATATTGGACCCACCTGGGTAATCCAGGATACTATATCTATTTTAAAGTCAGTTGATTATCAACTATTCCATATGCAAAGTCTCTTTGGTTGTGTAATGTTTACATATTCATAGGGATAATACTAGGGGACAGAGATCATGGGGACCAAAATCTTGCTACCACACTAAGAGAGCCACTATTTAATGTTATTTTATTTTATTTTATTTATTTTTGAGACAGGGTCTTACTGTGTTGCCCAGGCGGGAGTGCAGTGGCGAGATCACAGCTCACTGCAGCCTCCAACTCCTGGGATCAAGTGATCCTCCCGCCTCAGCCTTCCAAGTAGCTGGGACTACAGGCACGTGTCACGATGCCCAGCTAATTTTATTTATTTATTTATTTATCTATTTATGTACAGATGGGATCTTTTGCAGAGACTCTATGTTGCCCAGGCTGGTTTCAAACTCCTGGCCTCAAGTGATCCTCCTACCTCAGTCTCCCGAAGCACTGGGAATATAGGAGTGAGCCACTGTGCCCAGCCTACTTGTATTTAAATTTAATGTCTAGGTTCCTAAATGAGTAAATAAAACTAATATTAATAAAACATAAATTAACGTGAGAAAATATTTTATATATTTCAGAGTGACGTGTGTGTATCCTCTTTGCTCAAAAAGAGAGAACCCCTTTCCCCAGTTTCTCTGCCTCATATTTTCACTTGCAATGTTGAGGTCCCCACTGTATGTTGTCCATTTTAGCTCTTCAACATAAAGGCCTTGATTCATACTACAGAAGGTGGTGTTTGTCTGTCTGATGATGTCTTTACCAAATAGGTAAGTCACTAGGGTTCCCTTAGGTTGGGGCTCTAGGGGTGCTCAGAACTTCAAAGCTATTCCTGTAGAGTTTTGCAGTCTTCCTTCTAGCTATTGCAAAATCACCTCGCTATGTCTGACTGGATCCTCTTACTCAATGTCCCAGCATCAATTTCACTTCCAATCTTGATTCTAGTTTAGTCTTTTTAAATCCAATCTGTATCTAGCAATCAGAAAGCTCTCTCTAATATGCAAATCTGCTAGTGTGACAGCATTCTTCAGTGGTTTCTCTTTTCTCTAAAAATCAAACCTAAACTCTTTGAAGTGGCTTGTGAGACCACACATGAACTGTTTCTGCTTACCTCTCTGGTTTTATTTCTATCCACTCTCCTCTTATTTCTCTTTGCTTCAGAAGTACTGAACTACTTTCATATTTTCTAGCCTAGTATGATCTTTGGCTCCCTTTGGTCTTCATATGTGATAGAAAATTCTTCCGCTTCTTTTTATTTTTTTTAAAATCTGAGCTTCACCAGTTCCTACTCAGAAACTTCCCAGTGATATCTTCCTCTATTCCCCAAATCATACTTCATAATAATTAGCATTTCTTTCCAGTAAACTATCAACCCCTTAAAGTTGAGAATCCTTATTTTGTTGAATACTGTGTTGTCTGAATTTAGCACAATTGTAAAATATTTTCTGAGAACATGAATACATGGATTAAACTTGTGTCTGTTTGAGCATTATACTCACCTAGCCTGAGTGGCTGTGATGGCACACCTCTATTATCTTAAGATACTTCCAAGAATTAGGACTGAGATTGTCTCTTTCCTCAGCCCTGATCTGTGTGAGTCTTTACTAGATAGAGTAGGAAGCTTGCCTCTTGGGAACTAGATTATCTGACCAGAAATTAGTTCTCCCCAAGCCATCAATCAAATTCTTTTTGCTTCTTCTGAGAAAGTAAAATGTTTTATCCCCTTGCAGGCTGAGTGCATATTGATATATCATGACTATCTCCACACACATCTTGGAGACACATTCCCACACCATGATTGCTTCTTTTCTGTGTTCCTTAACTGTAACCACCTGATTCTCTTCCATGCTTGTTTGCTTGTGTACTATGGTATTCTGAGCACACAACATGGTTGTATGCTTTTTTTAAAAATATTCTTGAGCAAATGTATTTATTTATTGGTATGTGCAATCACAAACTTGGTATTTTCCTATGTTGACATTATGTATGTTATAGAATTTAATGTTTGTCTAAGTAGAAACATATATCAGCAAATTAAATCTGAATTGTTTCAAAACTTCTGTACTTTTTATATAAAAGGAGAAAAATATGTCTCTTTCCTAATAGTTTTTTTTCTATACCCTTCATTCTGTTTTCTAAGAGCCTCAGGTTGTTAGATGGGTGGCAGTAACAAAGAGATCATAGCTAGTTTAGAACCAATGACATATGGGTCAACACTGTCCTCCCTCTCATAAGAACCACAGCCAAAGGCTGGGAAGGGCCAGAAAAATGGTGAGGTTAGAAGTTATTTAAGTTAGAGCAATTCTCTTTAGGGTCTGCTGTGTCATCTGGAGGAATAGATTGGTGGTTCTGAAGTATCCCTTGTGGGCCTGGCCCTTAGGAACAGAACAGGGCTGTAGAGCCCAAAAAAAAAAAAAAAAGGTGGAAAAACTCCAGCTGGCAGATATAATATGAAAGCCAAGCCACTTGAGCTATCTGACCTTATTCAGAGCCTAACCCATTTAAACAGGACTTAGGCATGCTTGGGAATCTTTTTTGTTTCCTTAGGCTGAGGCAGAATTGAAACCAAGAGGAAAGGAGGTTGCAGTTGTGGCCACAAGTAGACATAAAAGCTAATGGTCTGATCCTGAGGGAAGAGATTATAACTAAAGTCACCCAAATAAAGACTGCAGAATGGCCCTGGGCCATTCCTAACAGTCAGGGTAGCCTTAGAGGGTGTCAATTGTGATAGCCCAGCAGCAAAGGACTTGATGACAGAGTAATAGTGCTGTTGATGACATTGTCACCAAGCACCTACTACATGCTTCACCTTGGGATAGATACTTCGACAGTATCTTATTTAATCCCGACAGCTCGATAAGGTGGTTATTGTGCCCGATCCATAAATGTGAGAAATGGTGCTCTGAGAGAAGTTGAAGAGACATAATAAACAGGAGAAATTTCTCCTTTCGTGTAAGAAAATTAGAAAGAAAAGAAAAATAAAATAGGGGAAAATAAGTATATTTTAGAAAGGTTAATGGTCGAGGCAAAGTCATAGATGGATCATTCAAGATTTTTTCTCAATATTGCTGAATGGCTGAAGTACTAAATGTTTATTCGGAATACAAATAGTCTGGAGTGAAGAGGACTTTAAGAGGGTAGTAATAAGTAGAGTTTGTTTACTCCCCGAGATCTAGAGTTTTGATGTGATCAAGAACATTTCCTACCTGAAGCATAACCTGTCACCTGTGGCTTCTGCTTCTGTTAGAAATAGCATTTGCAGGATATTCTAAAAAGGAAAAAGATTTTTGTTTGGTTATCAGGTTGAAGAGAAATCTTAAATGACCATAGGCAGGGTGACCATATGTCTACTATAGTCCTGGTTTACACCTATTATCTTGGCATATTAAAGTTTGCTTTTTCCAAAGTGTCCAAGTTTTGGCCATAAGTTATTTGATCACTGAAGCCACAGAAGGTGTAAAGAGTGTGGTTCTCACAAGCCGTCTCTTATAGAAGCCAAATATGCCTTCACTCCTCAGTGCATTTCCCTGGGACCAGCTTCTGCAGAGATTGTATGCCTTTAGACTTAGGGTAACCTACTCTTGCACCATGGCCTTTGGCTCACACACCAATGCTGTGTTAACATGATATGTTGCGTGATTCTATGGTTATCTTTCCCTGAAGTATTGCCCTTTGTCACTGTAATATGATTCTGCATGCTTAGGTATCCAAGCAAGCACCATGGCCTTCTGATCCTGAATTATAAGTATCTGCTCCTATATAAGAAGAGTTTATGCACATGAACGTGAACCATGTTTATGATGTCATATGTCATGATTTTCAAGCATGTTAGTTATATTTGCCCATGTATCAAGCCAGAGCCAGTGACTTCTGTGTTAGGTGCAATTTACCTTGTTTAAAGTTTATCTGAACATTTACCATGATGGTATACACCTGTCCCGGAGCTTAAGGCTATTGTGTTGTGATTTCCAACTCATGAATTATTTTCTTGGCATGTTGCATTGTTTAACATATCAATGTAGTATCCTCATGTACAATGTTGACTATAGTCACAAGGTATTTGGATGATTCTACTACTCTCTACTTCTAATAATAGATGATTGTGAGCACACTGTACTATGGCTGTCAGTTCATACATCATGACTTCCTGATAATATTTAGGGGTTTTCTGAGTGTGATTTTTGTTCAGGTGGTAAAACTACAGGGGGAGATATTTATACACCATGCAGTCATTTAAACATGTCTCAGAGTCCTTTTGTAACAATGTCATCTGTATTTGTTTCCCAAGGATGCCACAACAAAGTGCTTTAAACTAGGTGGCTTAAAACAACAGAAATGTTTTTCTCACAGTTCTGGAGGCTAAAAGTTCTAAATCAAAGTGTCAGTAAAGCCGTGCTCTCTCTCGAGCCTAGCAAAGGAGTCATCCTTGCATTTTTCAGCTTCTGGTAATCCCAAGTGTTTCTTGGCTTGTGGCAGCATCACTCCAATCTCTAACTTCATTGTCATATGGTTTTCTCTCGTTGTCTGTTATATCTAAATTTCCCCCTTCTTATAAAGACACCAGTGATTGGATTTAGGGCTGACCCTAATCCATTATAAAGGCATCTTAACTTGATTACATCTACAAAGACCCTATTACCAAATAAAGTCACATCCACAGGTACTGGGAGTTATAACTTCAGTGCCCCTCTTTTGTAGAACACAATTCAACCCATAATAGCATTTACATTTGGAGACATTTGCTTTTATGTTATAGCTTTTAAATTAGGCATGTGTTCATCCGAGGAAGCACTACAGCTTAGTTCTCTGTTCATATATCACTGATGTTTGAGATTGATCTGTGATTGACCAACTTCTATGTCATGGTTATCACACTGTGCAGCATGTTACTAGCTCATATATCAGTCATGTCGGGCTCCTACTTCAACATTGCTTTTTGCTCTTGTACTATATCCAACTGTTCCTGTATTTTGCGTATTTACAGCGATATAGTCTTGGGATATAGTCTTCTCTATTATCATTCATTACCTCACATTTTATGGTTGTTAAGTTGTGCACCATGATCAGATGCTCAAACAAAAGAGCCATCTGAGCATATGGCATGAGGTGTCATTTTGCACCACTGTCATCTTATCCTTAACTGAAAACTTGATTCAGTATTGTGGATATCGGATAGGGACATGCGTCTGAATGGATACCACTCCTGAAGGATAGCCAACTGCTTGTGTATTTTATGTGTATACTAATTGATTCTCTGTGTATACATCATAGATATTGCTCACCCATCATTAATGTGTAAAAAATAAACATAATCTCCTTCTGTGTGGAGAATGATAACTTTAATAACATGAATATTAGTTCCTGAATTGTGGTCACTGGCTCCTGCAGAATGGGTATTTTCTCCATATTTGCTGTCTGTTCCTGTATCATGCTTACTAACTGTATCATAGCTGTTAGTTTGTGTAATGGGATCGTTTGGATTTATATCATGCCCAAACACAAATGTGTAGAGTCAATCACCATGGTTATTTTTTTTATGAGTCATTATGTCCATGTGAGTCTTTTTTTTGTACCACTGTCATCTTCTCTTGGGCCAAAGTCATTAATTGCTTGCATGGTTATTTTTGATTACATACCATATCTACCCAAGTAAGAATCACACCATGTTTTATTTCCATATCATGTCCATCTGCACCTGTGTCATAATTGATAGCCTATGTCCTGTAGGTGTCTGACTGGACCTCATGAACACATATTAAAACATGCTTTTTGGCATCTTATTCATCTGAACATCCTGTATTATTTTGATCTTCTTTTTGACAAAATGCCATACATACCCGTATTTTTTGTATCACCTGAGCAGTTTTTACTCTGTGATTCTTTCCTGGGATACCATATCTATCCCCTTTTTCATGTATGAATTGACCTATTCTCCATGATAATATAAACATACATAATGAATTTGTGCTCATATACTGTGATTGAAGTTGTACTACGTATTTAAACTTAAACACCACACTTGTGTGAAAATACACAATCATTGTCTACTTGTACTGGGAATGAGTATTTTGTACTATGTATATTAATTTCTACACCATGTCTTTCACTATTGTGATGAGTTTTCTCTGTCCTTTGTCATCTGTCTACTCCCTATAACCTGGTATCAGCTCATGTTGCAGATCTTCTGTGTGTGCATCGTGGTCAAATGCTCAGACTCCTGTGGTGGCTGCTTATGCACCACGGATGTTTGAGCATGTGCTATGGTGTCTACTTTTGCAACATTGCCATCTGCTTCTGGAACAAAGCCACTCATTTTTCTGCTCTGTTTTAAAATCTGGTATCATGTCTGTCAGAAGAATCACAGCATATTGTCATTTATTGTCATATTTACAATAATGGATAGTGGAGCCAAAATGACTGAATTTGAATCCTGGATTATCCACTTACTAGCTATGAGATCTTGGACACATCAGTTCATGAAATGGACACATCAATTCGTATCTTCATGCTTCAGTTTCCTGCAAAATGACAAAAAAAGTAGTAAGGTTATTG
Organism: Homo sapiens; assembly: GCF_000001405.40. NCBI lineage: Eukaryota > Metazoa > Chordata > Mammalia > Primates > Hominidae > Homo > Homo sapiens. The sequence continues at coordinate 152,394,129 of NC_000023.11, read as the reverse complement.
TGAGGATTGTATAAGCTATTATACATAAAATATTTTTAATACTGCCTGGCAGGTAGTGATGATGATGATAACAATGATGATGATGATGATGACATGACAATGATGATAATGATACTGTGTCCCTTGATCGTGTATAATAATTGTCAGCTCAAATTCTGGAGTTCTCTAAGTGTGCATTATGGTCAAATGCTGATACTTGTGATAGTGTTTAAAGCATCATTATATAAGTATATGCCATGGCAGTCATTTGAATCGTTGCCATCTGTAGTATTCTATTAGCTACTGCACTATCGTTTTCTGCTATTTTATTATCAGCATCTTCTTCAATATCCTTGTTCATCTGCTCCTATATTATGGTCATCAGCTTATTTTTGTTGGGATATCTGGGTGTACATCGTGGTTTAACAGTCAAATATTAGTGTTAGTTGCTCATGCACCATGATTGCCTGAGTATGTGCCATGATATCTCCTCCAGCATCATTGTCATATGCTGTTTGCCTAAATAAGTTGTATTCATGTGTTATGTTTCCTTTATTCATATGTCCTGTCCATCTGGGCATATTCCTCATTGTGTTATTCACTCTTGTATCACACCCACCTGCTTTTATATTGTAGGTTTTTGCTCATGCACCATGGTTGTCTGAGCATGCAGCATGCTTGTCTGCTCATACCCCATGGTTTCTGAGCAGGAACCTTCATTGTCTACTGCTTTACAGGGAAATAGTGTTTTATGCATCGTGTATATGAGTTTAGTATTTACTCATATTCTATGACTCTCTACTCTTAGATCACTTCTGCCTTTTTCTGCACATTGTTTATCTGTTCCAAAAAGACAGATGTTATCTCATGTCACTGGGCTTTCTAATTGTACATCAGTCAAATGCTTAAATGCCTATGATGTGATGGCTGTTCATGCAACATGGCTGTTTCAGCATATATCATAACTTCACCCGTTTAATCATTGCCATCTTCTCCCAGACTAAAGAAAATAATGATTTTTAATCACCAACCATATCCGTTTTGGTAATCATGGTTTCATGTCTACCTGCTCCTGTATCATTCTTTTACTTTATGTCGTGGGATTGTGTAGGTAGCCATCATAGTCAAATGCCCAAATACTAGTGGTGGCTGTTCATGCAATGGTCATCTGAGTATATGGTGTCAGGTCTCTTTTGACATATCTGACATCTACTCATGGACAAAGCTGTTTACCCCTGTACCGTGGCTCTTGTATAAGGCACAATATCTGTCTAAGTAAGCACCACAGCATGGTTTTATTCTCCGAAAACAAGTTTGTGTGCTGTATCTATCTATGCCTCTTAGCTCCTTTGGCATAAATGCTACGTAATAGTGTAAACTACTTTTGTGTACCTGTGTAAGTCAAGATCAAACAGTCAAATATCACTAATGGCTTTCATCAACTTTTGTCTGAACATGTTACACGGTGGGTCCTCTATGCACCTTTGCCACCTACATTTGAAATAATCATTCATGTATTGAGATGTTTTGATCTTGTACTATATCCATCTATGAGGTCTCCACTTATGATTATTTTCTCATAAGATGTCTCTTGGCTCTAAGTGAGCCCTGGCTAATTTTCCATGGTTGTATGAATGTGCTTATGCCCTTTAGCTATGGTCTTCTGCTCATTCATCATGATTTGTGAAAATGCACCATCGTTGTCTACATTGTACTAAAAATGGAATTTTCTGTACCATGAATATAATTTTGTGCACCATGATTTTTTGTCATACAGTGTGTTTGCCTCCTTCTTCGTCCTCAGTATCTACTCCTATATATTGGATGTCAGCTTCTGTTGCAGAACCTGAGTGTGCATCGTGGTCAAATGCTCAGACTCCTGTGGTGGCTGCTCATGCACCACGGATGTTTGAGCATGTGCTACGGTGTCTACTTTTGCTACATTGCCGTCTGCTTCTGGACCAAAGCCATTTGTTCCTGTGCTCTGTGTTTCTAATCTTGTATCACATCCATATGAGGAAGCATGGCACCATCAGTGTATGTGCACAATGCTCACTGCTTGGACTTAAATCCCAGTTCTCCTATTTAATAGTTTGAAATTCTTGAGGAAGTCATTTCACCCTTCTGTTTCTGTTTTCTAAACTGTAAAATAAATAATAATACCTCATAGAGTTGTGAGGATTCAAAGATGCACATGTAGAATGCTTAGATTAGTGCCTGACACATATAAATGATAAGTATTTGCTGATATTGTTATATTATTTGTATTATGTCTCTTTATTCTTTATCATGACTTTTAGCTTGCATTCTGAGAATGTCTGGTTGTGTACCTTAGTCACATGCTAAATTACTGGTGGTGGCTGTCCATTCAGCATGGTCGTCTGATGTTATACCTTGGTTTTTCCTTTTGCACATATACCCTTTACTCCTTTGGCAAAGTCATTCATTGCTGTGTTGTATTTCATTATTCATCGTGTCTTTCTGAGAAAGAATAGCACAGTAGTTGACTACTATTCTATTTCCACCTGTACCTGTATCATAATTGATAGCTCACCTTTCAGTGTATATTGGTGTGTATTGTGGTTAAATTCTCAAACACCAGTGGTAGTTTTTCTTCCATGTGATCATTGGAGCGCATGTCATGGTGTCTCCTACCATTGCCATCTCCTCCTAAACCAAGGAATTCTTTCCCGTATTGTGGCTTTTCGATTATATATTGTGATCATCTGTACAATTTCAACTATGTGGCTATTTTCTTTGTGTCATGTCTGTTTTCTTTTATGTGTAAGTATTGGCTCATTCTCCATGGTAGACTGAGCACGCGTAAGGAATTTCTGCTCATATATTGTGTATGGGGTTGTACTATAGACTTTCGCTCATACACTATGGTTGTGTAAAAATGCAGTTGTCATTGTCTACTCCTGAACTGATAAAAGGATGGAATCATCTGTATCATGAATAACAGTTTGTTAATTTTGACAGTATCGTGTTTGCCTGTGCTTCTGCCATCCTGAATGTCAGTTCATATTGCAGGATTATCTGAGTGTGCCTGTGGTCAAATGTTCTGACTATTGTGACTGCTCATACACCAAGAATGTCTGGCAATGGACTATATATTTATTTATGCAACAGGAATTATTGTCTCTATCAGCAATATAGCCATTAATTCCTCTGTTAAGCATGTGTTTTTTAATTTACCATATCCATTAGAGGTAGCATAGCACCACTGATATATAATAAGGGTAGACTGCATTATATACAAATCACTTTTTTTTGTTTTTCCCTAAAATAATAACATCTACCTCATATGCTTGTTTTTTTAAAGTGCTTAGTGCTTGGTATGTAATAAGTTCTAAATAATTATAATTTTTAATAATATCCTCATCATCGTTATCATCGTTATTATACTAGAATTTTTTCTTCATTCTCTATCATGGTTGGCAGCCTATGTTCTGGGATTATCTTGGTGTGTGTTATAGTCTAATGGTTAAGCACTGGTGGTGGCTTTACAATGCACAAATGTTGTACAACCATTTGCCTTGATGTCATCTATAGGGCCATTGCCATCTGCTCCTGGACTATTTCATGCCATCTTATTTTGAAAATATTGTACCATGCCCCTCTCGGTAAGTACCAGTCTATGGCTTTCTTGACCTACCATTTCTAATTTTTCCTCAAACATACTTGTATGTGCATCACCATAGTTATCTAATGTGCTCACATACCATGGTTTTCTGCATAAGGCATAATTGTGTCTACTGTTGTAATGAGATAGCCATCATTCATGTTATTGAAATAAGTTTATATATCAAATTTATTTCATTTGAATTCCCTTTTTATGGTTTCCTGTCATTGCTGTCAGTTTCTGTATCACATCCTTTAGCTCTGTGTCCTTACTCTCAGCATACACTTTATAGTTATCTGATTGATGACTTTGACGAGCTGAGAGAAGAAGGCTTCAGACGATCAAATTACTCTGAGCTATGGGAGGACATTCAAACCAAAGGCAAAGAAGTTGAAAACTGATTGTATATTAGAAGTTCAAACACCAGGAATGTTTGTTCATACCACATTGCTATTTAAATATATACTGTGTTGTTTTACTTTTTACTATTGCCATTTACTTTGCCCCCAAATCTTTGTTCCTGTGTTGTATTTTTTTAATCTCAAATCTTATCCATGTGAACAAGCTCTAAACGATGTCTCTCTGCTCCTATATTTTTTTTTATCATTTACCATGCTTCCCTTCCATGTACCATATATAAAAAATCACAATTTTCTAAGCATGAGCCATTATAGTTTGATCCTGCACCGAAAATGCCATCTTCTGTGTATTGGACTATGTATTAGCTGATGCATGATGGTTTTTAGGTCCGGCACTGAGGTATTCTTCCCCTCCATCAGTGTTGTCTCCTTCTATATCATCTTCTCATAACATAGTCAAGAGCTCATTTTGCAGTTGTCTTAGGGTACATTGTGATCATATGGTATTCATGATCTCCTTTTGCATCATTGCCATCTGCTACATTCCTTCATATATCAATTACTGTCTGCACTTAGGCTGCATAGATGTGTTCTTGAATCATTGCTATCTCCTCTTATATAGCTGCTGTCATCTGATTATGCATCACGGTCAAATCCTCAGCCTCTAGTAGTGCCGCTTCATCACGCAGCATGGTTGTCTGGGAATGTGCCGTGGGATCTCCATTTGCATTAATTCCTTCAGCTCCTGGACCAAAGCCATTTTTAAAAATTCATGTTCTGTGTATCACATAACACAGTATTTGTGATTGCACCTGTACTATGTCCATTTATTTCTGCATCATGGCTACTTCCTCCTGTTTCGTAAGTTTCAATTCATAATCTGAGGTTGTTTGTTATGTATCATGGTCAAATTATAAAACGCTGTTGATGGATATTTATGTGCTATGGTCTTCTTGATCTATGCCGAGGTTTTCTTTTTTATACCATTACCCTCTACTTCTGGACCAAAGCTACTACTTTCTATGCCTTGTGTGTGTTTAAGTCAAGCAACACATATACTTCAGTAAGCAGATCATTAGTGACATCTCCTTCTGTCTTAAGTTGTAGAGTTGTGCATATTTACTATGTGTATCTATGCCTGAACTATGATTGTCTACTATAGTACTAAGAATGAAGTATTATAAGCCCTAGATGGTTAGCTCATATACCACATTTGCCTGCTCTTCTATTACCATTCTTTTCCTTTTTCATCTCCAAATGTCTACTGTTGCATGCCTTGCAGCAAATGTGGCAGAGTTGTTTGAGTGTCCATTATAATGAATTTTTCAAACTTAAGTGATAGCTGTTCATGTACCCTGTGTGCTTGAGCATGTATTAGTATAATCTTTTGCATGGTTGCATCTGATCCTGAAGCAAATCCATTTGTTTCATAATTTTAAAAATACATGCAGTATCTGCCTGAATAATAACCATCCTATAGTTGTGTGCTCCAGCACTATTATGACATGTTTCATGATTTAATGACTTCATATTATTGGTGAAAACATCATTACTTCACTATGGATATCTACTTATTTACCATTGCAAATTTAGTATTCATTCTAAATAGTAGTGTTCTTGGAATAGTGATATCTTCTCATAAACAGTGGTTGTCAACTTACGCATTGTGAATATCGGCTCATTTATGGTCAGGGTTATCTGAACACATGCAGGGTGAGAATCTATAGTTGGCTACTGATTATTATTATGGACCACTAAGTTATGCAATTCAATGGTAATGCTCTTAAGAATGTTTATTTGTCCACTTTGATGATCATACATAGAAAATACACCATGATCAGGTGGGCACTCATTGATTGAACGCTCCTGTGCTATAGTTATTCTCTTTGATAATATTTGTTTCAATTCCATTCTCTGTTTTCATTGTATTACGACATTGGACAAGACACTCTATCTCTTTGATTGAAAACTTATATTTCTGGGTTATATATCCTGACTTTCAAATATATTAATATATCATATACATTTTTCCACATAAAATAGTTCTAAAATGTAATTTTCACCTGTATAATATTTAGATGTATCAACGACCATTGTTTATTTAACCATTCTGTTAGTATGCACATTCAATTTATTTTTTAAAATTTAACTAATATACTGTTATATTGCAGAAAATATATTTGAACATGACTTTTTTGAATCTTTGGTTTTTTTCTGTCCAGTAGATTCCTAGAAGTGCAGTTACTGAGTCAAAGCATGGATTTTTTTTTACAGGCTTTTTATTCATGCTGCAAGATTGTTTACAAGGAAGGAAGCATAGATTTACGCTCACACTAGCAGATATATGGAATTCTTGTCTCGTCCTATCTTCAACAGAATTGTTTAGCATTTTTTTAAAAAGCTTTTGTTCATTTGATAGGTGGAGTGATGCCTTGTTGCTTTAATTGCATTTCTTCAATCAATCTTAAGACTAAGTTTTTAAGGATATATATCAATGTAATCAACAATCTGAAATTTTTATTATTCAACTGTGCATAGGACTTACTTTTCTGTGTTTTAGCTTAAAATATGAAACACTATATATGTAAATATAATTATCACACAAAGATGCACGCTGTTTTAGAATAATTAAGAAGTGAACACCTGTAGAACCACTAAGTCAACAGCTATAACATTGTGGGTACTCCAGAAGCCTGTAACGAACTTATTTCTAATTTCAACCTTTTCTTTCCCACTTTACTTCCACTATCCTTAATCTTACTTTTAAAAATAACTTTATTATATGTATAACAAAATACACTTTAGTTTTGCTGTTTTTGAACTTTATATGAATGGAATCATGATTTTCCTTTGTGGCTTCTTTATTATTATTATACTTTAAGTTTTAGGGTACATGTGCACAATGTGCAGCTTAGTTACACATGTACACATGTGCCATGCTGGTGTGCTGCACCCATTAACTCGTCATTTAGCATTAGGTATATCTCCTAAAGCTATCCCTCCCCCCTCCCCCTACCCCACAACAGTCCCCAGAGTGTGATGTTCCCCTTCCTGTGTCCAAGTGTTCTCATTGTTCAATTCCCACCTATGAGTGAGAATATGCGGTGTTTGATTTTTTGTGCTTGCGATAGTTTACTGAGAATGATGATTTCCAATTTCATCCATGTCCCTACAAAGGACATGAACTCATCATTTTTTATGGCTGCATAGTATTCCATGGTGTATATGTGCCACATTTTCTTAATCCAGTCTATCATTGTTGGACATTTGGGTTGGTTCCAAGTCTTTGCTATTGTAAATAGTGCCACAATAAACATACGTGTGCATGTGTCTTTATAGCAGCATGATTTATAGTCCTTTGGGTATATACCCAGTAATGGGATGGCTGGGTCAAAAAGTATTTCTGGTTCTAGATCCCTGAGGAATCGCCACACTGACTTCCACAATGGTTGAACTAGTTTACAGTCCCACCAACAGTGTAAAAGTGTTCCTATTTCTCCACATCCTCTCCAGCACCTGTTGTTTCCTGACTTTTTAATGATCGCCATTCTAACTGGTGTGAGATGGTATCTCATTGTGGTTTCGATTTGCATTTCTCTGATGGCCAGTGATGGTGAGCATTTTTTCATGTGTTTTTTGGCTGCATAAATGTCTTCTTTTGAAAGTGTCTGTTCATGTCCTTCGCCCACTTTTTGATGGGGTTGTTTGTTTTTTTCTTGTAAATTTGTTTGAGTTCATTGTAGATTCTGGATATTAGCCCTTTGTCAGATGAGTAGGTTGTGAAAATTCATGAGTGAACTCCCATTCACGATTGCTTCAAAGAGAATAAAATACCTAGGAATCCAACTTACAAGGGACGTGAAGGACCTCTTCAAGGAGAACTACAAACCACTGCTCAACGAAATAAAAGAGGATACAAACAAATGGAAGAACATTCCATGCTCATGGGTAGGAAGAATCAATATCGTGAAAATGGCCATACTGCCCAAGGTAATTTATAGATTCAATGCCATCCCCATCAAGCTACCAATGACTTTCTTCACAGAATTGGAAAAAACTACTTTAAAGTTCATATGGAACCAAAAAAGAGCCCACATCGCCAAGTCAATCCTAAGCCAAAAGAACAAAGCTGGAGGCATCACACTACCTGACTTCAAACTGTACTACAAGGCTACAGTAACCAAAACAGCATGGTACTGGTACCAAAACAGAGATATAGATCAATGGAACAGAACAGAGCCCTCAGAAAGAACGCCGCATATCTACAACTATCTGATCTTTGACAAACGTGAGAAAAACAAGCAATGGGGAAAGGATTCCCTATTTAATAAATGGTGCTGGGAAAACTGGCTAGCCATATGTAGAAAGCTGAAACTGGATCCCTTCCTTACACCTTATACGAAAATTAATTCAAGATGGATTAAAGACTTAAACGTTAGACCCAAAACCATAAAAACCCTAGAAGAAAACCTAGGCATTACCATTCAGGACATAGGCATGGGCAAGGACTTCATGTCTAAAACACCAAAAGCAATGGCAACAAAAGCCAAAATTGACAAATGGGATCTAATTACACTAAAGAGCTTCTGCACAGCAAAAGAAACTACCATCAGAGTGAACAGGCAACCTACAAAATGGGAGAAAATTTTCACAACCTTTGTGGCTTCTTGCTTGTTAATTTAATGTTAGGTTTGTGAGATGTGTACAGGTTGTTGCATGTAATTGTAGTTCATTCTGTTTCATTGTGGTATGGTATTCCTTTGTATGAATACAGCACAATGTATTCATTCTATTGTAAGATAGACCTTCAGATTGTTTCCAGTTCTGTTTTTACAGAACAGTGTTTCTATGAACATGCTTTAACAATTATCCTGGTGCATCAATATATGTTTCTTTAACATATATGTCTAACAGTAGAAATAGTACATCATGTATATGTGTATCATCAAATTTATAGTCTAATGCCAAACTTTTCTCCAAAGAGTTTGTACCATTTTATACTCCTACCTGAAGTGTAAGAGATCTCTTGTGCTTCATTATTCTTGCCAAACTTTGTATTATGAGACTTTAAATTTTTTTGTCAATCAATTAGTTTGTGGTGAGAGCTTATTTTCTAATTTCTAATTTCTAAATTTCTAATTTTCATTATCATGATTATTAATGAGGCAAACACTTTTTCTTATGGTTAATGACAATTTGACCTTCCTTTTTTGTGAAGTGCCTTTTTAAGTCTTTTGTCCATTTTTCTATTGGATTTTCTCTCTTTTTCTTATGATGTTGTAGGAATTCTTTGGATAATGTTTCTTTATCAGATATACGTATGATGTGTGACAAACGTCTACCATTCGGTATTTGTTGTTTACTCACTTTCTTGCATCTTTTAATGAACAGAGATCTGAATTTTAATGTAGTCTGTTTTAACAGTTGCTTCCTTTATAGGTTATCACTTTGTGTAAGTTTAAGTAATATTCTCTTACTCTGTGAAGAAGTTCATTTCTATTGTACAGGCTTTATCATTCTGCCTTTCATATTTAGATCTTCAATCCACCTGTAATACATTTTTGTATACTATGGGTAAGGTTACAATTTAATTTTGTATAAATTTTGAAAATAGCAAATTGTCCTACAACCATTTATTGAAAAGCCTGTATTTGCCAGAAAGTCTTTGGTGCTACTTTAGTCACAAATCAATTGTCTTATAAACCTATATCTATTTCTGAACTCTCTATTCAATGCCATTTGTTTATCTCTTCTGGCACCAATACCCTCTGTGCTAATTAATTTTTTTTAAATAGTCTTTTTTCTATTTCTCTGAAAAATGTCATTGGTATTTTGGTAAGGTTTTCATTAAATCTGTAGATCACTTTGGGTAGTATGGAGATTGAAAAACATTAATTCTTTCAATTTATGAACATGAGCTATCTTTCCATTTATTTGTGTTTTCTTCAATGTCTTTAATCAGTGTTCTATAGTTTTCAGCATACAGGTCTTTTACCTACTTGGCTGAATTTACACCAAATATATTATTTTTGTTGCTGTTATAAATGGGGTTGTTTTCTTGATTTTTCTTTTTGGGTAGTTCATTCATAGTATGTAGAAAGGCTCCTGATTTTTGTAAGGGTATTTTGTATCCTTCAACTTTACTGAGTTTGTTAATCAGCTTGGATAGGTTTTTCTTTTTTTTTTTTTTTTTGTGGTGGAGTCTGTAGGGTTTTCCACATATAAAAATCATGTCATCAGTAACCAGAGACAATTTCGCCTCTTCCTTTCCATTAAGAATGCTTTTTAACTCTTTCTCTTGCTTAATTGCTCTGGCTAGAAATTCTTTTACTAAGCTGAAAAGAAGTGGCAAGGGTGGGCATCCTTGTCTTGTTTCTGATATTAGAGGAAAAACTTTTAACTTTTCGCTGTCGAGAATGATGTTAGCTGCAGGTTTGGCATGTATGGCCTTTATCGAGGGTTTTTTTTTTTTTGTAATCAAGAGAGTGTTGAATTTTGTCACATTCTTTTTCTAAATTGATTGAGATGATCGTAGGGATTTTACCCTTTGCTTTCTTAATATGGAGTATTATAAATTTTTGATTTGCATATGTTAAACCATCTTTGCATTCTAGTAGACATAAATGCCAGTTGATCATGGTAAATGATTCTTTCAGTATGTTATTGAATTTGCTTTGCTAATGTTTTGTTGAATGGTTTTGAATCTATATTTATCAGGGATATTGGCCTGTAATTTTCTTTTCTTTTCTTTCTTTCTTTTTTTTTTTTTTTTTTTTTTGAGATGGAGTCTCACTCTGTCACCCAGGCTGGAGTGCGGTGGCGTGATCTTGGCTCACTGCAAGTTCCACCTCCCAGGTTCGTATCATTCTCCTGCATCAGCCTCCCGAGTAGCTGGGACTATAGGCGCCCGCCACCACACCCGGCTAATTTTTTTTTGTATTTTCAGTAGAGACAGGGTTTCATTGTGTTAGCCAGGATGGTCTCGATCTCCTGACCTCATGATCTGCCTGCCTCGGCCTCCCAAAGTGCTGGGATTACAGGTGTGAGCCACCATGCCTGGCTGGCCTGTAATTTTCTTTGTATGTGTGTGTGTTCTTGTCTAGCTTTGGTATTAAGGTGTTGAAAAAAAATCATTAAATTTATATGATACTACAAAAGATCCAGAATAGCCAAAATAATCTTGAGCAAAAAGAACAAATGTGAAGGCATCACTGTCCTTGATTTCAAAGTCTATTATAAAGCAGTTGTAATCAATCAAAACAATATGGTACTGGCATAAAAAGAGACACATCAACCAATGGAACAGGATAGGAAGCCCAGAAATAAGCCCATATGTTTATGGTCCTTTGATTTTTGACAAAGGTGCCAAGAACATGCAATGGGTAAAGGATGGTCTCTTTAATAAATAGTGTTGGGAAAACTGAATATACACATGCCAAAGAATGAAATTGGACCCTCATCTCACACCATATTAAAAAATCAGCTCCAATAGATTAGAGACTTAAACATAAGACCTACAACTATAAAACAACTAGAAAAAAACATGAGATGAGAAAAAGCTCTATGACAGTGGCCTGGGCAATACTTTTTTATCTATGACCCCAAAAGCACAGGCAACAAAAGCAAAAATAGACAAGATGCCATCAAATTAAAAAGTCTCTGCACAGCAAAGGAAACAACACAGTAAAGAGGCAACTCCCTTTATGGTAGAATGATTTACAATCCTTTGGGTATATACCCAGTAATGGGATTGCTGGGTCAAATGATATTTCTAGTTCTAGATCCTTCAGGAATCGCCACACTGTCTTCCACAATGGTTGAACTAATTTACACTCCCACAAACCGTGTAAAAGCATTCCTGTTTCTCCACATCCTCTCCAGCATCTGTTGTTTCTTGACTTTTTAATGATCGCCATTCTGACTGGTGTGAGATGGTATCTCATTGTGGTTTTGATTTGCATTTCTCTAATAACCAGTGATGATGAACTTTTTTTCATATGTTTGTTGGCTGCATAATTGTCTTCTTTTGAGAAGTGTCTGTTAATATCCTTTGCCCACTTTTTGATGGGGTTATTTGTTTTTTTCTTGTAAATCTGTTTAAGTTCTTTGTAGATTCTGGATGTTAACCCTTTGTCAGATGGATAGGTTGCACACGTATGTTTGTTGCGGCACTGTTCATGTTAGCAAAGACTTGGAACCAACCCAAATGCCCATCAATGATAGACTGGATAAAGAAAATGTGGCGCATAGGCACCATGGAATACTATGCAGCCATAAAAAACAATAAGTTCATGTCCTTTGCAGGGACATAGATGATGCTGGAAACCATCATTCTCAGCAAACTAACACAAGAACAGAAAGCCAAACACCGCATGTTCTCACTCATAAGTGGGAGTTGAACAATGAGAACATATGGACACAGGGAGGGGAACATCACACACCAGGGCCCGTTGGTGGGTGGGGGGGGTTAGGGGAGGGATAGTGTTAGGAGAAATACCTAATGTAGATGACAGTTTGATGGGTGCAGCAAACCACCATGGCACCTATGTAACAAACCTCCACGTTCTGCACATGTACCTCAGAACTTAAAGTATACATAATAAAAAAGAAACAAGTATCAATATGACTAAATAAATGCTTAAATATATTAAGAAGAGACAACCCCGTGAATGAGAGAAAATATTTACAAACCATGCATCTGATAAGAGGTTAGTATCCAAAATACATAAGGAACTCACACAACTCAATAGCAAGAAAACAAATAACTGGATCAAAAAATGGGCAAAGAACTTGAACAGACATTTCTCAAAAGAACATATACAAATGGCAAACAAGTACATGAAAAAAATGCTCAGCATCACTACTCTTCAGGGAAATGCAAATTAAAAGCATAATCAGTGTCTTAGCTAATTTTGTGTTTCTATAAAGGAATACCTGAGGCTGGGTAATTCATAAAGAAAAGAAGTTTATTTAGTTCACAGTTCTGTAGGCCGTGCAAGAAGCATGGTGTCAGCATCCACTGGCTGCTGGTCAGGGCTTTTGTGTTGTGCTGAAATATGACAGAGAAAGTCAAAGGGGAAGCCGGCATGTGCAAAAGGAGATCAAATCTGAGGGGTGTCCTAGCTTTATAACAATTCACTCTCCTAGGAACGAATCTATTTCCCCAAGAACCAATCCAGACTTGAGAGATAAAGAATTCACTCACTACTGCTAGAACAGCACTAAGTCATTAATGAGGGATCTGCCCCCATGACCCAAACATCTTTCACTAGACCCCACCTCCCAACACTGCCACACTGGGCATCAGATCTCAGTATAAGCTTGGTAGGGCTAGACAAACCATATTCATAACATAGCAATGATATATCACCTCACACCTGTAAGGCAGGCTTTTATAAAAAAGATGAAAGATAAGTGCCGGCATTAATACAGAGAAAAGGGAACTCTTGTACATTGTTGGTGGGAATGTAAATTACATTATCAAAAATGATACAGAAGTTCCTCAAAAAACTAAGAATAGAACTACAATATGATCCAGTAACCTCACTTGTGGGTATATACCCCAAAAGAAGGAGATCAATATATTGAAGAGATATCTGCACTCCCATGTTTGTTGCAGCACTGTTCACAATAGCCAAGATTTGGTAGCAACCTAAGTGGCCATCAACAGATGAATAGATAAAGAAAATGTGGTATATATACACAATGGAATACTATTCAGCCTTAACGAAGAAGGAAATCTTGCCATTTGTGACAATATAGATGAACCTGAAGGATACTATGCTAACTGAAATAAGCCAGGAACAGAAAGACCAATAGCACATTCTCTTTTATGTGAAATCTAAAAAAGTTGAATTCATAGAAGCAGAGTAGAATGATACTTACCAGAGATTGGGTGGGGTAGAGAGAAAGGAATGAAAAGTTGTTGATCAAAGGGTACGATGTTTCAGATAGACAGGAGGAATAGGTTTTGAGATCTATTGCACAGCAGGGCAACTGTAGTCAGTAATAATGTATTGTATATTTCAAAATGAAGGAGTAAATTTCAAATGTCTTACCATAAAAAGATGATAGGTAAGAAAAGTGATCGATATGTTAATCATCTTGATTTAATCATTCCACATGTATATGTATATCAAAACATCACATTTAAATACAAAAATTAGCCAGGCATGGTGGTGGGCGCCTCTAATCCCAGCTACTCAGGAGGCTGAGGCACGAGACTCGCTTGAACCCGGGAGGCAGAGGCTGCAGTGAGCCTAGATCGCGGCACTGCACTCCAGCCTGGGTGACAGAGCAAGACTCCATCTCAAAAAAAAAATCACATTGTACCCCATAAATGTATACAACAATGATTTGTCAATTAAAAATAATATCAGTCCTGATATTTGGTAAAGTCCTTTTGCCTTATTCTTCAAAACTTCAAGAGGCTATTGTTTGCTTTGCATTTCCATATAAATTTTGGAATTCCTTTGTCAAATTTTATCAACCAATCAAAAAATAAGCCCAAAGAAAAGGAAGATGATAGTAAATATCTATTATGTTATTTTCTATTTCAAAAATTTATCATCATATTTTAATTATCATCTTCTTTCTTTTGGGGCTTTAATTTTAATCTCATTCTTTCTGATTGAACTAGGTGCTTAGCTCATTACTTTTTTTTAAATCTTTTTAATATACGTGTTTAAGGCTACATGGCTTTCCTTAAGTACTGTGTAAGCTGTATGCCATAATTTTGATAGCAATTTTGTTATTGTACAGTTAAGAATATGTTCTAATATGTATTTTGATTTTATTTCACCATGAGTTATTTAGAAGTGTGTTTCTTAATTTTCAACCACTTATCAATGTTATCATTATCACCTAATTACTAATTTCTACCTTAATTGCATGTGGCAGGATAAGATATCCTATATTATTTTAATAATTGAAATTTGTTGTGATTTTCTTTATAGCCTTGTACATTTTTGTAAATATACCTAGTGAGATTTTTTAAATGTGTATTTTCTTTTGCCATCAATGGGTATGGTATTCTCCATATTTCCATGAGGTCAGATTTGTTACTCGATCTTGTTCAAATCTTCTGTATCTGTCCTAACTTCTTTAATCTCTCTAATACGTTAATTTCTGAAAGAGATATGTTATGATGAGAGACATCTATGTTTTGTGTAGTTTTGTTAATTTTGATTTATATATTTTGAATCTTCATTATTAGGTGTATAGAAATTTATTATATCTCCCTGGTAAGTTGAACCTTTTTTCTCATTACTTCTAGTAAAACCTTTCACATGAAAGTCTTTATTTCTTATTAAAAAATAGAGGATTTTTTGGTTAATAATTACATAACATATATACTGTCAACTTTTCTGTTTTCTTATGTGTTAGATATGACTCATGAACAATATGTAGTTAATTTAGTTTTAATCACTTTTAATCTTTCTGATAACTTTTTTATTTGCACCAGAGCCTTTAGTTCCTTTACATGTAAAAAATCGCCGATATATCTGGGTTTGAAACTATCATCTTCTTTTAATGCTTTCTATTTAGCTTGCCCATTTTATGTTCATTTTCCTTTTGTGTGTGTGTTTTTTTCATTTATTTATTTTATATTTGGATCGATAGCTTTAAAATCATTTTTTCTCCTCTTCTAATATAGAAGACATACAGTCTATTTTTATTTAGATTTAGTGGGTGTCTTAGTAATACACACATTTTACTTTCTAAAGTCTTTTTATATCTGGAAGTTGTATTTGATTCTTTAATAAAATCATCTAGTTTATTGTTTAAATATCCTGTACTCTGCAGATATTTTAAACTTCTTTTGGTGGAGGTCCTAAACCTTTTATATAATATGCACCTGATAAATTCAATATCTGAAGTATGGGGATTTGCTTTCTGCTCTAGCTGTTTCTGTTGTTTCTCTCTCATTGTGCCTAGATTCCTCGTTTTAGTGATCTTTCTCTGTATACCGACCAATGTCTGCGAAAAATTATTTATGGGGGTTTCCCAAAGCCTAATACAAAAATGTCATTTTCTAGTGATGATTTATGTTTACTTCTGCAGGTCACCTGAGGCAGAGTTTGCAGGTACTTTAAATTAAATTCATGACTTGAGATTTATTGGATCAAACATTAATGTGAATTTGAGTTGCAAACTTAAGAGAGTAAGAGAGGCCTGCTTGTGGTTTAAAACCTTTTGCAGGGGGATCGTTTTGTCTGTTTTATTTGTCT
Organism: Homo sapiens; assembly: GCF_000001405.40. NCBI lineage: Eukaryota > Metazoa > Chordata > Mammalia > Primates > Hominidae > Homo > Homo sapiens. The sequence continues at coordinate 152,377,936 of NC_000023.11, read as the reverse complement.
CAATTTGTCTATGCCCTGTTCAAACTAAAGCAACTCTCTTGCAGTCTCCTGGGGTTTGAAGAAGATACACAGGCATGCTTCTGATTCATCAATAATCTGAAATTGTAGCATGTGTTTGTGTGTATGTGTGTGCATGCATGTTGTCAGACTCCACACCACTTGAAAATTCTAGGCTTTGGTTTATGCACTCCTTGCTCTATGAGGCTGTCAAAACTACAACATGGTTTGGTAGCTCTGTATTTATTTTCTCTTACTTTTCCTTGGATTGCTGTTTTTGTTTTCTTTTTTTTAAAATTTCCTTAGGTTGTTTTTTTTTCTCTCTTATTTAATCATAAAGACATTGAGTAATGGCAATTTATTAATTTATCCATCTGTACAGTTTTGGGTTTATTCTCCCCAAAATAAAGTTTTGTTTTATAGTTTTGCTGCCTTAATTATTCTTGAGATGGTGTTATTTAGAGAACAAATTTCAATTTCTGTTTAGTCTGTTGTGTTAATTATGATGTTTGAATCTGTCTTCATATTTGTCAGCTTAGTCATTGCAAACTGAGTGCTGTGTTAATTTACATTAACACCCGATTTCTTTCATTTATCTTTTATTTCTAAGATTTTATTTTATTTAGTCTGCAGTATTATTATTGAAAGCAGAAGGTTTTATGAGTTGTTGCTAATAGTGGGGATGGATAAAGAATAGCAACTATACCTATATATACCTCACAGAAGAGTACAGTACAAAATATATTAATCATGGAATGACCACATACATTTTTTGCTAGTTCAGCCCCTAGGTTTCTAAATTACGGTGTTTATGTGACATTGGTTTGTCTTTTCCTAACAGTCTTTGGGTATTTTTAGAAGATGAAACATGTGTTGTATAGTACAAGAATGTTTATCTGAATCCATTCTCAATAGCAATGTATATAATCAAATTCCCTTTTAGACATTGGATTTTTGCCTTTTTTCCATTATTCTTGACAATCAAACTTCCTTCCACCCACTGTTTTCTGTTATTCCTGTCTCTCTTAATGAGAATTTCAGAGGTGATATATTTTCTGTTGTGTTAACTCTGAGGCAAGGAGCCCCAAATTAGAGGTATCCATATAGAAACCCACAAAAATATTGAATAGAAATAGACAGAACTGCAGTGTAATTAGATTGGTATCATTAAATTCAGTAAGGAAGAAGGCAGAATGTAGATGATTAAAAAATAAACAGAAGGCAATTAAGCTGGAGTAAACAATTATAAATTACTAGTTCAAGAAACTTGATTGATAAAAGAAAGAAGGTAACAGCTAGAAAGAAACATATTGGTAGAATTTCTCTTACAGTGGAAGAAACTTTATTATGTTTATAGTCTAAGAGAAAGGAGTCATTAGAGAACAAGAGATTTAAGATATAGGTGAGAAGGAGAGTCGATGGAAAGGAAAAAAGTTCATGAGGTCAGGAGCTTAGGTTGAGAGATTATCCTAAGATAGGGAAGGTTCACCTCATTTTCTGAAACAAAAAGAAAAAGTAAGGATAAATATAAAAGTGAGTTAATTTTGTAGGTTGAGACAAGCTGATGTCTTAAATTGGGTTTCACTCAAGCAGGCTCGGAGATTAGGATTCATATGAAGGTAGTTTATTGGGAAGTGTTCCCAGAAAAAAAAAATAAGAGTTTTGGGAAGTGGGGCAAGGAAGTGAGGGTGGCCAAGCAAGGGTAATGTATCAAGCAAAGTACCATGGAAACTGTGTGGGTCACACCTCACTGTTGCCCCTATCAGGGAGCTGCATTATTTGTACTTCTGTATCTGTCAGTCTTAGTTTAGGGCTGCCCTAGTTTGGAAACTCAAATTCTCAGGCAATTCTGATTGTCAGTGTGCACGGGCAAAAGTTAGTTTCAGCAACCTGAGGACAGCTCTAATCCTCAGACAAAGAAATGCAGATGCTGCCTTTTGGGCGGGAAGGCTCAATGGAGTCAGGATATGTGAAACTGGTGAAGAGATCCAAGGGGATATGAATGAGGCATTAATAATTAGCTAGTGTCTAATATGGGTGGTTTGTCTCTTCTGATCATCTTGACTTTGTACTGAAAGAATATACTAGTTTCCCTAAATAGGCAACTTGAGAAGAATGACAAAGGTTTAAAATAGTTGAGAGGAATAGGGAAGAGGACTGGTTTATGACAAATTGAAGGATTATTGAAGAATGCTGGTATTGGAAATAATGAATTTATTGTGGAATTTTCTTCAGCTGCTTTCATCAGTCTAAGACAAAACAGATTGTTTGTGGATTGATCCCAAATAGGGTTTCTAGACAAATACAGTGGAAGGTCATATGAACAAGGTGCTGAAAGAGTAGTCCAAGTAATTTACTTTGGATCCAGCCTTGAAATGAAAGGAAGTAACACTAGGCAAGTCCAAGAGCCTGGGTGACAATGAAAGGATCAACAGACTAGAACACTAATTTCAAAGAGCAAGTGGAGTAGAAGTAAAAGTTTATAAACTAGAAGAATAACAGAATAAGGTCAAACATCAAATACCATAGTTTAATATTTGTGATATAGGAGCAATTATGCATAAGATACAGGGTGTGATTGAATGGAAGAGAAAGTCATAGAGATTGTGCAGATCAAATAACTATGATAGATATATTATCTACACAAACAGTGAAATACTGAAAATGATAGAGGGATATGAAAAGCATGAATTGGTTATTGTAGCCTTGTAGTATAGTTTGAAGCGGGGAGTGTGATGCCTCCAACTTTGTTCTTTTTGCTTAGGATTAACTATTTGGGCTCTTTTTTGGTTCCATATTAATTTTAAAGTAGTTTTTTCTGATTCTGTGAAGAATGTCGATGGTAGTTTAATGGGAATATAAATTACTTTGGGCGGTATGGCCATTTTCATGGTATTGATTCTTCCTATCCATGAACATGGTCCTGGCACAAGAACAGACACATCGACCAATGGAACAGAAAAGAGAACTCAGGAAAAAGACCACACACCTACAATAATCTGATCTTTGACAAACTTGACAAAAACAAGCAATGTGGAAAGGATTTCCTATTTAATAAATAGTGCTGGGAGAACTGGCTAGCCATATGCAGAAAATTGGAACTGGACCCCTTCCTTATACCTTATACAAAAATTAACTCAAGATGGATAAAAGACTTAAATGTAAAACCAAAAACTATAAAATGAAGAAAATCCTAGAAGAAAATCTAGGTAATACCATTCAGGATATAGGCATAGGCAAACATTTCATGACAAAAACATCAAAAGCAATTGCAACAAAAGCAAAAATTGGGCCAAGCGCGGTGGCTCACGCCTGTAATCCCAACACTTTGAGAGGCCGAGACAGGCAGATCACGAGGTCAGGAGATCGAGACCATGTTGGCTAACACAGTGAAACCCTATCTCTACTAAAAATACGAAAAATCAGCCAGGTGTGGTGGCGCGTGCCTGTAGTCCCAGCTACTCGGGAGGCTGAGGCAGGAGAATGGCGTGAACCTGGGAGGTGGAGCTTGCAGTGAGTGGAGATTGTGCCACTGCACTCCAGCCTCTCCAGCCTGGGTGACAGAGCAAGATTCCATCTCAAAAAAAAAAAAAAAAAAAAAAGAAAAGAAAAGAAAAAATTGACGAATGGTATCTAATTAAACTAAAGAGCTCCTCCACAACAAAAGAAACTATCATCAGAGTGAACAGACAACCTACAGAATGGGAGAAAATGTTTGCAATCTATCCATCTGACAAAGGTTTGCTATATAGAGTCTACAAGGAATCTAAACAAACTTACAAGCAAAAAACCCCATTAAAAAGTGGGCAAAGGACATGAACAGACACTCCTCACAAGACATTCATGTGGCCAACAAACATATGAAAAAATGCTCAACATCATTGATCATTAGAGAAATGCAAATGTCCATCAATGATAGACTGGATTAAGAAAATGTGGCACATACACACCATGGAATACTGTGCAGCCATAAAAAAGGATGAGTTCATGTCCTTTGTAGTGACATGGATAAAGCTGGAAACCATCATTCTGAGCAAACTATCCCAATGACAGAAAACCAAACGCCGCATGTTCTCACTCATGGGTGAGAATTGAACAATGAGGACACTTGGACACAGGGCAGGGAACATCACACACCGGGGCCTGTTGTAGGGTGGGGGGATGGGGGAGGGATAGCATTGGGAGAAATACCTAACGTAAATAACGAGTTAACGGGTGCAGCAAACCAACACGACACATGTATACATATGTAACAAACCTGCACGTTGTGCACATGTACCCTAGAAGTTAAAGCATAATAATAATAAAAAAAAAGAAATGCAAATCAAAACTACACTTTGAGATACCATCTTACGCCAGTCAGAATGGCGATTATTAAAAAGTCAAGAAACAATAGATGTTGGCAAAGTTGCAGAGGAAAAGGAATACTTTTACACTGCTGATGGGAATGTAATTAGTTCAACCACTGTGGAAGACAGTGTGGCAATTCCTCAAAGATCTAGAAACAGAAATACCATTTGACCCAGCAATCCCACTTCTGGGTATATACCTAAAGGAATATAAATCACTTTATTATAAAGATACATACACGTGTATGTTCATTGCACACATGGGGAGGAACAATATACACTGGGGCCTCTCCACAGTGGGTTGGGGGAAGAAGAGCATCAAGAATACCTAATGAATTCTGGGCTTAATACTTAGGTGATGGGTTGATCTGTGCAGCAAACTATCATGGCACATGTTTACCTATGTAACACACCTGCACATCCTGCACATGTACCCTGGAACTTAAAATAAAAGTTGAAGAAAAAATAGTATACAGAAACGCCACAAAAAGATAGAAGTATGAACTGAGCATAGTTTCCGAATCAGTGTCGGGAGGCTTCAAGGAGGCAGACGTAAGATTGAAAGGCAGAGAGTGATACAGATAGGAGGCATGAACCTCAAATAAGAAGGACTGTGGTGCACATGCATAGATGAGAGATGGTTTCAACGTGGCATTGAAAAAATGAGATAGTTCTCATCTTGTCTCTCAGTTGCATAATATATGGGAGTATGCACATGTCACACTTCAGGGGAAAGTTAATGAAGTAGTGTCTATAATATAAATCCCAATTTATTTAAGGCAAAGAGAACAGAAAAGTTTTCCTTTAAAAAGTTGAGAGCATAGAATAATTTGTTTTCCATAAAATGAAGGATTGAAAGGGCATGGGGGAAAGGTTTTAGGAAAGTAGCATAGTCTTGAGATTATACCTCTGAGAAGAAAAGGATGCCCAGAGTTGTGTGAGCATGAACTCATGAAAAAATTCACTCTTTTTTTCCAACAAATATTTTATTGAGTAACAGTCATGTGCTAGGCTCTACTCTATGGCCCAGAGTTAGAGTTAAGTTCCTGCACTAATGAAGCTTATATCCAGTGGGAGAAATGGAAATAAGTAAGTACATAATGTAATTTTGTGTAGTTATATATCCCATAAGAAAGTGGAATTGGATAAGGAGGCAAAGAGATATATGGGAAAAGCATTTATGACAGAGGAAAGAGCAAGTACAAAGTCCCTTAAGGCTGGGTGTTTTCAAGGAGTATTGGGAAAACAAGTGTGAATTGGTATGAGTAGGGGAGACCGAAAGTAGAAAGAGGTGAGGTTTTAGAGGTAGCCAGTGGTCAAATAAAGTAGATTCTTATAGGTCATGGCAAGTACTTAGGATTCCGAAAATATCCACTAGGAAAGTTTGAGAAGAGAGTGGGTCTGACTTATATATATTTTTTTTTCTAAAAACCCCTCATTCTGACTACTGTCCAGAGAATGGACTATAAGGGGGCAAGAGTTGCAGCAGAGAAAGAAGTTAGCCATTCATTGCAGTCATGGGGGTGGTTTTGAACAGCTAAGGGGCAATGAAAGTATTGAGAAGTGGTCAGAGTCTGGGTCTGTTCCAAAATCAACAAGATAAGCTGACAGTTTGAATATAGGGCATGGAAGAGAGAAATCAAGGTATGGATATGGATCGGATAGGGATGGCTTTGATATGTAAGGGAAGAGTCCTTGGTCCCGTGTTCTTGTTTTTCTTCATTGATTCACTTTTTGGCTGTTTTGTTCACTGCTGTATTCCTAGAACTTAGAATGGTGCCTGGTACATAGATGATACTCCATAAATTTTGAATGAATTAATACTAAGAGTGGATTCAGTGGAGTGATAGATGAAAATACTTGATTGATATAGATAGTATGAGGGAATGATTGTTGAGGAAGTTGAGATAGAGATAATGATTGAAATGGGTTACCATAAAAGGCAGGCAGAAAAATTGAGAAAGGGTTGGAGGAATGTCAGGTCAAGGGATGATTTTTTTTTCAAAATGATCGATGATATTGCATCACTTTTATGCTGCAAGGAATGAGCCAGTATAGAGGGACAAACTGACAAGTGTGGGAGAGATGAGACAATAACCAAATAATACATTTGACCAGGAGACAGGAAATGGGATCCAGGACACATGTGGGGGTGCTTGCATTAGATAGGAGCAGACACTCCTGGTAACAGGGAAAAGGTTAAAGTATATGGCTGACATTCTGGTAGGTTGGTATAGTTGATATTAGGAAGGAGAGCGCATGGTCTTTTGATTGCTTGGTAAAATAAGAAGCAAAGCTATTTGCAGAGATTCTGGGAAAAGAGTTATTTCTTCTCCCAGAGAGAAAAGAAAGTAAAATATTATCTCTTGAGAGTGGGAGAGTGAATTGGTTTGGCAAGTGCAAAAGGATCGTGGGACATTGAAGTATGTTGAAGAAAATTTAAAGAGAGGCCAGTCAGGCATTATGCAGATTTTTCCAGATATATTAAGGTGCTTATTTGTAGATGGAGAGTTGGATTTGACCAAGGTTTATGTTTTTCCAGGCAGGTACAGTACAGTATGAGAGATACAAGTGTATTCAGGGTGTATACCAGACAATGATTATACTGATTTTAATTATGGACTATGTATGTTATCCAAGCAGGGTAAGAAAGGAAATGAGAACGTGAAGATGATGATGAGCAATTCTAAGATTGTAAGATCAGTAGATTAGAAATCCGTGGAGTGGGGTGGAATGGGTGGATGTGGGTAGAAGAATTGACAGTATGAAGGTGCTAGATGAAAAATGTTGGAAATATGTGGTCAGAGAGTGATTCAAGATCATGGACTTGTAATGACAAGTCTTAGGATATGGCCATGGAAGGGACAAATGGATTAGGATAGAGCTGAGGCTCATTGGAGGAAAAGAGGTCAAATAATAGACCTGTAGTTTACAGTGACCAAAATTTACTATATGTCAAGCTTAAGGCTAATGCTACATATGAATTAGATTATTTAATTCTTATGACAACAATGGATTAATTAATCCATTATTTGGATTAGAATATTGAGTCAAATAACCTGCCCAATTTCAAATTTCTATGTGGTATATCCAGAATTGAAACTAAGATGTTTTTGTCTTGAAAACCTTTATGAATGACAGTGCTTTGAGGCTAGGTGGAATTAGATGACCTTAAATGAAACTCTGGTGACAAGTTGTGACAAATGGCAGAGTTGACTTTGTAGTATCTGGGTAACAACATGTGGAATGACTTTGTTCAGGTAAAGTTCTGGCAGACAGTCCTCATGTCATCCAAACAGGGACATTTGTAAGCATAATGTCAGTATCTGGTGGTTTCTAGGTACTGAAATAAAGAAGTTTTAGGAATTCCAATAGAATAATTGGTCGTATTGGTACCTTGTACATAGCAGGTGCTCAAATGTGATAAAATGAATTTGTCTTTGGACAAGACTTATCAGAAGACTTATCCCAGTAGCAGGTGTTTAACTAGGCATTTTACGTTTGTTATCTTATATAATATTGACAGCCTTTACAAGATGGATGTTATCCCCATTTTTTATTGAAGAAGTAGGTCATTAAAGCCTAACACAACTAGTATTTGGTAGTGCCCAGTAACCTTTCAGTCTGGCAGGTTCCAAAGCCCATCCTACACCTTATCCTTCTTAACCAATTTTCCTCATTTAGGAATGTGACTTAGTTACAATACCATTCATTTATTCAGTATTTATTAAGTACTCATTATTTGTCAGATATTCTTCTATGCATTGGGCATATATCTTTGAATTTAAAAAAAACCAAAATCCTCATCCCCATTGAGCTTTTCTATCTGAGAAACAAGCAATTTTTCTTCCTTTTAGACACAAAGGAAGAAAAATAGGGCAGACAACTGTATAGGATGTATGAGGAATGTGTGGAAGGCTTGAAATTTTAGATAGGGTGGCCAGGGAAGCCCTCAATGAAAAGATGATATTTTAATAACACTATGAAGGAAGTGACGGAACAAATTATATGAAAATTGGATGGAAGAACATCCCAGGTAGAGGGGATAGCAGGTGCAAAGGCCCTGGTGCAGGAGCATACCTGACATATTTCATGAGCAGCGAAGGAGGCCACAGTGGCTGAAGTGGAGTGTGTGAGACGGGAGGGTAGTAGGGGATGAGACTAGCCAGCTATTTGGAGATCAGGTCATGTAGGACCTTGTAGATCATATATTTATTTATTTATTTATTAATTGACAGATAAAAATTGCATGCATTTACCATGTACAACATGATGTTTCAAGGTATATACACATTGTGGAATGACTAAATCCAGCTAATTAGCATATGCATTCTCTCATGTAGTTATAATTTTTATGGTGACACATACAAGGGGCCAATAGGTATATGATAAAATTCTCAATATCACTAATCTTAAAGGAAATGTAAATCACCTCACACCTGTTAGACTGGGCATTATCAAAAAGACCAATCATGTTAGAGAGGATGTGGAGAAAAGGGACCTTCACACACTGTTGGTGGGAATGCAAATTAGCACAGCCATTATGGAAAACAATGTGGAGGTCTCTCAAAAAAAATTAAAAATAGGGCCTAGCGCGGTGGCTTACGCCTGTAATCCCAGCACTTTGGGAGGCCGAGATGGGCGGATCACAAGGTCAGGAGATCGAGACAATCCTGGCTAACACGGTGAAACCCCGTCTCTACTACAAATACAAAAAATTAGCTGGGCGTGGTGGCCGGTGCCTGTAGTCCCAGCTACTCGGGAGGCTGAGGCAGGAGAATGGTGTGAACCCAGGAGGCAGAGCTTGCAGTGAGCCGAGATCACGCCACTGCACTCCAGCCTGGGCGACAGAGCGAGACTCTGTCTCAAAAAAAAAAAAAAAAAAAAAAGAAAAAAAATTAAAAATAGAGTTACATGATTCAGCAATCTCACTACTGGTTATATATCCAAAGGATATTAAATTAGTATGTTGAAGAGATATATGCACTTCCATGTTAATGCAGCGTTATTCACAATAACCAAGATATGAAATCAACTTAAATGTCCATTAATGCATTAATGGATAAAGAAAATGTGGTATACATACACAATGGAATATGATTCAGCCTTCAAAAACAGTGAAATCTTGTCATTTGTGACAACATGGATGAACCTATAGTACATTATGTTAAGTGAAATAAGGCATACAGAGAAAGACAGATACCTCATGATGCCACTTACATGTGGATTAATCTAAAAAAGGTGATTTCACAGAAGCAGAGAGTAGAATGGTGGTTACCAGGGGCTGGAAGGTATGGTCTGGGGTGGGTAGATGTTGGCCCAAGGATACAAAATTTCAGTTATATAGGAGGAATAAGTCCAAGAGATTTCTTGTACAACATGGTGACTAGAGTTAATAATATAATATATTCTCAAAAAATGCTAAGAGACTGAGGCTTTTGAAATGGGAAGAAATGGGAGGATTATGAGCAGGGGGAAGAAATTATCTGCCTTAGCACTTTAAAAGTTCCCTCTGCCCACTTTGTAGGGAACAGACTCTAGGGGAGCAAGGACAGAGGCAGCAAAACCAGTTAAGAAGCTTTTACAATGATCTTGACAAGAGATGACAAGCTAGAGTGGTAGCAACAGAGGTAATGATCAATGGCTTTAATTTGGATATATTTCCTTTTGAATGGAATGCCAATGAGACTTGTTAATAGATCAGATGTGTGGTTTGAACGTTAAAGGGGAGTCAAGAATGACATTAGAGTTTTAATCAGAGCAAATGGAAGTGCAGAGGAGTCACTATTACTTGAGATGGGAAATACTGCACAGGACCAGGTCTATATATGTGTGTGGGGGTGGATATCTGAACTTCATATCTGAAAATGTTATGTTTAAGATGCCTCTCAGACATTTAGGTACAGAGTTTTGTGAGAGGTATCTTAAACCTAACCTGGGTTTAAGTTTTACTTATGAGTTACGATATGAGTTTAAGATATGTGTTATCTCCTGGAACCCATATCTAGATACATATATGGATTCGAGGTAATATCTGGAATGAAGATATTAATTTGCAAGTCATCAGTTTATAAATGATATTTTCGTCTATTTGTTTGTTCCTTGTACCTTCCTTTAGCTCTTTAGTAGGGTGAATTGGTTGGTAATCATTTGCTAATTTGGCCATGCAATTACATATTATAATGGCCTGAGCACGTGTCATGATTATGTGTTCATGTATCATGGATAATCTCTTCTAACACCATGATTATCTGAGTTTGCACAAGAGTTGTCTCCTCCTGTTTCATAGCCAATCTGCTCCTGCCAAAGGCATCTGCATTTGTGCCATGGTTGACTGTAAACTCACAGGACATTTTTTTTTTATGTACTGTACTTATATAAGCATACACTATGGTTGTCTACTTTTGCAACATAGCCTGGCTTCTTGATTAAAATCAGCAATAGGTTTTACCTTCTGCTTGTACATCATGGTTGTCTGAATATTCGTATGATGTTCCTTCACTGTAATTTTCATTTTATTCACCATGGATATGTGCGTTATATTTGTGTGTTCGTACACTACAAATAGCTATTTATTCACTGTCATCATCATTACCCAAAGGATATCAATTCTTCACTATGGTCACTTGCAACTGTATCTTACCTTTCTGCTACAGTGAAAAATTTTTGACCATGTCTGCCTACTCATGGACCATGACCTTTTGTGTTCCTGCACCATGGTAATCTAATTCCATAGCACTTCAGTCTGCTCCTAAACCATTTCACTTAATTCCTATAGTATGGTTGCTATGATACATATATTCTGTGTGCATTTATCATGGTTAAGAATTGATGTACCAAATGCTTCTTCACATGTATCATGTTTGTCTATGCATATACTGTATTTGCCTCCAGCCACATGGATGTGTGATCATTTTTGAAGGCTCTTTGTTTCACTGTCACAGACATTTTATTTAGTTATGATTTCATGTAATGCTGTTGTCTTTTTTATGTATCATAGTATATGTCTTAGTTTTCTCTTTCCAAATCATGGGCATTTAATTCTATGTAATTGCCATCTATTCTTAATATGATAGTTTGCTGCTTATCTACCATGATAATTTGAACATAACCCATAGTGATATAGTAGAATAGCATAGCTGAACACACACTATGGATCTCTTTGTTTACACAGCATGGCCATCTTCTCCTACATCCAGGATTGTTACTCATGGACTCATGTTTTCTAAGCATGCATCATGGCTATGTCTTATGTTCCATGGATTATTTCTATGATTTGAACTTCATATCCTAGCCCAAGTGTCTCTGTTCCTGTAGAGTAGTTGTCAATTCATGTATCGTGATTATCTGAACATTAATTCTTGTCATATGATTACACAACATTAAGGTCTGCTAAAGCACTGTGAATGTTTGAGCGTATATCATGGTTACTGCCCTTACCATGGAAGTTACTTATGCTTGGAGTTGTCTGATCATGCACTATCTTTTCTTACTCATATACTATGGTTTTCTGAACCGTACCATTCCTGTATACTCCTGTAAAATGTCCATCAACTCTTTTATTGTTCATGAAGCATGGATGTCACAGCTCTTATATTAGGTTGACCATAAGAAATTGCTTTCTTTGATAAAACCAAAATTGTGAAATATTGGCAATTTCATATGGTGCAATCTAATACTATGATTATCTCTGTCTCTAATGTTGACACTTCATCATGTCAGAAGTCTGTCTTCTCCATTGTTGTAGTTTTTCAAATGCCTATACCAGATTCATGAAGACAGCTTAATATAGATCCAGTGGCTGCTTTTTTGAGGCGTGTGGGGTGAATTTAAAAGGCCTTTTGTTCTTAATCTCACCAACCAGAATAGCTCCTTAATGTGTATCTGTTTTACATATTGGTCTCTTGTATAAGCTTTCTTGGAAAAAAAACCAGTTATATATCCCTCCATTTTCTCTGAAAATTAATTCACTGATATGACTGAAAAAGGGTATGTTGTTGGGTCAGAGTTAGGTCTCCTTCAAGTTCTCAGTGTCTCATAATCAAAGAAGCCACACAAATTAGAGGTAGCAAGTAACCATCACTTTATTGGTTGCTTTCTTAACCCCATGTCTTGGGTAAATCTCCACTGATCCAGGGTTCATAAAACAGCCTTCCTTATAGGGAACTCCATATCACTAGTTCTATCACCAGTATAATTTGCTGACCTCTTAGAGATTTCAGTGTCAGGAAGTAGGCTTGGATTTCTCTTTTTGTTGTGTCCCCTATCTAAAGGAACAAGTTTGCTTTCAAATATCTCTTTATGGGGAAATACTGCATTCTTATTCAAGAGCCATGATGTCTCATTATTCAGTATTTTCTCAACCTAATTTAGAGGAAACAGTCTATCCACTTCAGGCCATTTAATCTTTTGGAAAATTGTTTAACTCTATGAAGCTGAGAATCAATCCCAAAAATGCTATAAAAAGACTCCAGGTCTTAATATACTAGGATAGTAGGATTCTCTACGATATTACACAGTTAACCAAGGCAAAGGACTTTGTAACACTAAAGATCAAACAGGGAATTGGAGGGAAATAAAATGAAGACATGAGAGAATATTTTTAAGATCTTAGATTATAAGAGGTAACCCAAGCTGAGGGAAGTTCTGTGATTCACCTAATCACATAGGGTGAAGCCAAGGAAAGAGATGTTGCAGTAACCTCAGACTCCTGATTACTGACTTAGGGCTGTTTGTGCTACACTGTGCATCCTTTCTTGGATGGGCTCTGGTATATTTAGGAGAAGGGTATATTGGGGGCGATTTTGGTGGCATTGACAAGCTGGGAAAAGGGGACTGTTGAATTAAGCACTGAGTAACTAGACACTAGAGAAGTTAAATGGCTCTAATAGAGTTTAATAACATCTCTTTCTCTCTTTTTTACCTCTTTCTCCTCTCTCCCTTTGTTTTCTACTCTCTACCTCTTATCCCTTATCTAAACTGTGAATCTCACAGGTCTCTCCAAGTTTGTGCCTAAGAAGATGATAATCACACAAACAAGTCACTGTTACATGACCAGCCTTGGGATTCTTTTCCTGATTAATATTCTCCCTGGAACCACTGGTCAAGGGGAATCAAGACGACAAGAACCCGGGGACTTTGTGAAGCAGGACATTGGCGGGTAAGAACCCCTAACTCTTAGGATGAAAGAAGACTGTGATAAATGTTTGCCTCAGACCAAAACTTCTGATGTTTTCCCCCAGATGAACCCAAGTACTCTGGTCTCTGATACTTATACATTACATTATATTTAGAAAAAAGTCATAGGCTCAGACTCTCAAAGTAGAAAGAGATCTCAAAGTTTCTTTTTCTTAGACAACACCCTGGCCCAGGCTTGAATCACCTCTGTAATATCTTAAAAATAGTTCTTTTGCCCTCAATTTTATCTCTCCTCTCTTAGATCTTCAACCTTTTCCTTTTTATTGGCTGTGTGGCTCCATAGCATTTAAACATGATAATGTTTAGGAATCACTCATCTTAAATTTAAAAATCTTCCCTCCAGATACTGCCTTAATTATTTGCTCCCCTTCATAGCCATATTTCTTGAAGGAGTGGTATGCTTCATTGCATCTATTTACCTCTCACCCTTTCATTCACTTGCTGCCATCTGACTTCCAACCCCAGACTCTAAGGCAACTTCTGCAGCCAAGATGGCCAATGTTGGTTCTGTTGCTGAAATGAACACTTCTCTGTTCTTACGTTCCAATATTGTTGACTTCTCCATCCTTGACTTCATTTTATTATGAAATAAAAATACATGTAGAAACATGCATAAAATATAAATATATAGTTTAATAATAATTCTTTTTGGCTTCAGAGACACTATAATTCTCTGGTGTTTTGATTGGGTTCTCTAGAAACAGAGTATGAAACAAGGATTCTTGAGCAAATGATTTATTGAGAGGTCACTTTCAACAGAAACCTGTAAGGAAGTAAGGGAAGGAAGATAGGGAAAGAGAAGAAGTAAAGCAAAGGTGTAGCCTCAATTTGACCTCATGAGGAGAAGTGGGGCATAAATGGCACTAAAAGATTTGTCCTACTTTGAGGCAAGGGACCCAAGCTTGTGTACTCTCACCTCAATTAGTCTTTGCCTGTGGATCCCCTGGAGAAAGGCATAGTCTTCCAGATATTTTAGGTGAGGCGACTCCCTGCAACAGATAGTAATTTTCCAAAGTAGCTGCAGGATGATTTCACTGGCCCAGTAAAGGGATCCGAGAATAGTATTATACCAATAATAAATACTACATCTGGTTTTCTTTATACTTTTATGACTATGCTTTCTGCAATATTTTCCACAATACTACACAGGTACATCAAAGACCTTTGTGATATAAAGATCCTTTTTAGTCTTCTTTTGTTCACCCCTCAGGTGTTTGTGTTTTTCCTTGTTTTGTTCTAGGCACACTTCTTACCCTACAGATCCCCTGAGTGATGTAATCCATTTCTATGATGTAGTTACCTTATATATGTAAATGCCAATGACTCCCATCTCAATCTTCATTCTAGACTTCTCTTGAATGTCAGACTTCTATATCCAACTGTCTACTGAACATGCCCACTTGGCTATTCCACACACTTCTTAAACTAAGCATGTCCAATGTATTTAATTAGCTTCATCTCCCTCCCCCATCCTAAAGAACAAACATAACAAAACAAACAACAAACAGACAAAAATATTCCTCTTCCATTTTTTTCCTGTTTCAGTCAGTGGTACCACTGTGTACCCAGTTGCTCAAGTCAGAAACTTGGAATCATTTTTGCCAGTTTTCTACCCTTTACTCTCCAGATTGAATCAATCACCAAGATTTGTCATTTCTACCTCCCACATCTCTTGGATTCATCTACTTTTTTCCAACTTTTCTGCTAGCACCCTAGTTTAATCTGATGTTGTCTCTCACTTGGACCACTGTGCAAACCTTGTCTTACTTCCTAAAATCTTGTTTCCATCCAAACTAACCTCCACTCTGTAACTATTTTTTTCTGTAATGCATGTTTGACCATACCTACCCTATTTAGAGCCCTTTCATGGTTTTCTGTTGTCCCTACAATAAGGTACAAACTCTTTAACATGATTTTATAAAACCCATTAGGACCCAGCTTCTACCCACCTTGCTAGCCTTATTTCTTAGTCTTTCTGCCACCAAACTGTGTTCAGCAATGTTGAACTCCTTTTAGACTTTAAAATCCCTTCTAATCCAAGGAATATCATTACTAGAAATGACCTCTTAGCCCTGCAATATTTCAATATTACCCAAGGTATTTTATTCCTTGGTAGTGACTTTTTTTTTTTGGTTTTACATTTGGCTATTGTCCTATATTCTTGGAAGCATGCATCTTGAAGTAGGAAGTATTCCTAATTATTTTTGCAGTGTTGATTATCTTAATGTACTCTGAGTCTTTTCATCTTATATCAGCATTTTTACAGTAATCTCTGGGGCTGAGGCTGCAGAACTGGGCTTGTATATCCTTAGAATCTTGGTATATAAGACTCTTTTTGTTCTTTCTTCCAAAATGGAAAATAAAACCAGTTCTGTTTTGTTAACTCCTCATGTATTTCATTTCACTGGGCCATGATAGATTCTAAATAAGATGAAGGTTCTAAATAAATTAACCTTACCGCTTCAAGTGTTAAAGCCTTTTACATTTTAACTCTGATAATATAGTTTTCTAAAAATGTATTGCATATTTTCTTATAATCCTAAACAAGGATTTTTTTAAACAGAATAGTCCCATTTCTTTGTGACTTTTGGTCATCATAAAGAAAATTCACGGTTGCATGCCATGGCACATGCCTGTAGTCCCAGCTACTTGGGTGGCTGATACAGAAGGATCTCTTGAGCCCAGGAGTTAAAGGCCAGCCATGGCCACACAGTGAGACTCTATCTCTAAAACAAACAAACAGACAAAAAAAAAAACCACAAAAAATTCTTAAGCACATGTTCATTATATTCATTCGAATTTTTTTTTTTTTTTTTTTTTTGAGATGGAGTCTCACTCTTCACCCAGGCTGTAGTGCAATGGTGCGATCTCAGCTCACTGCAACTTCCGTGTCCTGGGTTCAAGCCATTCTCCTGCCTCAGCCTCCGGAGTAGCTGGGATTACAGGCACATGCCACCACGCCCAGCTAATTTTTGTATTTTTAGTAGAGATGGGGTTTCACCATGTTGGTCAGGCTGGTTTCGAACCCCTGACCTTGTGATCCGCCCGCCTCAGCCTCCCAGTATGAGCCACTGTGCCCAGCCAGTGTTAGTTCTTATGTCCCGTGTCCTCTTTACAATGGTTTGTTAGCATCCTGTTGATGCTTAGAAAACCAGATAGCCTAGTTTTTAGTAATTATGTCAAGGAGTAGGCCAAGAAATCCTACCTGAAAAAGCAGAGTGAAGTGCTTGGTTTTAGTAAAGAGGCAATACAATCACTGCATGTTTTCTTTCTTTCTTTCTTTCTTTTTTTTTTTTTTTTTAAAGACGTGGTCTTACTCTGCTACCCAGGCTGGAATGCAGTGATGTGATCATAGCTCATTGTAACTTCAAACTTTCAAACTCCTGGGCTCACATGATCACATGATCCTCCTGCCTGAGCCTCCTGAGTAGCTGGGACTACAGGTATAAGCCACCACACGTGGCTGATTTTTAAAATTATTTTTTAGAGATAGGGTCTCACTGTCTTGCCCAGGCTGATCTCAAACTCCTGACCTCAAAAGATCTTCCCACATTGACCTCCCAAAGTGTTGGTATTACAGGTGTGGGCCACCACACCTGGTTTCTGTTTCTTGAATTAGAAACATTTTTTTTTTTTAATTTATTTTTTTTTTTAATTTTTTTTTTTAATTTTTTTTTTTTAATTTTTTTTTTTTTATTATACTCTAAGTTTTAGGGTACATGTGCACATTGTGCAGGTTAGTTACATATGTATACATGTGCCATGCTGGTGCGCTGCACCCACTAACGTGTCATCTAGCATTAGGTATATCTCCCAATGCTATCCCTCCCCCCTCCCCCGACCCCACCACAGTCCCCAGAGTGTGATATTCCCCTTCCTGTGTCCATGTGATCTCATTGTTCAATTCCCACCTATGAGTGAGAATATGCGGTGTTTGGTTTTTTGTTAAAACACATGAAGAAATGCTCATCATCACTGGCCATCAGAGAAATGCAAATCAAAACCACTATGAGATATCATCTCACACCAGTTAGAATGGCAATCATTAAAAAGTCAGGAAACAACAGGTGCTGGAGAGGATGTGGAGAAATAGGAACACTTTTACACTGTTGGTGGGACTGTAAACTAGTTCAACCATTGTGGAAGTCAGTGTGGCGATTCCTCAGGGATCTAGAACTAGAAATACCATTTGACCCAGCCATCCCATTACTGGGTATATACCCAAAGGACTATAAATCATGCTGCTATAAAGACACATGCACACGTATGTTTATTGCAGCACTATTCACAATAGCAAAGACTTGGAACCAACCCAAATGTCCAACAATGATAGACTGGATTAAGAAAATGTGGCACATATACACCATGGAATACTATGCAGCCATAAAAAATGATGAGTTCATGTCCTTTGTAGGGACATGGATGAAATTGGAAACCATCATTCTCAGTAAACTATCGCAAGAATTAGAAACATTTTTTTCTTTACTTTCCTCCAAGCCCAGTGCAATTAATACTTTTGAGGCATGATACTACTAAAAGCATGGCCCAAATATTAAGGTTGTATTCTTCTGCATGTCTTTTGGGTAAATAATGAAATTAAGGCAGAAATAAAGAAATTTCTTGAAAGTAATGAGAACAAAGATACAAATACCAGAATCTCTGGGACATGGCTAAAGAGTGTTAAGAGGGAAGTTTGTAGCACTAAATGCCCAAGTCAAAAAGTTACACAGATCTCAAATTAACAACCTAATGTCACACCTAGGGGAACTAGAGAACCAAGAGGAAACCAACCCCAAAGCTAGCAAAAGACAAGAAATAACAAAAATCAGAGCTGAACTGAAGGAAATTGAGATGCAAAAAAACATACAAAAGATTAAGTCCAGGAGTGTGTTCTTTGAAAGAATGAATAAGATGGATAGACCACTAGTTATTCTAATACAGAAAAAAAGAGAAGATCCAAATAAACACAATCAGAAATAACAAAGAACATGTTACTGCTGACCCCAGAGAAATACAGAAAACCCTCAGAGACTACTATGAACATCTCTATGCATACAAACTAGAAAACCTAGAAGAAATGGATAAATTCCTTGAAACTTGCGACTTCCTAAGACTGAACCAGGAAGAAATTGAATCCCTGAACAGACCAATAACAAGTTCCAAAATTGAATCAGTAAAAAAAAGCCTACCAATCCGAAAAAGTCTAGGAACAAATTAATTCACAGCCAAATTCTACCAGATATATAAAGAAGAACTGGTACCATTCCTACTGCAACTATTCCAAATAACTGAGGAGGAAGGACTCCTCCCTAACTCATTCTGTGAGAACCAGCATCATCCTGATACCAAAACCTGGTACACAACAAAAAAGAAAACTTGTGGCCTATATCCTTGAGGAACGTAGATGCAAAAATCCTCAATAAAATGTAGCAAACCAAATCCAGTAGCATATCAAAAATTGAATCCACCATGATCAAGTAGACTTTATGCCTGGAATGCAAGGTTGGTTCAGCATATGCAAATTAATAAATGTGATTCACCACATAAGTAGAACTAAAAACAAAAACACACATAATTGTCTCAGTAGATGCATAAAAGCCTTTTGATAAAAATCAACATTATTTCATTAAAATGAAGGACTACAGGTATAAGCCACCACCCAAACTAGGCATTGAAGGAACATACTTCAAAATAATAAGGACTATCTGTGAAAAAACCCATAGCCAATAGCATACTGAATGGGCAAAAGCTGGAAGCATTCTCCTTGAAAGGCAGAACAAGACATGGATGCCCTCTCTCACTACTCCTATTAAACATGGTACTGAAGTCCTAGCCAGAGCAATCAGGCAAGAGAAAGATATAAAAGGCATACCAATCAGAAGATAGGGAGTCTAACTATCTCTGTTTGCAGACAATATGATTCTATACCCAGAAAAGTCTCTGCCCAAAAGTTCCTTGATCTGATTTTAAAACTTCAGCAAAGTTTCAGGATACAAAATTAATGTACAAAAATCAGTAGCATCATACACCAACAACATCCAAGCTGAGAGCCAAATCAAAAACGCAATCCCATTCACGATAGCCATAAAAGAGTAAAATACCTGTGAATACAGCTAACCAGGGTGGTGAAAGAGCTCTACAATAAGCATTACAACACACTGCTCAAAGAAATCAGAGATGACACAAACAAATGAAAAAAATTCCATGCACATGGATAGGAAGAATCAATATTGTTAAAATGGCCATACTTCCAAAAGCAATTTACAGATTCAATGCTATTCTTATCAAACTACCAATGACATTCTTTACTGAACTAGAAAAAAACTATTTTAAAATGTATATGGAACCCCAAAAGAGCCCAAATAGCCAAGGTAATCCTAAGCAAAAAGAACAAAGCTAGAGACATCACACTACCTGACTTCAAACTATACTATGGGGCTGTAGTAACCAAAACAGCATGGTACCGGTACAGAAATAGACACCTAGACCAAGGGAACCGAATAGAGAGCCCAGAAATAATGCCACAGATCTACAAACATCTGATCTTTCACAGCATTGACAAAAACAAGCAATGGGGACAGAAATCCCTATTCAATAAATGGTGCTGGGAAGGTGGATTAAAAACTTACATGTCAAACCTAAAACTACAAAAACCCTGGAAGATAATCTAGAAAATATCATTCTAGACATAGGACCTGGCAAAGATTTCATGATGAAGACATGAAAAGCAATTGCAACAAAACCAAAAATTGACAAATGAGACCTAATAAAATGAAAGAGCTTCTGCACAGCAAAAGAAACTATCAAGGGAGTAAACAGTCTACAGAATGGAAGAAAATATTTGTAAGGTGTGCATCCAACAAGGGTCTAATATCCAGCATCTATAAGGAACCTAAACAAATTCACAAGCAAAAAACAACCCAATTAAAAAATAGGCAACAGACATGAACAGACACTCCTCAAAAGAAGACATTTTTTTGTGGCAAACAAGCATATGAAAAAATGCTGAACATCACTGATCATTAGAGAAATGCAAATCAAAACCACAATGAGATACCATCTCATATCAGTCCGAATGGCTATTATTAAAAAGTCAAATTATAACAGCTGCTGGTCAGGTTGCAGAGAACAGAATACGGAGCTCAGAAATAATGCTGCACACCTACAACTATCTCATACACTGCTGGTGGGAATGTAAATTAGTTCAGCCATTGTGGAAAGTAGTTCGGTGATTTCTCAAAGAACTTAAAATGGAATTACTATTTGACCCAGGCATCCCATTATTGGATATATATCCAAAGGAATATACCTCATTCTATCATAAAGACACATGTATGCATATGTTCATTGCAGCACTCTTCATAATAGGAAAGACATGGAATCAACCTAAATGCTCATTAAAGTGGATTAGATAAAATAAATGTGGTACATATACACCATGGAATACTATGCAGTCATAAAAAAGAACGAGATCATGTCATTTGCAGCAACATGGATGCAGCTGGAGGCTATTATCCTGAGCAAACTAACACAGGAACAATAAACCAAATACTATGTGTTCTCACTTATAAGTGGGAGCTGAACATTGAGTACACATGGACACAAAGAAGGGAACAATAAACACCAGGGCCTAGTTGAGGGTAGAGTGTGGAAGGAGGGTGAGTATAGGAAAATTACCTTTTGGGTACTATGCTTATTACCTGGGTGACGAAATATCTGTACACCAACCCTCATGACATATAATTTACCTACATAACAAACCTGCACATGTATCCCCTAACCTAAAATAAAGCTGTAAAGAAAAAAATTATGACAAAATTAGACTTGGTTAATCATAAAAAGCACAAATATTAGAGTTGTATTTGCCATAAATAAAGGATCCAATATAATTTTAAAGTATAGAGTTTTTGCTGATAGTTGTGGTACTTAAGAGCTGCTGCTGCTTTTTGATTATTTCCGTACTTTCTTAATTATGTTTTTGTGTATTGAAAAAAATCCATTACTGCATTATTTTATCCAACTTTAATGATTTATTCAATTAAACCACCTACATTGGCCGCCACAGCCATTTTAACAATCAACAGTGGTTTATCGACCAGTACTTTGTATAACTCATGTGCTTGATGTAATAGTTCTCAACATTCAGTATTTGTAAGCAAGAAAGCAGGCTTCTGCATTTGAAGATTATGATTTGGTAGCTCTGGGAATAGTGCCTAAAATGCCCCAGATGATTCTGGTGTAAGGAATCTTTGGGGACACAGTTCCTGTTTTTAAGAAACTAACAGTATAGTTTGGGATTTGGGATTCTGGAACTTTAGAACAGCACCCATGGAAAAACCTGTAGAGAGCATCTAATCTGATTTTTTAATCTGTACCTGAAGAAACTGAAGCCCAGAAAGGAAAATTGACTTTCTTACAATGAGTTCATAAGAGACCCAGGTCTAGAGCACCAGTTTCTGATTCCCAGTCCTGCATTTTTGATAAGAAGCTACAGAGAGTAATTTCAACTTCATATAATAAATGAATTTCCTATACTCCTGGTTCCTGGTCAAGTATTTTGACCATTAGCAAATGGAATTATGTACGTGAACAATGTCAAGTTGAACCATTTTGAAACTGACATTTTGCTAGGTCAGAACGATTGAATATCAGCAATTTTCATAATGGGTCAACACGTAAGTGCCTAAGCAGCAAATGCCAGGTCTGACTGCAATTTGTTGAATTTGTCAGGATCCCAGAGAATACAGATGGGACATTTCAATTATTTGAGGAGGATATATTTGCAGAGACTAATCATAAAGTTATGATCTAAGTGGAGGGAAACCGCAAGGAATAGAGTAAGAACCTAAGGTGAACAGCACACATATCATGTAAATCAAGCTTTCTTCAGAGGTGCAGATTTTTGGTGGAGGAAACAGCCAGCCTGAGAAGATTTCACAGGGAGAGAGCCAGGGAGTTACATGCCCAGTCTTTTCGTCTTCCTCTGATCTTCAGCCAAGGTGGCCAAACTCAAGTTGAAGCAATAGGCCAATGGCGCCCATAATGTAGTGCATAAAAATTAGCCTTCTAGAAAGGAGAACGGGGTGGAGAATAGTGAAAAGGCAAACGAAATATGCTGCACACAAGGCCGCATATTTCCACACTACTAATAGAGTAGGGACTATGATTTGGGAGGAATATGACACTATATTAACACATTTTCTGCATCAACATCATATGGTGGTGGCCATGGTGACAACTGATGCAGTGAACTGAAGAGGAGACTGCTGGGGAGTTGCTTGTCTCCTTGTCATATCTACAGCCTGACTTGGTTCTACTATCTAAAGGTGTCAGTGCTTGTAAGCATCTGTATTCATCTTGAAAATGATTTTCTCAGTTCTCTTAATCTCAGAATAAACTGTCACCTGTGGCCACACATGTACTTACTTTTACTTGGAATATAAGTATGAAAAGTCCAAACCCTTCCATTTACATGTAATTTCTATTAAAGAATCAATGCATCAATACTCTTAGCATTTGACCATCAAATCTTAAAATTTCAGAACCAGACTTGGGACCTGAGAGGCTGTCAGTTCCTAGGCTCCTATCCTGGGAAAGAATCCCTCCTGCTTTATGGTTGATGATTCACCTACCAGTTTGAATCTCTGCAGTGATAAGCTGCATTAGTACCACAGGGCATAGCTCCAGGGGTTAGAAAGTGCTTCCTATATTGAGCTGAAGTCCACCTTCTTCAAACACCTCCTAGTTATAGGGCCCTGTAACATTTGCAACATTTGCTTCTTTTTCCACATAGTGGCTTTCAGATATACTCCATGCTTTCTTGTCTGCAGGCTAACTCTCATTCCTTTCAAATATTCTCTTGGCATAATATGGTTTTCCAGACATTGCTTCAAACTGGACACTCTCCCTTGTTATCTAATTAAGCCATTTTTTTGAGATTCGATTCCTTAGTCTTACTTATTCCATTATGTTAGTTTAAACTTTATATTCATAGAGTCC